>NC_000002.12:197792648-198095678 GCF_000001405.40 Homo sapiens
TGTTTGATATGTAGATTCCACTCTTACCCTTACTTGGTCCATATATGGGTAAAAATATTTTGAGGGAAGATTGGGAGTTCTAGAACATGGAGAAGTTGACAGCTCCAACTCATTGCCTGGTCCATGAGCCCAGCTAAATGAATTTTAAATTATGTTGTGTTAGTTTGAATTAAACTAACTCAAGATGGATGCATGGCTTAAATATTCCAGAGAACATAAATCAAAGATAATTCTAGTGAACATTTCAAAAATTGCAGAGCGTTCCCTTCTTCTATTCTTACTACAAGCACGTCCTCAGCCACATCATGAAGTAAAAACAATGACAATATATCTTATAAGAAGTCAGCTCCCCAAAATTGACTTTTTAGTATGTGGATGTACACCCTCTTCCATAAACAACAGAAGGCCCTAAATGGATATTGTTTCTTAAGATATTAGCTAATGGTGATATAAAGCCATCACCATTAGCAAAACATTTTAAAGTAATATTTGCTTCATCTTCTTAAAACTCTTTGGTGTATGTTTTATAATGTGCATAAATACTAACATAGAGACATAGTAAATGATGGGCGTCCTCAAAAACCAACAAGAATTTGCAAACACAATGTGTGGAAACTCCTACAGAAGAGCATGGTCCTCAAGATCTGCTTTTTTTTTGTTTTGTTTTGTTCTAGAAGGCAGAGGAAATACACACTTAAAAAGGCAGACACACTTAAAAAGATGTAAATATAGTACACTGGGTATAAAAGGTATTAATGGAGAATACATGGTAACTTGAGGGTTTTGGAAACACTTTCTGGAAAAGACAATGTCTGAAATGAATTTTGAAGGAGTGATGGTTAGCTCAAGGAAGAGAGGTGGGAAAGGGATTTCATATAACTAAGAGGTGAAAGCATGAAATGCATTTAGTATTCAGTGGATTTCAAGTAGTCTGATAGTCCTAGAGTGTGAAAGAAGAGAAGTGGTGTAGCCAGAGAGGATTCCAGGGATGTAGATAGGAGCCATGGCCATGTGTGCCAAAGAGCCTGGACTCTATTCAGCTGGCACTGGGAAGCCAATGAATCTTAATAGCGGGAAGTCAGATTTGTACTTTACAGAAATCCCTCTATCTACAATATAGAGGGAAGATGGATATTAGAACATAACACATGGTCACTGTAATCAACTTAATTGGTATTGGATGGGAATCAGGACAATCCAAAAGTAGATTGAAGTACATGTAGAAATGTGATATATGACAAGAAGGATAATTCTATTCAGTGAGGAGACAATAGGATTATTTAATAGCGTTGGCACAAATAGACATTCATCTGGAAGAAAATAAAAATAGACCCCCATCTTATTTTAAAAAATTTATTTGACACTTATACACACTCATTAACACTTATATAAATATAAAAACCAAATTTAGAAATAAATTATAAACAGACCAAATACATAGTTTCAAAAAGAAATAAAAATCTTGCAGAAAAAGGTAGGATTTACATGTACAATCTAGGGGTGGAAAACTGCATTTTAATCAACAGTGGAGACTCAAAAATTATAATCAAGCTGATAGACATTTTTTGATTCTGTGAAAATTAATATAATGTGCAGGCAAAAGTTTCCATAAAGTTAATAAAGGATTATTCTAGATAGCTATTAATGTAGATGACATAATAAGGATAATATTTACAATGTGCTGATTGAGTTCTCTGGGAAGCATATGGAGTTAGGGGTGCAAAAGGTTTATAGGGGTGCAAAAAATATTTGGGGGAAAAGGGAGGAGCAGGTGGTGCCATCACTTCTGTTACAAGCTGACTCAGCCAGCCAAGTGGGAGCTGTGGAGCAAGGATGTCTGTTGGTGGAGTCCTGTGATGGTGGAAATGGAGAAGGGCATGCCCTCAGCTATCACTGCCTCACTCATTCATTGGCCATGGGCTGCCTGAAGAAGAACTTTATGATCTTGGTTCAAATTTGAGGTGGACCCTGAATAAGTGAATAGCTGCAGGCTGTCAGTGAACCTTACTCCTCGCAGCTGGGGACTGAGTCCTTTATCGTAGCAGGGTCTGGGTGTGGCAACTCCATGTTTGCCATAAAACTCTTACAAAATCCTGAGAAAATGGCATTTGATCCAATAGAAAATAGGGCTAAGCACATTTGTAGACAACTTACTGAAGATCAAGACCAAATGGCCAAGAAACATTGGAAACAATGCTTAGTAATCTGGAAAGTGAAAATTAAAATAACAATAGACTATAACTTTATACCTATAATAGTCACAGAAATTAATCAGAGCTACAGTACCTTTTAAGGTGGAATGTGAAGTATTGTAGCTCTTTGGGAAAGCTATCAGGCATTATCTATCAAAGGTAAATATACGCCTTAGACCCTAAAATTTGACTCCTGGGAGTCTATCTTATACAAATAAAACCTTTGGTTCATAAATATGTGTATAAAAATGATTTTTACAACATTGTTTGTAGTTGTGAAAAACTAGAAATAAATTGGATACCCTAAATAAGGCAATGGCTGAATGAATTATGATATATTCACACCATGGAAATACTATGCACTTATTTAAAAGAATGAATAAGTAGCTATTGCAGAAGAGGTGGTGGGATTTTTTACTAGCTCTTATTGAATGAAAAAAGAAAAATGCAGAGGAGTATTGTATTAGTCTGTTCTCACATTGCTGCAAAGATTCTATCTGAGACTGGGTGATTTATAAAAGAAAGAGGTTTAATTGACTCACAGTTCAGCATGGCTGGGGAGGCCTCAGGAAACTCATGGTAATGATGGAAGGGGAAGAAAATATGTCCTTCTTCACAGGGTGGCAGGAAGGAGAATGAATGAATACCCAGTGAAGGGGGAGGCCCCTTTTAAAACCATCAGATCTTGTGAGAACTACTCATTATGGTGAGAACAGGATGGGGGAAACCATCCCCATGATTCAAGTATCTTCACCTGGTCCTTCCCACAACACATGTGGATTATGGGAACTACAACTCAAGATGAGATTTGCATTAGGACATAGCCAAACCATATCATTCCACCCTTGGCTCTTCCCAAATCTCATGTCCTCACAGTTCAAAACATAATCATGCCCTTCCAACAGTTCCCCAGAATCTCAACTCATTCCAGCATTAACTCAAAAGTCCAAGTCCAAAATCTCATCTGAGACAAGGCAAGTCTCTTCCATCTATCAGTCTGTAAAATCAAAAGCAAGTTAGTTACTTCTTAGATACAATGGGAGTACAGGCATTGGGTAAATACACCTGTTCCAAATGGGAGAAATTGGCCAAAACAAAGGGGCTACAGGCCCCATGCAAGTCCAGAATCCAATAGCGCAGTTACTAAACTTTAAAGTTCCAAAACGATCTCCTTTGACTCCATTTCTCACATCCAGGGCACACTGATGCAAGAGGTGGGTTCCCATGGCCTTGGGCAGCTCAGCCTCCATGGCTTTGCAGGGTACAGCCCCCACCTCCTGGCTGCTTTCACAGGCTGGCATTGAGTGTCTGCAGCTTTTCCAGGTGCATAGTGCAAGCTGTAGGTGGATCTACCATTCTGGGGTCTGGAGGATGGTGGCCCTCTTCTCACAGCTCCACTAGGCAGTGCCCCTGTGGGGACTCTGTGTGGGGGCTCCAGCCCCACATTCCTCTTCTGCACTGCCCTAGCAGAGGTTCTCCATGAGGGCTCTGCCCCTGCAGCAAACCTCTGCCTGGACATCCAGGGGTTTACATACATCCTCTGAAATCTAGGTGGAGGTTTCCAAACCTCAAGTCTTGACTTCTGTGGGCCCACAGGGTCAGCACCATGTGGAAGCTGCCAAGACTTGGGGCTTGCACCCTCTGAAACCATGGCCTGAGCTGTACCATGGCCCCTTTTAGCCATGGCTAGAGTGGCTGGGATGCACGAAACCAAGTCTCTAGGCTGCACACAGTAGGGGGGCCCTGGGCCTGGCCCAGGAAACCATTTTTTTCCTCCTAGACCTCCAGGCCTGTGATGGAAGGGGCTGCTGCAAAGGTGTCTGATATGCCCTGGAGACATTTTCCCCATTGTCTTGGCAATTAGCATTTGTCTTCTCATTACTTATGCAAATTTCTGCAGTGGGCTTGAATTTCTTTCCAGAAAATGGGTTTTTCTTTTCTACTGAATCGTCAGGCTGCAAATTTTCCAAACTTTTATGCTCTGCTTTGCTTTTAAACATAATTTCCAATTTCAGATCTCTCTCAAGTTCAAAGTTCCACAGATCTCTAGGATGGGGGCAAAATGCCACCAGTCTCTTTGCATAGCAAGAGTGACATTTACTTCAGTTCCCAACAAGTTGCTAATCTCCATTTGAGGCCACCTCAGCCTGGACTTTATTGTCCATATCATTATCAGCATTTTGGTCAAAGCCATTCAAGTCTCTAGAAAGTTCCAAACTTTCCCACATCTTCCTGTTTTTTGAGCCCTCCAAGTCTCTAAGAAGTTCCAAACTTTCCCACAATTTCCTAACTTTTTTTGCACCCTCTAAACTGTTCCAACCTCTGCCTGTTACCCAGTTTCAAAGTTGCTTCCACATTTTTGAGTATCTTTATAGCAGCACCCCACTCTACCAGTACCGATTTACTCTATAAGTCTGTTCTCACATTGCTTCAGAGATACTACTGAGACTGGTCATTTATAAAGGAGAAAGGTTTAATTGATCACAGTTCAGAATTGCTGGGGAGGCCTCAGGAAATTCACAATCATGGTGGAAGGGGAGGCAAACATGTTCTTCTTCATAGGGTGGCAGGAATGTGAATGAATGAACACCAAGTGAAGGGGAAAGCTCCTTATAAAACCATCAGATCTTGTGAGAACTAACTCACTATCATGAGGATAGGATTGGGGAAACTGCCCCTATGATTCAATGATCTCTAGCTGGTTCCTCCCACAACAAGTGGGGATTATGGGAACTAAAATTGAAGATGAGATTTGGGTGGGGCACATCCAAACCATATCAGGTATATATAAGATTATCTCTCCCCCTCATTTTTTTCTGCTAAACAGTGACAAAATATACTTTGTTTATGTGTATATATATACACACATATACATATACATAGATGAATGTTAACTTGAGTTACCTTGCAAGGAGTGGGGAGGGTTGATGTGGGTGGAAGAGGGAAGATATGTCCAAGATAGGCAAAAGAAGAACAAATTGTACCAAAAAAGCATACATATGATCTCATTATGCTATAATTTCTAAACCTAGTAAGAAAGGCAGAATCGGGGCTTACACAGCTTGCAGTAAAGAGATAAATGAGAAAAATGGGTCACAGAAATGGAAATCATTATATGCAATTTTATTGGATATATAAAAGTTTTTAGTTTGTACCAGTTTACTAGATGCCAGAAATGTTTACTGGTTACATGTGAATCAAACAGTATCCGGCCATATGAACTGAAAGCATGGTTGTGGAAAGCACAGGGCTTTCAGTAAACTTACATACCTCTATCACTCAGCAGAGGCTAGGTTATATTACAGTAACAAATGACCCTCAAATCCAAGGGGTTTACAACAAAGGATGTTTTATTGCTCATGTTACGTGTCTATTATAGATTGGCTTCAGTTCTGCTCCATGCCACTTTCACTCAGGATTCAGCCCCTGTCTGGTGAACAATCTCGAGGCTGAGAAAATGAGATCATAGTTAAATTTATGCTGGCTTTTAAAGCGTCTGCTTAGAAGGGGTTTCTTTCACTGGTCAAAGCAAGTCACATGGCTGAGCCCACTGTAAATGGGATGAGGATGTATGACCCTCCTCCAGGGAGGATCAGTAAAAATCCCCCAGGGTATAAAGATCTGCTTTATGACAAAGAGTGTTAATGAAGTGTTTCCGTGTGATCACAGTAGTGAATGTTATTAATGATTGGTGGATTAATGAGTGGTGAGAATTAAGATGAGAAATAAGAGGAAATACATTGTGTATGCTACTTTTTATAATTAAATAAATGCTATTTTTATTATCCACTGGGTGTTAAGTATAAAGACACTCCTTTTGATTTTTTTTTGTTTCAATCACAGATCACAGACCATCTCATCACATTTTCATAAAACAAAGTAAAATCTCTTTAATCCATATCCTGAATATAGAAAAATTATGGTAGGCAGAAGGGTAAAATTTTAACTACATATTTTACTTTTCTGAATTTTAGAATTCACAGTAGCTTATTGATGAGAAATATAATGATCATCACAAATCAGAAAACATATTCCTTCCTTTATAAATTATAGTATAAAATAGTACTGTTTTGTGGTTTTTGCCCAGAGTTAAGTATTTGCTTGTCAAAGAATCTTCCAAGTAGATTTTATCTGCAGCTATCAGTTTAGTTATTAAAATTTCATTTTGGTTAGGAGAAAATTTGAAGAAAGTGCCGCAACATCTTATTACACAAAATGTACGGTGCTTCTTACTTGTTATTCTATTTCACAAGTTAAATTAAATTTCAGTCCTTTACTGTTGTCTAATATTTCAGATGTTTCCTACAACATACTTAAAATTTCAAAAACAATTGTAACATTATCTGAAATGTTTCACCAGTACAATTTATACAGAACAGTGAATGGCAAAAGTCCCAAGTGTGGTTCAACAGCTGTTGCTCCCGTACTGTGGGCTGAGTAGAGGCAGTTGTATCCATGGTGACCTATATGACTTAATGAGAGTGGGAACTGCGTGATTCTCACAGGGGTTAATGACAGAGCAAACGCTGGCAAGCCAGCTTTCATGAGGCATTTGGCTTTTTTTTGTTTGTTTGTTTGTTTGTTTTTTTTTTTAAAAGGAAGGATTCACTTTTTCTAACTCCTCATTTTGTAAAGCAGACAAACTTCGTATCATGCTTAACAAAAGAGCTATATACCTGAAAACTAACTCGGAAAAAAAGGGCTTACAAAACAAACTATACTTTACTTTTGTCCTATATTTTAATGTAAAACATGCATTATGATTTTATATTTATTCAAATATTGCACTCTGCTTCTTCCTCCCGAAAGGTTTAAGGTAGACTAGAACAAAGGCATATCAATAAAGTCTATAAAATAGGTGTAAGAGTCTTACACATTATGAGTGGAGAAAAGAAGTGCATTAGAAAAGGAAATATGACTCTGCAGTTTCTTCCAATGGGCCCTGTGACACTAAAAAGCATTAATAAACTTCATACCTTGGTATAAGTTGGAGGATTAAAAACCCCAACATCGTGTAGGTGATTTAGATTTGAGGAATGTACCTGGGATTTGGGGGCTCGAGGGGAGGAGGAACCTACTGTATATTCACTTCTGCATTGAAAATGTCAGGCATTGGGTGTATATCTGGTTTGAAAAGATTTCTGTCATAACGTTGTACCTGGAAAAGATTCGGTTGTCAAATAAAACAGAGAATCAAGTTTTTATGGGGGCCTTATTTGTGCCATTTCAGTGGTACTTTTCCTAAGTGCCTCTGGCTTCTGCATCAGTGGGGGAAAAAACCGTGACATGAGCTCCAACTCCAGGATCCACGTCAAAGTAAGTTAATACATAGAAAATAAATCAACACTGTCTATTTTTAAAAGACCTTTGCCATGCACAATACAGACTACTGCCAGATGATTGGCCTGGAGCTCCTGATAGTGCCTTAGCCCCAGGGTCTTCATGGGGTAATTCCTGTGGGAATGGTGTTAATGGATAGAGGCCCAGGCATTCTGCTCTCCTGCAGACAGTAGAGATTTCTCAACCTCTGAAAGAAGCAGCAGTAATCAGACATTGAAGAACATTGGCTGTAATTAAAGATTTCTTAGATTCATTGCCTCTCAGTACTTTAAAGATTTATTAAACTGGGGAATCTAGACCTATTATAAGCAATTTGTAACTTCTCATTTTTGTAGGACTGTTATAATGGAGCACACTTTACTTGTTCTTTGAAATAAGATTAGTTGATTTTTATGTTTTAGTTACTGAAATTTCTTAATTCCTAATATAAGTGACAAAAACTTTCAAGAAAAAACTTGAATTTCAAAGAGGTCATATATCAAGTTTTGCTTATCTTTTATTGACTTGTATGTATTTACTCTACTATAATATTCACTCTACAAATTACCCTACAAATTCTGTTTTCTTGAGCTAGCAAAACAAAATGATCACCATGTATATTGGGGAGGGCTATGACTGAATGTAAAGATGCATGCAACTTAACTGAAAATGCTGTATGTCCTCTTCTTTGATTACGTGCAATGCGTCCTTTAACTTATTAGGAGACCTGTCTCAATATAAAAATATTTTTCTTACACATATGTGAATGAGATGATAAATGTGTTTCCTCATGCACTAATGAATCAGTCATACTGGTGGTCCATGCTGATGACATAAAGGTCATGTTGATGTTGAGAGAGGAGGTTGTCATGGTTAATATGAGTGGTCCCAGATCTGAAGGAGTGGCTCTTCATTCTCCAGGACAGCTACTGGACTTGTATCTTATGAGAGCTTTGGGTAGCAGGAAGAATGCAGGCTTTGAAGTCACTAACATTGCCTCAAATGCTGGTTCTTTCACTTCCTAGTTGGCTCTAACTTCAAGCAAGCTACTTGACCCTTTTGATCCCCAGTTTTCTTATCTGTGAAGTGGAGATCAGAATACTGCAGAGAGGATTATCTGGTACATAGAAAGCAGTTATCAAAGAGATAGTTCTTTTCCCCCCACTATGACTTCCTGGTAGTATATGGAAAGTCTTAATATTCTCACTGGTTTTTTCTCAGGCCCAGGGTTCTGGACTTCCCTGGCTGGAAGGACTATATTGACATATCTAGTCTTTTAGTCTGGTCTAGGTATTTTCAGGACTGCTAGAACTTGCTTAGTTCTTATTGGTTGTATTTCAGTCTAATTCTAGATTTCAAGTCATTCCAATTAATAAGTGCCCTTCTTCTGAGATTTGTAGCTGCTTGGTGTGGATCTGTTCTGATTTCTGCTCTAAAATGGAATTCTAGGATCCTTGAGGATGAGAAGTTCTACCATGCAGACAGTGACAGAACCATTTTTCTTTATCAGATTGATTATTTTATTTAGTCACAGGACTGCAAAAGTCCTCTGTCCATAAATATTTATTGAGCACTTACTCTGTTCCAGACATAGTTCTGGGAGCTGGAGATACAGCAATGAATAAAATCGCAAGGTCTTTAGGCACATGGAGATGGCATTCTACATTTCAGTGAAGCAGAGATAGGGGGAAAGTAAAACAGAATATGTAAGTAAACAATTCCACGGAAAAGACAGTTTGTTCACAGTGATAAAATCCTGTGAGAAGACAAAACACAATATGACTGACATGTACTGAGGCTTGTAGGGGCAACTTGAGATTTGTAGTTAGAGAGTCCTTTCTGACGTAGTAACATTTGAATTTCCTGCTCGTTACTATTATTCATATCTTACCTTCCTACCCCTGCTCACCCCCAAATTCCAATCTGCCAATCTAGCAATTGTCACCATGACTTGGTAAAAGGTTGGGAGGCAAGAATTGTAGGTGACAGCTATTTGGAAAGAGGGACTGTTAATGCAGGGGTAGGAATGTGCCCATGGCTGCTGACTTAACTGAAACTAGCTAGTCTCTTTCAGTTTTTGAAGTGGGTCCACAAAGCAGAATCTGCTCCTGGCTAGGAGCAAGTACATAGGAGGGGTTTTTTTTTTTTCAATTGCAAACATGAGTATCAGGAAAAGCCTTCTGAGCTTATGCTGGAACACAACAATATAAACGACTTGCTAGATTAGGGTCCAACTAGTTTATCAAAGCAGAGTAATTTAGACAACAATCTTTACGGATAGAGGCTCAGAGCAAAGGAATCAGAGGGGTGTGTGTGTGTGTGTGTGTGCACTTTCACATGAGGGTGAGAGGGAAGGATGCCAAGGAAGAGAAAAGAGTCCAACTAGACATTGTCTAGTTGAAAGATACAACATTTTGCAAGTTATATGCTGTACTTTCTGGCCTCTGTTTTTTTTTAAATCACTGACCTTGAATGTTTGTTAATAAAGTGATGCTAATTTTAAAATTTGTAAAAATAAATTATTATCATAATGGTACACAAATCTGTAGGATGAGGAACTTATAAATGACATTAATATCCTATAACAAGATAATGAGTGAGATAAAGGCAGTTTTACATTTTTCAGAGGACAACCGAAGAATGGGACTTTTATTAGAGTAACAAAGAAAAATGAAGCACTGACAACTGTAAATGACAGAAGTCAAATGTAATAATAGTTGAATATCAAAGAAAAAAATGATAGCCTAAAATAAGATATATTTCTGAGGATAGCAATTAAAAATATTTCCTATATAGCATAGACAGGAATTCCCTGAACTAAAGGAGATGGAAGACATGTATGGTTGTTTTAAGTCTGGGTACACTTTATTTTCTTCCTCTAGTCTGTGCGTTGTAAAGGCATACCTGTTGAAAAGGAAACTTTTGTTGGGTTACCCCTCCTGTCTTTTAAAGATGAGGGGGAAAAAGAAGCCTTTGCTGTTATGGATGCAGTTCTCAGAATCTCACTAGAGGGTGGTGTTGGTTCTAAAACCAGAGGTCACTGCTACTCTCTACAGTACATTCATTACTAGGCTGCATTTATGTTTAAAGAAAAGGCAAAGTCAAGCCTTCTCAGTATTCCCTAGTAGTTGATAAATGTCAAATCTGAAACCTCCCAAGTGCCCCTGCCAGTTCTGGCTGGTTGTAGCCCAGAGGAGACAGATAAAGTAGTGAAGAGATTATCGGAGGAGTTGGGTGGCTGATTCTAATTTTGGCTCCTGCACTAACTAGTAGACAAGACTCCCTGGGCCTTTGTCTCAACCGTAAAACAAAAATGATGTCCTAGTTGATCCCTAAATCCCCATATATCTCTAAAATTATGAGATTCAAACCAAATTGTTGGTCTAAAATGCTGAATAATTTCTCATGCTGTTAGCCAGACTAAGGAACAAGTAAAATCTCAAATTATTAAATTATTAATAAGATAAAATGTAATGTTATAAGTGAGGTTTAATATAGATTCTAATATCAAAGGAGTTTAAAATTAAAATGCCAAGTCTTTTGTCTTACCAGGGAGCCTTAGGACCATGGTTTGCATCTGAGCATTCTGTGGATAATTTCAGTGACTTAACTCATCATCCAAAGATCTCTCCCTTCTTGGTTGCTAGCTTACTGGAAATGAGCAAAATATGTTTTTATATAGGATTATATAGAGAAAGGAGGCTGAACCATTGTCAAATAGGAATGTTTTAGGATAGAGACTAAACTCCCCACCTGCATTTATCTGACTTGGATTATATCTGTGCTTTTTAAGAGTCAGTCTTCGGAGGGATTTAGTTGGTTCAGTTTCCTTTCACCCTCATCTCTTTCACTGACTCCCTTTCCTTGTTATATTTACTCACACTGCAGAATGACCTTAGAATCCTTTCCTGGAACCTGAAGCAAATTATGGAACCCCAAGATCCCAGTAAACCCTAGTTTATCTCTGCATGGACTTGACTTCTAAGAATTGGCCTGAGAGCCTGCAATTAACCTGTGACCACGCAAAGCTTCACCCCGTCACCCCAAACGCTTAGACATTCATACTCAATACCCACTTTCCTCCAAATTGCTTTGTTTGGCAGAAGAAGGTTTCTTTCTCCCCTCTCCTTCACCCAACCTGGATTTTTGTTGCATCTCAGGCTCATTTCGCAAATCTAAACTTCCTAAAATATACACGGAGCGCCTCCGGGTTTGCACACGCGCGCGCGCGGGTACACCCTGGCTCGAGTACATTAGCCCCGCTGGGCCGGCTCCCAGTTGCAGAACACATTCCATTCTTCGCGCTCGGGCACACCCCTCCGCAGTGAGGATTGGTCGGGCCGAGCCCCCTCGGCGAGGCGAGGCTCCTAAGAGGCCCAGACGCCTGCCAATCCCCAAGGGCTGTCAAAACAAGTCTCCCTCCCTGTCACAACAGAGCTGAGTGGAGGCCGCCGCCGCCGCCGCACTTCCTGGGACCGCTGCGCCGCAGTCCGCGGGCAGGTGGCGGGTGCGCCCGGCCGCAGTCGCCCGGCTCTGGCCCCTATCGGGCCGCCGGCGTCCGGGCTCCAGAGGCCGCCTGGCTGGGCGCCCGGTGCCTTTTGTCTGGCGCAGGGCCGGCGTTTGCATCACATTTCGGATACCTCCCTCTCTTTTTCGCCTCTCCTTCTGCCTCCCGCTCACATCGCCTCCCCACTCCCGCCACCGTCCCCCGCCGGACTGCTAGCCTCCTAGACCGAAGCCCGAGGACGTCTCTGCCCGAGCGATGTCCCCTCTCCAGAAAGTTGCCGCCGCCGCCGCCGCCGCCGCCACTGCCGCCGCTGGGCGGTGAAACAAAGTCTGGCGGGGCCGCCTCCCGGTGCAGGAGCGCACCGGTGCCTAGCGGCTGGACTCCGCTGCCGGGCGTCCCGCTTTCCCCCGGGGAGCCCTAAACGCTCCAGGCCATGGCCGAGGGCGCGGCCGGCAGGGAGGATCCGGCGCCGCCCGACGCGGCGGGGGGCGAAGACGACCCCCGAGTGGGCCCGGATGCCGCCGGGGACTGCGTGACGGCGGCCTCTGGGGGCCGGATGAGGGACCGTCGCAGCGGGGTCGCACTGCCAGGCGCCGCGGGGACCCCAGCGGACAGCGAGGCGGGCCTCCTGGAGGCAGCACGGGCGACCCCCCGGCGCAGCAGCATCATCAAGGTAAGCAAAGCCGCGCCGCACCGGGAGCGTGGCTGTGGGTGATGGGTGGGTCAGGGACCCGGGCAGGATGTGCGGTGTCCGGAGGCATCCGGGCTCAGCATTGTTTTCTCCCACCTCCTTCAACGCCAAACCTTCCTTCCTTATCCGGAGGTTCCCAGACTCAGCTGTCAGCCACGAGACGCACAAGTGACTTTTTCTCCCCACTGACGGCAGAGGAAAAGTTCCGCTCTGCGTCTTTGCGTTCTGATGGATGCTTTCCCTCATTTTCTCTGCAAGCTTCACTAAACCGTTGATGGAGGGAGGAAGGGAGAACTCTGGATAAATGCAGACCCACCGGATGGTTGTGCATTGCTTTCCAATGAAGGGTTAGCTTTTCCCATACAATGAAGAAAATGCACAGCTTACTCTCAAGTGTAAAAAAAGAATCCCTCTAGACTTAAATGATCCCGAAATCCCAAGATGTGTGAACTTTCCCGGTAGGGAGGCAGAGTTTTAAGTGGACCCTGCATCACAGTAAAGAGCAATGCAAGAGCCCAGAGTTTTTGCGCTGCAGAAAGCACAACCGGAAAGCAATCAATCCCCCAAGCATTATCACTGGTCCTTGTGGTTACCACCACATCCAGGGAAAACGCTTCCTGACCCGCTAATCACCTCACAGAATTTCTCTCCATCCATTTGGCAAGGAATTTGTAAACCTCTTTCCTCCCCTTTCTCTTTCCATCTTCCTTCCACTTGGGGCTTGTTTCTTCTGTTCGAGATTTCCTCTTTTGGGAGCATGACTTTGGGGTAAGGTTATTTAGGAAAGAACCCTCGCACAGGCTCTGGAAAAGGGCCTCAGTGTAAATGCATGTGAGTAATCAATCAAATGTATGTCAGATTAAAATTGATTTTGGTGGAGCAGTCAGTATAAAACGATATGTATGTATGTATATATGTAAGTATATATGTGTGTGTGTACATACACACACACACATCCCTCAATGACAATGAAAGATGGACTTTTACTTACTATTGAATTTATTGGGTTCACTAATATATTCAAAAGCTCTGTTCAGGGTTAAGCTGCGTAACCAGTGCATCACGCATGTTGCAAGCTCCCAGCACCAGCTTAGGTAGACTAACCACAGAATGTGGCTCCAGTAAAGTCTTTTTCCCAACACTGACACATGGAAGTTTAAAATCAGTGGAGAGGTTTCTATAATATATAAAGAAGAGTGGGTGGTAATTACAAATGGCTTGTAGTAGTTTCTGTTATTTTGTGGCTTTTTGATTATGTAACAGGAGTGTTCTATTCTGGGTGTGAATTTGGACAAAGGGAAATTACTATTTTGTTTTTAACCCACAGGTCAGAAAGCACACTGTTTTCAAACTTAAAAAACATCACAATTAGGAAACACATACATTTTGGATTCTACTGTATTGATACTACATGGTGTCCTGTGTGTGTAAAACAGGCACTGCAAGAGACTTTAAAATATATGACAATAAAGAGCAAACGGCTCTATAATGTTGTAAAAAACAAAAGTAATGGAGTATAAGGAATATACAAATTCTTGCAACTGAGTTTGCCACTTGTGAATTGTACTATGCTGGTTTATATTCTCAGAAGGGTCATTGCTGAGTAATGGTGCCTCTTTTGTTTTGAAGTTTCTTTTTGTGACAAAAAAGGAGGGAGACAACAGAATATTAACTTGATTTTTCCCCTATTTAATAGTAAATGCAATTAACATTTGGTAAATGGCCTTTAAAATTAAAGATATTAGAAAATAAAGTGAATTATTATGTTAGGTTTTTATTGGAAAAGTAGCACATACATATAATTTAAAAAATCAAATGTTGCAAAGGAGTGTGAAGGAAAGACCCTCAGACACTCCACATTCCCACTTATGTAGTCCACCCTCATAGATGTTAACACTTTCTTATGTATGCTTCCAAAATATTCCATGCATGTGTAAGCAGATATATCTATATGTGTCTATGATGAACTATAGCAGCTCCTGATTTCTACAAAAAAATCTGGCTAGAGTTTTACAAGTCTCATAGTTTTAAGCATTTTTGAAGCCTAGAGGGGGTAATCTGGTAGGTCTTTGGTGGGCAGCAGTCATTGGGGTCTGTTCCCAGAGGCCTTAACGCCCTTCTAAGGAGAAAAAAAGGCAGGTGGTAAGCTCTGTTCCACTCCGTCTCTGAGATCAAGAACCTTTCTGGTGACATTCTTGAATCTGCTGCCCTGTGGTTTGTTCCCTTTAGCATAGTAAAAATGAGTTTCCAAAAAAAGTTTAGATCATATAAGAAATACATAGCACATGTTCTATATTGAGAGAAAATGCATTTTTCACAGTTTTGCCAAGAGATTTTTTTTTAAATTTGGCATTGAAATGTACACAAAGAAGAAAAGCTTTAGTACATTTTAATCAAAATATTAAATGCTGTTCCAAATAGCTGTAGTGCAGTAATAATTGATATTCATAATGCTGAGCCACTGAAAGGTTGTGAATCATCAAATATTAAATTCTTGTCAGCTCAATTTAAGGTATTGTTTCAGAATAGTGCTATCCTGACAGAAAACAGACTGTCTTGTATATTAATAAAAAGAATGTTTTTAGTAAATTTGCCCTCCATAATTTGTGAAAACATGTGTTTAGTTGAAAAAACAATTTTCTTCTGAGCTGAGGAAAACAATGACAACATTTATCTGTATGCATCTTCAGAAATTCTTTCTACTGACATTGTGTTTCTTCCCCACATATAACCAATCCTAGGTTTAAAAACGTTCAATGTGAGAATTAAACTAAGTTTTTTTAAAATCTGTCTACTTTTTCCTATATTTTTCTGTGTGATTGTTTCAACAGCATTGACATTGATAAATGCTGCATGTTTTTTGGTAAGCGCATTGTTATATACCACAATAATGCAATAGAATCCATTTTAATTTCTTCTTGATGACTTGTGGTTTGAAATGACAAGTTGGATACCTGCAGTATTGATAATCTCTAAAAGTTGTTTACTATTCTGCATTTGAATATATTTCTAATTAAGAAATAAGACCATTTATTTATCTGGTATTTGATATCAAACTTATAGCATTTAAAATATTTAACATTTTAGATTATTGCTTATAGCCCTATAATCTGCTGCCCTGTGGTTTGTTCCCTTTAGCATAGTAAAAATGAGTTTCCAAAAAAAGTCTAGATCATATAAGAAATACATAGCAAATGTTTTATATTGAGAGAAAATGCATTTTTCACAGTTTTGCCAAGAGTTTTTTTAAATTTGGCATTGAAATGTACACAAAGAAGAAAAGCTTTAGTACATTTTATATTAATCAAAACATTAAATGCTGTTCCAAATAGCTGTAGTGCAGTAATAATTGTAATGTTTTGGAAATAGGAAGCAGCATAGCTTATTTACTATATTAGTTGGTGGAAACTGAGCTACATGTGTATTTTAAAAATAGCAGTTGATTTTTCTTCCATTGTATGTGACACATTGACGGGTTCTACTTTTTTTCAACTTCCTTTTGTTCTACTTAAGAACAAATTCTCTAGGCAAGGAAGAATAGAAATTGTCACTTGGATCTCATGGACATGGGTGTGGGGGATGAAGATGGGAGTTGGGAATGAGGTGTTGAGACCAGCACTGGAGCAGCTACTTGGGTGTTGTTCATGTCTCATTATTTTATATCATGGCGAGTCTCACTCTCTCATGTCATCTTGGGCTGGTATGGTGGATTTTTGAACTGAAGCCTTAAAGGTGCCCCTTGGGTACCAGTAGACCCCTATCAAGATTATGGCTTTCCTCAGAGAGGCAAGAGGAATGCAGTTCACATTAAGTGCCTACTACTGTGAGTCATATACTAAACTAGGAGCTTTCGTACGTTTGTATCACTTAAACCTCACAGGAAACTCTCTAAAGTATGGAAGGAAGGCACAGAGAGCTACTGTTAAAATGTGGAGTGATGACTGAAAGTCATGTCTGCTTAATTTCAGAGTTTGTGCTCTTGGGCTGGTTCTCAGATGCAAGAAGTCCCACAATCCATCAACACTTCTAGGTTTGAAACAGCCCGAACACGTGAGATAGTGACAGAAGAGTACGCATCTTAGGTCCTATGGTTTGTGGGGTACATTATCTTTTCTCAGCCTTCTTTCCTTCAGTTCAGAACATTTGGAGGTTGATTATTCTAGAAAGGGATTGCAACCTCTTCTGTCTTTGGCTATTTTGTTAGGCCTGTGCTGTACTTGAAAAGACAGAGCAATCTGGCAGGTGTTCTGCTTGGCGTCAATATATGGAGCTTACATCCTATTGTTTTACCCCAGGCCCACTTTCCCCATACCCCTGCAGACAGTGGAGTTTGTGAAGCATTGTATTCTCTTTTAGGCTGATACGCAGGCAGAAAAAATACCTGGGTCATAGGAATATATATAAATCTAGGGGAGTAAGGAAATGGGGGAATCTTCTTTTGGAGCTCTGAAAGTGTGTGTGTGTGTGTGTGTGTGTGTGTGTGTTTAAATAGGGACGGTTATGAAGGGAAATTAAATGTGATTAAAAATTAGTTAAAAATTTTAGGCACTCTATGGATTATATAGGCGTTTGTAGATTGACCCAGGAATTAATCAGCATTTATAGATTTTATTCTCTACAAATATGTGTTAAAAGTTCCGAATAACCAACTTATGGATGGATTTTGGAGAAATAACCAGAGGAGCTGGCCAGCCTTTACTTTACCGTAAGGGTTGCTGAGAGTGTGCCCTGGGGGCTTCAGCTGCGGCTCTCCTCCCGAGATGTGATTTGGCTGCATGAATGGCATGAACCTCTTAGGTAGATTTGGTTTATGATCCCCACAACTTCAGTTAGAATGTTACTTTCTCTCAAATTGCCATAGTAACATGGTCACATTTCACCTTAGAAGTGGTTGCTTCTTATTGCAGGGTCTTTCTGATGTGATTTCTTATAGCACCTCTCAAGAAAATGAAGAATAAACTTCAGGTAAAGAGCTTTGTCTTACTTTGATGAAAGGTTTTTGAAGTGTCTGTTGATTAGTGTTTGCTACTATTATCAGAATTTACAAAGTTTGTTTTCCCTTTTGGAAAATATATTAAGGCTAAAAAAAGTGTAAGTTAATTACATAGCCATTGAGGGGTTAAACGTGCATTGTGATTGAGACTGAATAGTGTTTTCCCAACCTTTCCCTTTTTACAATGGAGAAAACAGGTAATTAAATTTTGTACAGTAAAATGTCAATTGAACATTTATTGCCAAATAACACCTCAGGCATAGCAGGGCATTATGAAAAGATATCAGGAGACAGCCGACCTTACCTTGGTGCTACTGAACAAGCAATTCATTAACTGCTTCTAGGCAATGCCACAGCAAACTAATCAGGCAGTGGCCCAGGCAGTAACTCAATGAAGGAATTGCATCAGTCTTCTTTGCGCCCTCACTCAATTCTGTTCAGCTTTAATAACTGTGAATATTAAAAATAACTCCACATTCAGGAGCAATGTCCAAACTGAGATGTGCTTAACACTGTATATTTTAAAAAACTATCCGACTTTAGATGACCAGACAGAGCTAAGAGGCAGGATCTCAGCAACAGTAAATGAGCCATTGGTTATAAGAAGGAGGGAGAGAATCATTGTGTTGGACTTTACATTGAAATCTAAGGTAATAAATCAATAAACTTTATTATAGTGAAACCTTTCAGTTCTGCAAAATCTTAGTGTTTTAATAATGTAAAAGAGGTTTATTTGTAGTTTTGTTGACTCTTATTCACCTCCCTATCTATCCTAGATCATCTCTGTATTCTAGTTCCTGTAATAGGAAACAATAGACAGAGTTTATGGTAATTAATGATTATACTAAACTGACAATAACTATTAGGGCCAAACGGCCAACTTCTGTAACAACAACATTCGGTCTTACATATTGGCAAATGTATTGTGTATTTCAGCTAACTTTTAATGGCAACAAAATCATAGTATGACGAAGTATTGGAATAGTCCATTGGATTTAAAATTGGATTTCATTTGTAGTTTTATCTGTAACATCTTTTGTGAATATAAGAGAGAGATATAACCTAGTTTATTTTCAGCAGTGCCGTTTAAACTCATCTTATTAATAATCAATCTAGCATTACTTTGAGAAAAGTAGGATTGTACATGGTGAGTAGAAAAGAAGCATTGTTTACATTATCATTATCACTTCAGAAAGAAGGCAAGTTAATTTTGAAAATAATAAAATCTATCAAGGCAAAACAACATAAACTATTTTAGTGTGTCTCGTTTCCATATATTTCTTAATTTGTATTTGTAAATTTATGAAAGTGTGTAGCTATTATAGGCAAGGTTATTGTGTTTTTCCTTAACTATACATCTTCATATTCAAAAGTTTAAAATACCTTTGAAAGATAATATCTGCTTTATTAATTCTTATGCTGACCTTTTTCAAGAGCCTTTAATTTTTAACATTTTTTACTTCTTTTCTCTTGACTTTTAGGTTCAGGGGGTGTACATGTGTAAGTTTGTTCCTTGGGTAAATTGCATGTTGCTGAGGTTTGGTGTATGAATGATCCTGTGAGCTAGTAAGCATAGTACCCAATAGTTAGTTTTTCAACCCAAGTACCCTAACCCAACCTTCCCCTTCGAGTAGTCCCCAGTATTTATTGTTCCTCTCTTTGTGTTCATGTGTATTTAGTGTTTAGCTACCACTTACAAGTGAGAACATGTGGTATTTGGTTTTCTATTTCTGCATTAGTTCACTTAGGATAATGGCCTCCAGCTGCATCCATGTTGCTGCAAAGCACATGATTTTGTTCCTTCTTATGGCTGTGTAGTATTCCATAGTGTATGCTTCCCACATTTTCTTTGTCCAGTCCACCATTGGTGAGATGATTCCATGTTTTTGCTATTGTGAAGAGTGCTGTGATGAACATACAAGTGCATGTGTCTTTTTGGTAGAGCGCTGTTGGATATATACCCAGTTGTGGGATTGGTTAGTCAAATGGTAGTTCTGTTTTAGTCTCTTTGATGAATCTCCACACTGCTTTCCACAGTGACTGAACTAATTTACATTACCACCAGCAGTGTATAAGTGTTCCATTTTCTCCACAACTTCACCAACATTTGTTGTTTTTTGACTTCTTAATAATAGCCATTCTGGTGTGAGTTAGTATCTCATTGTGATTTTGATTTACATTTTTCTAATGATTAGTAATGATGAGCATTTTAAAATATATTTGTTGGCTGCATGCATGTCTTTCAAAAGCCTTTTAAAGATGCTAAGTATGTACTAAACACAGACTAAGCCCAGGCAATATGTATAAGCAGGCAAACTTGTATTATTTACACGGTACAATATCACGGTTAGAAATGGTGGGATTGTGATGCTACTGAGTATTTAGCAATCAGAGATACTCAAATTCAGAACACCTGCTCTGTGAGACATTCTCTGATGTGAGGGAGATGGATGCACAAATGAGGCAAAAAGAGACAAAAGAACACTTTAGTGTTATCTGGGACCAAAATTACAATGTAGAACCCTAGAAAGCTAGACCTGACCATGTTGTAGGCACTTTTCCCTAAGGCCCAAACGACTTCAAACAAAAGCAAGCCAAATAACCTGTATACTTAAAGCCCACACCCCACCTCCCAGATCTGACAGCCGATGATGAGGGTGCGCACACCTTCTAGGGTGTAATCAGGGGCACACGCATTAGGGCTAGACAATAAGGAGTCAGAGACATGGTCAGCAGGGGGAGAGTATGTTTCCCCTCTAAGCCTCCCTTGGCTCAGGCTGGGTTAAGGCCTGGTTCAGGAAAAGGGTAATGGCATCAGAAGAGTGATGGCCCTGCTCCCCTACAGGTCAGCCCTGATTGTTGGGTTGGGGAGGAGAGAGAGAAGACCATGCTATGTGCACTCTGACCTCTCTCTCCTTTGAAAGCTTCCTCCCCATATAACATACCCCATCAATGTCCTTGAACTTGCAGTTTCTTAATCATTGATGGTGACTAATGTTTGGAAGTGGGAGTGGGGATGGAGGTGAGGGAGTTGGAGCCTCATGCTCCCCCTAGAGGCGTATATAAAAGATGCAAAGTCATCTTCAGCATTTAGTAAACTCCAGCTTTGAAATATTTTGGAAGTATTGATTTCATATCATAATTAAATATTATATATTTAGAAATGTTATTAATAGTAAGTAGCTTTATTTTTATGTTTAATCTAATATATAAAACACCTAGTAACATCTTGAATTGGTTTTCCTACTGAGCAATTTTCTTTATAATAATAGCAAATACTAATATAATTTGTATGATGAGTCTAGCATTGTTTTGAGCATTAACGTGTGTCAAATAATTTAATTCTCACAATAACCATATGATATGCATATTATTATTATCTCGATTTTTACAGATGGAGAGATGTTAAGTGACTTGCCTAAGGTCACATAGCTAATAAACGCAGAGCCAAGAAGTAGGTCCAAATAATCTAGCTCCAGAGGTTGCTTTTAATCTTTATGCTATATGTTCTTATCCTCTAAAACAGTATTGATTTGAAGCTTAGCTGGTGTGGATAAAATAGCAGATTTTTTATTGTTATCTTAAACACTAAGTTCAGCTGACAAATCAAAAACCAATTTTTAAAACAGTTTTGGGAAACTCAAGGATTACTTGAATATACATTTTTTCTCAGTTTCATAGCCTTCCTTTCACATAAAATACCTATAACTTTACTTTAATATTGCATTCCATTTTCCCTTGAGAGGAGTGGGGCTCCTAGTAGTACAAGCAAACTTCACATTATCACACTTTGCTTTGTTGTACTTTGCAGATATTGCATTTTTTTAAACAAATAGAAGATTTGTGGCAACCCTGTGTTAAGCAAGTCTACTGGTGGCATTTCGTGTCTCATTTTGGCATCGTGTGCTCACTTTGTGTCTCTGTGTCACATTTTGGTAATTCTTACAAGATTTTTAACTTTTTCATTGTTATTATATCTATTATGGTGATCTGTGATCAGTAATCTTTGATGTTACTATTGTAATTGTTTTGGAGTGCCATGAACTATGCCCATATAATACAGCGAACTTAATTGATAAATGTGTGTGTTCTGACTGCTCCACTGACCTGCCGTTGTCAGTGTCTTTCCCTCTCCTTGGGCCTCCTACTCTTTGAGACACAACAATATTGAAATTAGTTCAGTTAATAACCCTATAATGGCCTCTAAATGTTCAAGTGAAAGAAAAAGTTTCACATCTCTCACTTTAAATCAGAAGCTAGAAATGATTAAGCTTAGTAAGGAAGGCATGTCTAAAGCTGAGATAGGCTGAAAGGTAGGCCTTTTTTGTCAGTTAGCCAAGTTGTGAATGTAAGGAAAAGTGCTTGAAGGAAATTAAAAGTGCTACTCCAGGAAGCATATGAATGATAAGAAAGCAAAAACAGCCTTGTTGCTGATATGAAGAAAGTTTTAGCGATCTGGATGGAAGATCAAACCAGCCATAACATTTCCTTAAGCCAAAGTCTAATTCAGAGCAAGATCCTAACTCTCTTCAATTCTGTGAAGGCTGATAGGGGCGAGGAAGCTGTGGAAGAAAAGTTGGAAGCTAGCAGAGGTTGGTTTATGAGGTTTAAGGAAGGAAGCTATCTCTATAATGTAAAATTGCAAGGTGAAGCAGCAAGTGCTGATGTAGAAGCTACAGCAAGTTCTCCAGGAAATCTAGCAGAGATTATCGATGAAGCCGGCTACACTAAAAAACCTCAAATTAGAAGAAGGTGTCATCTAGGACTTTTATAGCTACAGCAGTGAAATCAATGCCTGGCTTCAAATCTTCAAAGGACAGGCTAACTCTCTTGCCTGGGGTAATGCATCTGGTAACTTTAAGTGGAAGCCAATGCTCAATTACCATTCTGAAAATCCTAGGGTCTTTATGAATTATGCCAAATCTACTCTGTGCCCTATGAATGGAACAACAAAGCCTGGATGACAGCACATATGTTTATAGCATGATATACTAAATATTTTAAGCCCACTGTTGAAACCTACTGCTCAGAAAAAAACATTCCTTTCAGAATATTACTGCTTGTGGACAATGCACCTGGTCACCTAAGAGCTCTGATGGAAATGTAGAGGAGATTAATGTTTTCATCCTGTTAACATAAGATCCATTCTGCAGCCTATGGATCAAGGAGAAATTTTGACTTTCAGGTATTATTATTTAAGAAATACATTTCATAAGGCTATAGTTGCTATAGATAGTGATTCATCTGTTGGATCTGGGCAATGTAAATTGAAACCTGGAAAGGATTCACCATTCCAGGTACCATTAAGAACATTCATGATTCATGGAAGGAGGTAAAAATATCAACATTAGCAGGAATTTGGAAGAAGTTGATTCCAACCTCATGGATGACTTTGAAAGGTTCAGGACTTCGGTGGGGGAAGTCACTGTAGACGGGGTGGAAATAGCAAGAGAACTAGAATTAGAAGTGGAGCCTGAAGATGTGACTGAATTGCTTCCATTTCATGATAAAAATTGAATGGATGAGGAGTTGCTTCTTATGTATGAGCAAAGAAATTGGTTTCTTGAGATGGATTTTACTCCTTGTGAAGATGTTCTGAGCATTGAAATGACAACAAAAGATTTAGAATATTACATAAACCTATTTGATAAAGCAGCAGCAGGGTTCAAGAGAGTGGGCTCCTATTTTAAAAGAGGTTAGTTGTGAGTAAAATGCTATCAAACAGCATTGTATGCTACAGATACATTTTTCACTAAAGAGTCAATAAATGTGGCAAACTTCACTTTTATCTTATTTTAAGAAATTGCCACAGCCACCCAAACCTTCAGCAACCACCACCCTGATCAGTCACCAGTGTTCAAAATGGAGGCAAGGCCCTCCAGCAGCAAAAAGATTATGACTGGCTGAAGGCTCATAATCATTATGATTATGGCTAATGATCATTAGCATTTTTTAGCAATAAGGTATTTTAAGATTAAGGTTATATACATTGTGCTTTTAGATGTAATGCTATAGCACATTTAATAGACTACTGTATAGTGTAAACATAACTTTTATATGCATGGGAAACAAAAAAATTTGTGTGACTTGCTTTATTGCAATATTTGCTTAATTGTGATGGTCCAGAATTGAATTTACAATATCTCTGAGGTATGCCTGTTTATTTTTATTCTTTGACTGAAGTTATCTTCTTTACCATGAAGCAAGAGTTTATGGTCCAACTTTGGTATAAATTATATAGGCTAAGGATGGACCATTACTTAATTATTGTAATCTGTTATGAATTATTTTATATTTTGATAGATTTGTCTCCCAGTGTCAATAAATAAATAAATAAATAAAATAAAGAGCATTTAAGTTTCCAGTCCAAGGAAGTTGTAACTTTTGTTTAGTGGTAGGAGAGATGATGCTATATGGTCAAGATTTCCTCCTAATTAGCTTTGAGGCAGATATAGTGCCTTACATGTAGGAGGAACATGTTTAATATTTGTTAAATTCCATTAAACTGAAATTCTGTCTGATCAATTAATTTCTTATTTTTGGTAGAAATTGCAAAGTCAATATGTGGGAAATTCAAATATATGATTGTGTCATGAAATTGTGCCCTTGTGGATGCTTTATTGTGTTAAAGGTAATGAATCCATTCTGCTGTGCAGAGATTTAGTGTCATGGCCAAATGGTACCCATAAGTTTGTCCCCATAACTTGGAGACTGCCTAGTGTTAAAGGTACAGTAAGCTTTCTTTTGTATGTCAGTTTTAATTATCTATCTGAAGTTATGTTAAATTATTGAAAGGTACAGGTCTTTGGCTCTCTCTCTAGTATTACAGCACTTATGCAATAAAGTATTTGGTCACATTCTCTTAAAGTGATTTTTTTTTTCTTGTCCAAAAAGAAAGGGTTCTCCCAAGCATTTGAAACCTAAAAAACTTTTTTTCCTCATACTTTCTCATGTTTATTTAGTGTGGGAACAAGCTAGTTTTGTGATAAATGAACTGATGTTTCTATGTGCGTGTGCGTGTGCACGTGTGTGTGTGTGTGTATACTTACGCCAGGCATATTGGAAGTCAGAAGTCTCAACAGGAGGTAACATTTATTTTATTTTTTTTAGTAGAGATGGGGGTTTTGCTGTGTTTCCCAGGCTAGATTTGAACTCCTGGGCTTAAGGGATCCTCTCACCTCAAACTCCCAAGTAGCTGGAACTATAGGCCTGTGTCCCCATGCCTGGTTTAGGTAACCTTTTGATCCCCAGTTTTCTTTCCTGCAACTGGGAAGATGGTCTTTATCCAGAGACATCGTCATCAAAGTAAGAACTGCATAGGTTGTGAGAAGTCACACTCAGAAATGTTAGCTGTTAAGCTTGACCAGTAGTTGAGGTTTCTGAAAGGAGTGAAGAGAAAGAGAGGGATCAAGATGTGCTAGAGGGGAATGGAGTCAGATGGGACCATGCTTATAAATGGGCTGAGTAAATGCCTTGACAAATGTCTTTACTTGAATCATTCTGCCAGAAGTTGTACATTTTGGAATTTATTTATTTTTTTTAATTTTGATGGTCTTTGGTTTTTTTGGAGAACTTTTAACCGATGGGCACCTGACACCTTAACACACTTAGCAGTGATCGTTGGACCCAAAGCTCTTTTGAGTCTGAAGATTCCTGAGAAGAATCAAGGGAGGACTGTTCTGGGTTGTCGATAGTGATGATTGGCGTTAAAAGTAAGCTTTGTCTACTTGGCTATTTTGCTAACCCCAGCTCTAGGAAAGTCCAGGGAGATTCTTCATGGTGGCACCTTCAGTATGATAGATTTACCAATAGGGAGAAATGACCTGACAAACAAATCATTGTAGAAGTTGGTGTACTAGGATGGAAGTAGTTGTGAGTGCTGGAATTAGCCACCACTCCTTTAAAAAAGGCTCTAAATATTCACATACTCAGGCAACCATGACCGTCCCTTCCTTACTAAGAAGCTGGCTTCACTACCTCCACTACCTTCACTATTTCTTTTGCCCAAACCCTTTTCCCCAGGCTGAGTAAGGGAATGACTGGAAGGGACAAAGTAGACTTGGAGGTTGGGGCGGGGGGTGTTTGTGGTTCCTGAAGACAGCCTATTCCTTCCACTTACCTCATTGTAAGGTGAAGAGATAATGACCCTTTCTGAGGTTGAGAAAGGACTCAAGTGATGATTCTTTTTTGTTTGCTTGTTTTGAGATGGTGTCTCACTATATTGCCCAGGTTGAACTTGAACTTCTGGCTTCAAACAATCCTCCTGATTCAGCCTTCTCAGTAGCTGGGACTACAGCACATGCCACTGCACCTGGCCAAGAGATAACTCTTAAGTGTAAGATTGGACTGGTAATGGTGGCGGCATTTAACTGTCTCCTTCTCCACCAAATCTCCCCATAAGTTCAGACTGGTGTCTTTCTGTCTCTTCTTGAAAGACACTGAGTTACTGGACCATCAGAGCCCCTGATGCTCTCCTGTTTGTGGAGAAAGAGGACACTGTAGAAGACATCCAGTCCTCTTGCTGCTGCCCCACCCAAAGAGGTTTCTTGGGTGAAGAGACTCTGGTAACAAAAGGCTGGGACAGGGGCTGGTGAGGGATGGGAGGGAAAAGGTCAATGTTCATGCCAAATCTCCCACACCAGGATAATAAATGTGTGGGGAAGAAGGGCACTATAGGGAATAAGCAACTTCATAGAGAGTCAGCCTTTGGATGCCTGCCTCACAGAGAGAACCAGTGGTCAGTTCAGTGTTAATTTGAGGAGTAGAGAAAACCAACCCAGTGGGGCCTGCAACATCCCTATGAGGCCATCCTATGGAGAGACCTCGGCTTCATTTCATCCTCCAGCTTAAGACTAGAAAGGAAGTGTAGCAGGGAAGAGAAAGGGAGAAGTGGGTAGAGTAGACCCACCCCCAGCCCTAGCCACTAAATCCACCATTCTAGCTTGCCGTGGGGGCTGCAAAGTAGAGAAGACCTTGAATTAAACATGACATTGAAATTTTAAAGTGAGCAAGACTGAGTAAGGACTCAAAAGAACCCTTCTGATAATGGAAACAGAATGAAACACTATGGAATCTGAGTAAGCTATCAGTAATAACTGGAGTATAGAGAAACAGAGAGGATCTGAGAATGAGCAGTTAGGGAAAAAAATATATGTTTATACCACAACTTGAGACTGCTTACTTATTCAATTACATTGTTATAGAATTGGAGGGCTGAATGGGAGCTTAGAGACCATTTTCCAATTCTACCCTTTCATTTTACTAAGCCGGCTGTCTACTATCACTCCCATTCTTTCAGAGAATCATTAAAATGAGATTATTTGTGATAATTAGATAATGTAATTAGAATTGTTTATGATACCAGGGATAGGTAGTGGAGGTTTCTTTCAAGCGTTCATGTTATAGAATAATAATGAGCACACCATTGTCAAGATCTTACAATATCTTCAATTCTTACAACAGTCTGGGAAGACATGTAGCTATCATTATCACTTCCACCTTAGAGATGAGGAAGCCAAGGCTCACTATTATGCATGTGTGTGTGTGTGTGTGTGTGTGTGTGTGTGTGTGTATGTAGTAGGGTTGGGGGAAGGTATACTTTTACTCTTCATTTTCTTTTGTCTTCCAAACCTGCAACCTGAAAAAACGAACAATGATTTCAGAATATATTCATCTGGCTGGAATGGAGCTGAGCAGAAAAACAAAAGTTAAGGTAGTTAAACCCTGGATTGTTTTGCAATAAAAGCAACCACCGTTTATTGAGTTAGGTGCATATATGTTATTTCATTTAAGTTGGAAGTAGGAAGGATCTAAGAAAAAGCAATGGATCTGAAGTAGTTGTTTTGGCACAACTCCTAGGGCTGGGTTTTGGGCTTCTGACTCTTCAAAACTTACATGTCAGCAACCCCAAGTATTAGTTTCTTGTTGCTGCTGTAATAAGTTGCTACAAACTTAGTGGCTTAAAACAGCACAGATTTATTATCTTATAGTTCTAGAGTCATTTATTGTGTTCCTCTGTGCATTGTCAGTGTAATGGGGTATGTATGCCAGCCTGTATGGCAGTGTAAGATATTAAAATAAGAACAAAGCCCAGTTTTCTTAGCACTGCTTGTATCAAAGTGTGATTTCCATATAAGCTCACATCATAGGGAATCAGTTGCAATCTGGTTTCATGGATAACAAGACCAGGTTATGGAATATTTTTCATTGCATGAAGCCTGTTAAAAGCCAGAAGAGAAAAGCAATACTTTCTGCTGACATTGGGATCAACTGAGAATGTGGTGGGCTTAGTGGTATTAAATAAGATAAAAAGTTGAAATCAAAATTTAAAACTGTCTAGATGTAGATATTAGATATTTATTTACATAAAATGAAAATTCTGAAGTGGATATTTTTGCTGTTCTGAACTTCTTCAAGAAAAATCTGGAGAAAGCAAAACTGTGATTTAAGTTCTTTACCCACTGTGCCTAATACCTTACTATCTTTTAAAGAATTTGCTTTTTTACAAGCTACAGAAACATTGCTCTGAAGCTTCGTATGGACATTAAAGCTTAACTGTGTTTATCTGATTATGTTTGAAGCCTTTCTGTATTCTTATTAATGGTTTCAATTTTGATATTTAGGTCTTACATTTGAAAATGGCTTAAGCATTTTAAAGATCAAGTAGATGATTAAGGTAGATTATTTGTCTTGTCCCTGTAAGGATCACGGTGCTATAACCCACAAGGACTGTCTTTGTAGTTTTCTTCAAGTTCTCTTTTTTCCCCCTATCATTTGGGTCTTTTCCTTTATAAACCATTCTGTTTTTCAGTGTTCAGGAAGTATATCACTGGTGGTGGTACTCAGCCCTCCAAAGTATTGTTTGCTTTAGATAGTTGGCTTGATCTACATCTGAACTTAAAATTTCACTATAAAAATCTTTTTTAAAGGAGGAATTTAGCTGAGAATATTTATACATGAACTTCTGAGCTTTTGAAGTGAAGAGGTCCACTCTCCATATTTATAAATACTTTCATCTGATGGGAGGCTATGTCGCTCTGACAAAGAGATCCCTGCACATAGTGGCTCAAACAAGATAGTTTATTTCTTTAATAAGCAACACTAAGCAGGTTATTACAAATCAGGTAGGTGTCTCTGCTCCGTAAAGTAATTCAGGGATCCAGATTTTTTGCTCTTCTTTTTGGGCCACCCCTTAAGATGTTGGCTTGTCCCTTTGATGAAAATGGCCTATCACCACATTTGCCTTCTATTTCATAAGAAGGGGGATGAGGAAAGTGGAGAGCAATTAGTTTCTTTTTAAGGAAGTGACCCATAAGTTTCACATGCCACTTCTGTTCATATCCCACTGGCCCATTGGCCCAGTGGTCATATGGCCATACCCAGCTGCAAAGAAGGCTGGAAAATGTAGTCTTTATCAGGATGGCCATGTGCTTAGGTAGAGATTAGGAGATTCTATTGGTAAAATGAACAAGAGGAGACTGTAAGTTTTTGTTAAGGTTAAAACAGTTAGTCGTGGGATATATTCTTAATTTGGAGAAGGGACCAAAGTGTTTTGTAATAGGAGGGAATCAGACATTATTCTGTTTTGGGGTTCACATTGTTTAACCTGGTTAGGAAAATTGACCAGAACACGGCTCATGTGCTACTAGGGTCTGTCTGTATGAGCCAGTTGGCTTCAAAATGATGTCTCACAGACATGGACTGCACTTTTTATCCTGACTTTCAAATGTATACCATATGTGAATCATAGATAAACTCCAAGCAAGAACAACTTAGGATGCCTTGAGTAACTGTTGTGTGCCACATGCTGTCTGAAAGATCCTGTGGTGAACTTTTAGGAGAGCCTTTGGAGGTCATTTTGCAGTTAACCACACTAGGGCAGGAACCCTTCTAGATGTGCAGAATTTGCTTCCAGTCAGCAGGGAGTTGCCTCCCTTACTAGGGAGCCAATTTCATTTTCAGTCTGCTTTTGTCGTTTGAAAAAATTCTTACGTTGAGCCCAAATCAAGTTATTCTCTGACACTTTCCTTAGGCAGTCCTATTTCTACCTTCAGGAGCTATAAAGAGTAAGTTTAAGTTCTCACATGACAGCTCTTGACATATTTGAAGGGAGTTACGTGGGTGTCTCCTCCCACACTCCCACTATAATAAATAACCCCTGACATTTATTGGGTGCTTACCATGTTCCAGACACTGTTCTAAGCACTTTATGTGTATTAACTCTTACCAATTCTTACTAGTCTTATGAAGTAGGGACTGTCTACCCCATTTCATGGATGAGGAAGTTGCAGCACAGACAGGTTAAGTATTTGCCCAGATTCACACAGTAAGTGGCATGTTCTGATTTGTCAGTGTTTCATTTGAAATGGTGTTCCTAGGCCTCAACACTGGTTGCTATGCCAGATGCACTGTGGTCCACTGTAGTGGGCTGTTTTACCTTCCTTCTTTTGGATCCTGTATTTCTACAAATGTAACCATCAGGAGAATTGTTTTTCTGGAAAAAAATACATATTCCATTGACCACAGTTCAGCAAAGTTGTCTTTATATTAAGACACTATGCTCCTGAATTTGAGAGGATATGATGAGTTCACCAAAGGTAGGCTTGATATGGCAGCTGGATTCAATTTAATATGATGTATAAAGCCGTTGTACTTTTCTTCAATAGGGAAGCAATTATAGGTAAAAATCATAGGTAAAAAATCAGTTAAAAATGATTTTCTATTTTTCCTTTTAAGAGATGGGCTCTCCAGGCTGGTCTTGAACTCCTGGGCTCAAGTGATCCTCCCATCTTGGCCTCCCAAAGTGGTGGGATTACAGGCATGTACCACTGCCCCCAGCTTAAAGATAATTTTCTTAATAACTATGTGAAACAGTAGAAATAAATTAGGGATTAGGAGAATGGCTAGAAGTTTCTAGAATTAAGTGCTAGATCTAAGAGGTGGTATAGCACTACCATTAAAAGGCCCTAGAATTGGACTGCCAGAATTGGAATACTGATTGTCTCTCTCTATATATATATATGTGGTTGGTGGTTTTTGGGAGGATTTAAATGAGAGAATTCATGTAGAGTGCTTACCTAAATGGTTGATACAAGGTAGATAGTCAATGAATGTTAATTATTATTATTTGGAAATAGGAAAATAAAATCTGAGGCTAGTTTTGAAAGAATTGTCAGGACTTCTCAGATATGAAGAAATAAAGAAATAGTAATTCTTAAGACTTTGATCATAGAGGGCTTTGAATAAAATGGTATGTTTGAGTCATGGAGCAAACCTTGTCTTTTGGCTGCCATATCTAACCAGGTTGGAGTTGTGATGGTCATCTTTCTGGTAGATGGGGCAGTTCCAGTGTCTCTGTTCATATTGGTCATCATTGATTTTCTCTAATTTCTTGCAGTATTACAAAGAAAAATGCCCAGAAACTTTGATTTGAGTTGATATAGTAAGTAGTTACTTGTTTTACGCTTCAAATTTCTTCCAAAAAAGTTCTGTAAACCACTCCTCAGTATGTATAATTGTCACTCTCTCTGTTCTTTCTTGACAAACAAAAGCACAATTTTTACGAAAGGGTCAAGTTTGTTTAAAAGTGGTCTCCACTTTCCTCAAATTCTAGAGTAAAAGAATGAGCTATATATGAATTTAGCATAGCTCAATTTAATTCAGCAAATGATTTTTAAGTACTTACAGAATTTGACACTATATTGTGTCCTTGGTTTTGATATATTTGTGTCCTTGGTTTTGGTCATTCTTTTATCTAAAATTTCATATTAATGAACAATATATAATGGTTTTTTTTCCTTGCTTCAAGTTGATTGAAATTTTAGAAAAGTCCTCATAATTCTCATCTTGACACAAACTCAGACTTAAGAGACACCTAAAACTCTGTGAAGGCATCTGTTAGAATAACTTTCTTAACTTGTCCAAACTGATTGCACCTTACAATTCAATGACATCTTTGAATTTTGCTTTTTACTGAGCAAAAGTCCTGTTACAGCTGATGACTTCATACTCCTTTTTTTTTTCACCCTGGAATTATGGCCATTTTGGTAAAATTTGTGCTATATGCAAAACGTGAATGAAAACTTAAGTATTTAAAAAATCAGTCTGTAATCCAAACACTTTGGGGAGCTGAGGTGGGAGCATCACTTTAGCCCAGGACCTCAAGAGCAGCCTGGGAAACATAGTGAGACCCCATCTGTACAAAAAATACAAAAATTAGCCAGGTGTGGTGGTGCATGCCTATAGCTCCATTTACTCTGGAGGCTGAGATGGGAGGATTGCTTGAGCTCAGGAGGTTGAGGCTGCAGTGAGCTATGATTGTGCCACTGCACTCCAGCCCGGGCAACAGAGCGAGACCCTGTCTCAAAAAAAAAAAAAAAAAAAAAACATGTCTGACTCCTACTCAGATATTCAGCTTGTTTGTTTATGAGTCTGTCTTTCTTGTTAGACTGTAAATTCCTTAAAAGCCAGAACTCTTTCGAGCTGTTCAGTTTTGTGGTCCAAAACGATGCTCTGTAAAGGCAGGGGCCTTAAATAAGTAATGACTGGTCTTAAAATAAAACCTTAAAATTAAGGAAAGGGGTGAACCATAAAATTGGCAGCTATTACTCATTTTATTATAAGTAATAATTTGGTTAAGGAAGCAATATTGCCTTTTTTTTCTGCAGGTTTTTTGACCAAGCATGCTGAAAATCAGAGGTGTCTCTGGTTTTTTGCCTTAGGTGTTTGTCACCTGCCAGGTTCTCGTGGGTAAGACACAAGTCAGTGGGTGGAGGAGGATATAATGAATATAACATTTTTCTGCTTCTTTCTTTATACCTATTAGATTTAAACATAGCTTTCTTTATGAAAGCATTCTGAAAGAATTGGAATTTTGGCTGTAATCTTTGTGCAAGCCAATCATGGATTCACTCTGAAATTCAGCTGCTGTATGACACTGGACCCAGTCCTAGTACCACAGTAAAATGGAGCCAGTGTTCCTGGAAGTTTTAAGGCTACAAGCTCTTTCAGTAGAAGGCATAGGCAGTATTCTTTTAGCTAATCAGCTATAACCTTGATTTTCACAAGGATGATATAAGTTAGAAACTATCCTATAAACAGTGGGAAATTACAGTGTCTCCTACCAATTCCATGAAGAAAGGGACCACATTTTAGACTTTTCTTGCATCTTCTGTAGCTCCTACTAAGTGCTAAGCATGTACTTGATTTATCTCCCATCTCTCACCCAAACTAAACCAAGACAACTCATTCTCTTCTACCTTCCTTAAGGGAATCTTGCCCTGAGTTAATGTAGTCTACCATTGCTAGGTTCGCTTTCCTTAACAGGAACTTAAGTCTTTGAGAGACAGCGTGGGCAGGTAAGAGGACACAGATTTGAGAATTTGATCTGGGATCCTGGAATCTCATTTTTGCTACTTTCTAACTGTGTGATCATAAAATTTTTCCTGAGCCTCAGTTTCTTCATTGGTAAAATGGGAATTTTAATGCCTATCCCACAAGTTTGCCATAAGGCTTGCAGGTGAATAATGCAATATATCTGTTATATATTTTAGAAATATTTTAGGCTGTGCCTAAAAAAATGGACTTGACAATCCATTTATCTAGCAGTTCCTCTAATAAAGACACTGTCCATTGGCTACTAATGAAAAGTCGGTAATTCACTACATAATTTTACGACAGGGTCTATATACTTTCCTAGCAGTTGTACCTGCCAGTATTTCCTTCTCGGAGGCTTTTCACTGAGCCTCACAACAGCAGTGGACTGGTGTATGAGAAGCAGTCCTATCGGCTGCCGCTATCTCTTAATCAAACCATGTATGACATGTATTTAGTCAGACTACCCATCTGCTATCTTGAGATACCTCGTTCACAATAGCATAAGTGAATGTTTGTGAATATGGACCACATCTGGCATGGGTGGCCTATCATCTACCTACGCTTCATCCTGTGAGATACAACTAAAATGAAAACAATGTTCTTTAGGTGATTATATATAAAGGAATTTCTTAATTCTGATAGATTTTGACTCTTTCCTTCAAATATTGAAAATTGAGTTGATATATAATTGATTTATATGTGAAGATGAGGAAGAATGTGGACCTTTTCTCTTACTATTTAATGTTTTATGTTAAATCTTTAAATGTATGCTTAATATCTCTGTTGTGGATCCAAGGCCATTGAAATTTAACTCTACTAACAGCCTTTTTGGCAATGCTAATCAATTCTTTTTACACTATAATACATTTGGCAAAGTTACTTTTAATGACCGATTCGTTCATTCATCTGTTCATTGATGCTTCTAGCATTCATGACAAGACTATATTTGCAATATAGAGATTCGAAGGTGAGGCAGACATGCACAATACCCAATGTATTAAAACTGTAAGCCCAAATAGAATATAGGTGCTGTAACAGAAGTATAGTATAGAGCTGAGCTCCAAGCCAGGTGCTTAAAAATGTTTATTGAATGAGTGAATATACCTAGGCCTGGATATCTGTTTGCTGGATATTTCCAAGTTCCTAGATTTTTCCTTCTCGTTTTTCATCTCATGAATAGCACCACTATCCTCAGTTGCCCTTGCTAGCAATCTGGATGTCATCTTTGTCTCCTTTTTCCCCTCTTCTATCATATCCAATGTATCACCATGTTTTCTTGGGTCTACCTACTAAATAGTTCTCACTGCTACACTAGTTCAGGCCACTAGCTTGGCCTGTATCATTGTGGCATCTTCCCACATGGTAGTTCTGCCTCCAGCCATTTTCTTTTGCCTGATTAATTCTCCAGAGTAGTAGCTAGAGTATTATTTCTAAATGGCAAATCCAACTGCATCATTTTCTTCCTTAAAAGTTTTTGATGACTTCTCATTGTCCTAGGAATAATGTGCAAATCCCTTTACGTGGGTCAGGAGGCCCAGTGCAATGTGGAGCCCGCTTTTTCTTCCAGTTCCAATTCCTACCACTTCCTACTTCTCACATTCCAGTTTATGAGATGACACTGTGTGTATATATGCATATAAATATATATGTGTATATATATATATAGGCATAGTGCCCTGCTCATAGTTGCTCAATATATGTTGGCTATTCTTATTTTTCTAAATGTGCTTTCTTCGAAACTGGCACAGCTGGGAAAAATGTTTTTAGGAGCATTAAACAAGGGAGATTGGAAGAGAGAGAAGCTCAGAGTCGACAAGAGGATATAATCTAGGTGTTGTCAACAAAGTGGATATCATGATAAAGGTTAAAAAATAAATCCATTCAACTTTTGAAAAACGTATTTTTGGGTTGGTTTTGAAAAATAATTCAGTGTAGCATTAAAAAAGTACTCTGTTGGATCTTAAATTTATCATTTCCTGAGATTATGATCTAGTTTAGAAAAGTTGCCAGATATTCGCTCTTCAAGATTTACATTGTTTTCCAAAGTCCCCCAAATGGTCATAGCACTGTTGTTAAGTGTTCAGTTGGCTACAGAATTTCCTTAAATTGTGATTTTTAGTCAATGGAATATGATGACTCACAGGGAATGTAACTGTTTTCTGTTTTAGCTTACTGATCTTTATCTTAACATGGTCAAGAGTCTATGTTTCTATTACTCTCACAGATTAGCAAATATGTTTTTTATAAGACATGAAATAAAATATCATTTTGCTAACTTTTTATTGTCTAGTATTACAAATACTGTTGATAACTTGAGATTGAATCATTTAGGTCATGTTTTAGAGATGAATAGAAAAAAGTTTGTTATTATAGTTTTTCTTTTTCTTTTTATAATTTGGGTTGGAAGATTCATTTTCATTAGTTTGGAGTAAATAGATCTTTTGTAAATATCAGTATTTCACTGGTGTTTATATTAATTATGTTTTATTTGATAAAACCATTTGCAAGAGGTTGGTTGGTTCACGGGATAACTGTTGTCAAATTGCTTTGAAATAGTATAAATGCCACATAGAAAACTTATATTATTGAGACGTTTTGATGATCAAAATTACCTTTGAGTTCAAAACTTGTTTTACTAACAGTAAAAAGCACAAAACATTTTATTTAATGTCTTTGTGATTTTAAATTGTAGTCAAAGTTTTGATTTTTTGCTAATTCATATATCTATATTAGATTACAGAATTGTTATTTAACATAGGATTTAAAAATTCTTATGCTTGGATTATTATAATTTAACAATCAAGTGTGGCTTTTGAAAAAATATTCAATAATGCTAATTTTGAAGTTTAGAACAAATCTTTTAAAACTTATACCTTTGCAATGTCAAAGGAAATTTTGTAAAAGTATCCATATAGTGATGTGAAATATGCTTATGTGGGCAGAAACTTGATTGCTGAGATCAATTTTATAATTGTATACATAAATCCATAATCGAATATTCCAGTCATTGCCATTTGGGTAAAAGCAAATACTAAAAGCTGTTATGTCCCCTTAGGAAACATATCAAGAACAGATTGAAACAGAATGTCTTTAACTGTCTTAAAACAATTCCATAAATGGTTACCACTTTAACTCAAAAGTTAGGAATCCTCTTGAATCCATTGCAGTTCTTTACACAGGCTGCCAGCTGATTGTGTAATTACATGCCATATAGCACAAAGCATGATTTATGACACTATTGTTATGGTGTGCTCACTAAAAATAATGAAAAATAGTAAGTATAGTATTAGCAGAGTTGCTGTAGGTGGTTGCCAGACAAAATGCAAGGCATGCAGTCAAATTTGCATTCCAGATAAACAGTACATAAGTTTTTAGTACAATTTAGGCAAAATTATTTATTGTTTATTTAAAATTCAAATTTAAGTGAGCATCCTGTGTTTTTATTTGTTAAATCTGGCAACCCTAGCTGTATGTGATTGGGTAGACTATAGGTAATAGTAAAGAAACAGATTTTTCTAATGAAACAGAATTTCTTCCCTAAGTTCCTCCAGAATCAAATAAAGAATATCTTGGTTACCCAGCTAGTAAATCATATTTGAAGCTAGTACGTGAACTTAGAGAGCTAGCTTTAAGAGCCGTGCCCTATCACCACCTCTCATATTGGTGTTTGTGAAATTAAAAGTAATTCAATTGCAACATTACACACTATTTCATACTGTATTATGTTGAATTTATGCATCGTTAAAATTATTAAAATCCATTTTTAAATTTTATGTTAAGAAATTAACTTATTTAATAAATTAATTTTCTTCTTTTTAAAAGAGGCATTTTTGATGAGAATTTTCAAAAAACATGTAGATTTTTGCTGTTCTATTATAAGTAGTATTCATTAGTTTCACCAAATGTTTTTGTTTGCTTTATGATTAATAGTGATTTGCCTTTCATTTTCTTGTTAAGGCTGAATTACTGTGTTTGTGCTATGCAACTGGGAAGCAGCCATAGTTTGGAGTGGCACATTGCTCTGGTTGTTTCTTTAGCTTGGCTGGCCTTGGTCTCTTCTGCTGTAGCCATCAGTCATCCAGTGCTCTTTGCATGCTATGGGACATATTTTTTCCCATGAGTGACAGTGGTTGCCTTTTATGACTTAGCCCTCATTAATAATTAGGCAGGGATTACATATGAAATCTTGTAATAATTCATGATCTACATTTACTCATTTACAAGTATAAATAAATGAAATCTAACAGTCACAAAATACCTTGAAACTGGAACCTCTTAAATATAAAGATGAAAACATCACATCGTAAGCCCCATTAGTTAAAAATATGCTTTTGAGAATGGTTAAAATGACTTAGCTGAAAATTCCAAAAACCAGAATGCCCCTTCTCCTCCAAAGGATCACAACTCCTGGCCAGCAAGGGAACAAAACTGGATGGAGAATGAGTTTGACGAATTCACAGAAGTAAGCTTCAGAAGGTGGGTAATAACAAACTCCTTCAAGCTAAAGGAGCATGTTCTAACCCAATGGAAGGAAGCTAGGAACCTTGAAAAAAGGTTAGAGGGATTGCTAACTAGAATAACCAGTTTAGAGAAGAACATAAATGAACTGATGGAGCTGAAAAAGACAGCACGAGAACTTCGTGAAACATACAAAAGTATCACTAGCCGAATCGATCAAGCAGAAGAAAGGATATCAGAGATTGCAGATCGACTTAACTAAATAAAGTGTGAAGACAAAATTAGAGAAAAAAGAATGAAAAGGAATGAACAAAGCCTCCAAGAAATATGGGACTATGTGAAAAGGCCAAACCTATATTTGATTGGTGTACCTGAAAGAGATGGGGAGGATGGAACCAAGTTGGAAAACACTTTTCAGGATATTATCCAGGAGAACTTCCCCAACCTAGCAAGACAGGCCAACATTCAAATTCATGAAATACAGAGAATACCACAAAGATACACCTCGAGAAGAGCAACCCCAAGACACATAATCATCAGATTCACCAAGGTTGAAATGAAGGAAAAAATGTTAAGGGCAGATAGAGAGAAAGATCGGGTTACCCACAAAGGGAAGCCCATCAGACTAACAGAGGATCTCTCTGCAGAAACCATGCAAGCCAGAAGAGAGTGAGGGCTGATATTCAACATTCTTAAAGAATTTTCAACCCAGAATTTCATATCCAGCCAAACTAAGCTTCATAAATGAAGGAGAAATAAAATCCTTTACAGACAAGCAAATGCTGAGAGACTTTGTCACCACCAGGCCTGCCTTACTAGAGCTCCTGAAGGAAGCAGTAAATACGGAAAGGAAAAACCAGTACCAGCCACTGCAAAAACATGCCAAGTTGTAAAGACCATTGACACTATAAGGAAACTGCATCAACTAATGGGCAAAATAACCAGCTAGCATCATAATGACAGGATCAATTTCACACAAAACAATATTAACTTTAAATTTAAATGGCCTAAATACCCCAATTAAAAGACACAGATTGGCAAATTGGACCCATCAGTCAAGACCCATCAGTGTGCTGTATTCAGGAGACCCATCTCACATGCAAAGACGCACATAAGCTCAAAATAAAGAGATGGAGGAATATTTACCAACCAAATGGAAAGGAAAAAAAAAGCAGGGGTGGCAATCCTAGTCTCTGATAAAACAGACTTTAAACCAACAAGGATCAAAAAAGACAAAGAAGGGCATTATATAATGGTAAAGGGATCAATGCAACAAGAAGAGCTAACTATCCTAAATATATATGCACCCAATACAGGAGCACCCAGATTCATAAAGCAGGTTCTTAGAGACCTACACAGAGACTTAGACTCCCACACAATAATAGTAGGAGACTTTAACACCCCACTGTCCATATTCAACAGATCAACGAGACAGAAAATTAACAAATATATTCAGGACTTGAACTCAGCTCTGGACCAAGCAGCCCTAATAGACATCTACAGAACTCTCCACCCCAAATCAACAGAATATACATTCTTCTCAGCACCACATAGCACTTATTCTAAATTTGCCCACATAATTGGAAATAAAACTCCTGAGAAAATGCTAAAGAACGGAAATAATAAGAAACAGTCACGCAGACCACAGTGCAATCAAATTAGAACTCATGATTAAGAAACTCAGAACCGCACTACATGGAAACTGAACAACCTGAATGACTACTGGGTAAATAACAAAATTAAGGCAGAAATAAATAAGTTCTTTGAAACCAATGAGAACAAAGACACAATGTACCAGAATCGCTGGGACACAGCTAAAGCAGTGTTTAGAGGGAAACTTATAGCACTAAATGCTCACAGGAGAAAGTGGGGAAGATCTAAAATCGACACCCCAGCATCACGATTAAAAGAACTAGAGAAGCAAGATCAAACAAATTTGAAAACTAGCAGAAGACAAGAAAAACTAAGATCAGAGCAGAACTGAAGGAGATAGAGCCACAAAAAACCCTTCAAAAAATCAATGAATCCAAGAACTGTTTTTTTGAAAAGATTAACAAAATAGATAGATGGCTAGCCAGACTAATAAAGAAGAAAAGAGAGAAGAATCAAATAGACACAATAAAAAATGGTAAAGGGGAGATCACCACCGATCCCACAGAAATACGAACTACCATAAGAGAATACTATAAACACCTCTACGCAAATAAACTAGAAATTCTAGAAGAAATACGTAAATTCCTGAACACATACACCCTTCCAAGACTAAACCAGGAAGAAGTCAAATTCCTGAATAGACCAATAAGTTCTGAAATTGAGGCAGTAATTAATAACCTACCAACCAAAAAAAGCCTAGCACCAGACAGATTCACAGCCAAATTCTACCAGAGATACAAAGAGGAGTTGGTACCATTCCTTCTGAAACTATTCCAAACAATAGAAAAAGAGGGACTCCTCCCTAACTCATTTTATGAGGCCAGCAACATCCTGATACCAAAACCTGGCAGAGACAAAACAATAAAAGAAAATTTCAGGCCAGTATACCTGATGAACATCAATGCGAAAATCCTCAATAAAATACTGGCAAACCAAATCCAGCAGCACATCAAAAAGCTTATCCACCACAATCAAGTCAGCTTCATCCTTGGGATGCAAGGCTGGTTCAACATACACAAATCAATAAATGTAATCCATCACATAAACAGAATCAATGACAAAAAACACATGATTATCTCAATAGATGCAGAAAAGGCCTTCGATAAAATTTGGCCAGGTGCGGTGGCTCACGCCTGTGATCCCAGCACTTTGGGAGGCCAAGGCCGGCAGATCATGAGGTCAGGAGTGAAACCTTGTCCTTAATAAGGATACAAAAATTAGCTAGGCATGGTGACATGTGCCTGGAATCCCAGCTACTCAGGAGGCTGAGGCAGAGAATCACTTGAGCCCGGGAGGCAGCTTCAGGCTAAAAACTCTCAATAAGGTAGGTATTGATGGAACATATCTCAAAATAGTACGAGCTATTTATGACAAACCCATAGCCAATATCATACTGAATGGGTAAAAGCTGTAAGCATTCCATCTGAAAATCGGCACAAGACAAGGATGCCCTCTCTCACCACTCCTATTCAACATAGGAAGTTCTGGCCAGGGCAATCAGGCAAGAGAAATAAATAAAGATATTCAAATAGAAAGACAGGACATCAAGTTGTCTCTGTTTGCAGATGGCATGATTGTATATTTAGAAAACCCCATCTTCTCTGCCCAGGATCTCCTTAACCTGCTAAGCAACCTCAGCAGTCTACGGATACAAAATCAATGTGCAAAAAATCACAAGCATTCCCATACACCAATAATAGACAAACAGAGAGCCAAATCATGAGTGAACTCCCATTCACAACTGCTACAAAAAGAATAAAATACACAGGAATACAACTTACAAGGGATGTGAAGGACCTCTTCAAGGAGGACTACAAGGAAATAAGAGAGGACACAAACAAGTGGAAAAACATTCCATGCTCATGGATAGGAAGAATCAATATAGTGAAAATGGCCATACTGCCCAAAGTAATTTATAGATTCAGTGCTATTCCTATCAAGTTACCATTGACTTTCTTCACAGAATTAGAAAAAACTGGTTCAAATTTCATATGGAACCAAAAAAGAGCTGGTATAGCCAAGACAATCCCCAGCAAAAAGAACAAAGCTGGAGGCATCATGCTACCTGACTTCAAACTGTACTACAAGGCCACAGTAACCAAAACAGCATGGTACTGGTACCAAAACAGATATATAGATCAGTGGAACAGAACAGAGGCCTCAGAAATAATGCCACACATCTACAGCCATCTGATCTTTGACAAACCTGACAAAAACAAGCAGTGGGGTAAGATTCCCTATTTAATAAATGGTGTTGGGAAAACTGGCTCGCCATATGCAGAAAACTGAAACTGGACCCCTTCCTTAAACCTTATGCAAAATTTAACTCAAGATGGATTAAAGAGTTAAACATAATACCTAAAACCATAAAAAACCTAGGCAATACCATTTAGGACATGGGCATGGGCACAGACTTCATGACTAAAACACCAAAACAATGGCAACAAAAGCCAAAATTGACAAATGGGATCTAATTAAACTAAAGAGCTTCTGCACATCAAAAGAAACTGTCATCAGAGTGAACAGGCAACCTACAGAATGGGAGAAAATTTTTGCCATGTAGCCATCTGACAAAGGGCTAATATCCAGAATCTACAAAGAGCTTAAACAAATTTACAAGAAAAAAACAACCCCATCAAAAAGTGGGTGACAGATATGAACAGACACTTCTCAAAAGAAGACATTTATGTGGCCAACAAACATACGAATAAAAGCCTGTCATCACTGGTCATTAAAGAATTGCAAATCAAAACCACAATGAGATACCATCTCACGCCAGTTAGAATGGCGATCATTAAAAAGTCAGGAAACAACACATGCTGCAGAGGATATGGAGAAATAGGAACGCTTGTACACTGTTGGTGGGAGTGTAAATTAGTTCAACCATTGTGGAAGACAGTGTGGCAATTCCTCAAGGATCTAGAGCCAGAAATACCATTTGACCCAGCAATCCCATTACTGGGTATATACCCAAAGGATTGTAAATCATTCTACTGTAAAGACACATGCACACGTATGTTTATTGCAGCACTATTCACAATAGCAAAGACGTGGAACTAACCCAAATGTCCATCAATGATAGACTGGATCAAGAAAATGTGGCACATGTATACCATGGAATACTATGTAGCCATAAAAAAGGATGAGTTCATGTCCTTTGTAGAGACATGGATGAAGCTGGAAACCATCATTCTCAGCAAAGTAATGCAGGAACAGAAAACCAAACACCACATGGTCTCACTCATAAGTGTGAGTTGAACAATGAGAACACATGGACACAGGGAGGGGAACATCACACAATGGTATGTCAGGGGTGGGAGCCTAGGAGAGGGATAGCATTAGGAGAAATACCTAATGTAGATGACGGGTTGATGGGTGCTGCAAACCACCATGGCATGTGTGTAACTATGTAACAAACTGCACATTCTGCTCATGTATCCTAGAACATAAAGTATAATAAAAAAACCATAGTGTTAAAATGTGCATAACAGAAATTTTTACCATTTTAACCATTTTTAAGTAGATAGTTTTGTGACATTTAGTATATTCACATTGTTATATTCCCAGTATACAGGTCCATAACATTTTCGTCATCCCAAACTGACCCTGCCAATTACTCCTCATATTCCACCCCTCCCCATTCCTGGCAACCATCGTTATACTTTCTGTCTCTATGAGTTTGCAAAGGCCATGTTTAATAGTGCCAAAACTTGATATCCACTATTAATAGGAGCAGCATGATATGGTAGGAAAAATTTTGGACTGGAGCCAAACGCTTTCTGTCATATTTAGTTTGTAATCTGGGCCAAACTGTTTGATTTCTCTGAGACTCTGTTTCTTCGCCTCTAAAATGGGACTAGCAATTTACTGTGATGTTGTGAGAATTACATGAGACAACGTATGTAAATCATCAGGCTCATAATAGGCATTTAATAAATGATATTAGAAATATAGAATGTTCTCAAAGTATTCTTATTTTATTTTATTTTTGTTCTTAAAATATTAACTCATTTTTTTCAGTCGGACAATTTTTTAATGACTTCTGCAGGAGCCGGTGAGACTACTACAGTGTAATGATAGTATGTCATTGTGAATTCAAATCTACCTATTTCCCAGGTTGGTCCATGGTATGTTACAAATGAATTTTTTTTCCTTGGAGAGTAGAAATCACAAGTCGTTGCATTTTATAAACTGAAGTTTTAAACAATGTTTTGCTATATCTATAGAAATAAATTTTTTTGGCTGTTGCCAGTAGAAAGCAAAGTAATGATTTAACTCATGAATTTTATTTTTGGCCAGTTTTTAAATCATCCTCTAATTTTCCTATTAAAATTATTTTGTTTGTAAAAAATCCTTACCTTTACTTTGGGAGGCCGAGGCGGGCGGATCACGAGGTCAGGAGATCCAGACCATCCCGGCTAAAACGGTGAAACCCCGTCTCTACTAAAAAAATACAAAAAATTAGCCGGGCGTAGTGGTGGGCGCCTGTAGTCCCAGCTACTTGGGAGGCTGAGGCAGGAGAATGGCGTGAACCCGGGAGGCGGAGCTTGCAGTGAGCCGAGATCCCGCCACTGCACTCCAGCCTGGGCGACAGAGCGAGACTCCGTCTCAAAAAAAAAAAAAAAAAAAAAAAAAAAAAAATCCTTACCTTTTGTTCAATTCACTGTCTGTCACTTCCGTCTTAGAATATATAGAATAAATAAAAGGAGATTTAACTTAAGCTTGCTAAATTTTTGTTAGCTCTGTTAAAACAGGTCTTCTGTATTCCAGGAGTCAAAGAGTATTTAAACTACCCAAATAATCAAGTTATGCAAATTAATGAAATTCCTATATTGTTAAGTTACATATTTTACTATTTCCAATGTATTGATTGAAAAATATTTACTGGGCAATTTCTCTTTTTTTAGAGATGGGTTCTCTGTTGCTCAGGCTGGAGTGCAGTGACATGATCATGGCTCACTGTTGCCTGGACTGCCTAAGCTTAAGGGATCCTCCTACAGGCACAGTCTACCACAGATAGCTTATTTTTTTAAAGTTGTTTTTGTTGAGATGGAAGTCTTGCTGTGTTGCCCGGGCTGGTGTTGAACTCCTAAACTCAAGTGATCCTCCTGCCTTGGCCTCCCAAAGTGCTGGGATTATAGGTATGAGCCACTGTGCCTGGCTTTATTGAGCAGATTCTGTCAAGTATTAAGTATCAGTTTTTGTGAGAGATTAAAAAAAATCTAAATCATGATTTCTTCCCTGAAAGAATTTAGAGTCTCCTTGGAAAGGGAGGCCACTTGTGCATTAAAGTTTAAGGTTGCGGTTCAGAAGGTCAGAGTCATGGGGTTTGTGAGACTAATGACGAGTTAGGCTTTGAGGTGAAGATGGGATATCCTAATTTAAATGAGACTCTGGATCTCAGGACAAAAGACTGGCATGCTATCCAACATAAAGGGTTTTATATGCATTAATGATAAAAGCAGATGTTGGTACAATTTGTAAACTTTGCTCCCTAAATAGTAAGTATATTTTAAATATTCTACAAAATAATCAAGTTTGACAATAGTTTTCAGTTGCTACCTCTTTCTGTGGTCTCTGTCTGCTTAGCCGTTTTCTTGAAATCAGTGGCTTCTTAAAGGAAGAAGGACATCAGGAGTATGTTAGAATTGCGCCTCAAGATCAGCTGACTTCAGGTCATATATCTTCACCACTTTCTCCAGAGAAGATAGATATCAAAAATCCAACTTGGCTAAGCTAAGGATGGGAACTGAAGGATGAAGGATGGAGAGCCGGGATTGGGCCAGGCCTGTAGAAAGGCATCTAGTTATGACTGGCGGGTGACCCACTGAATCAACTAAGTGAGTGGATTGGTTTCAGTGCACAAAGTTAGTGTGTAAAATTGTTAACTAAAATTAGGTTTCTGGAAAAATTTTGGGATTTTATTACAAAAGCTATGTTAATCCTTAATTATCATAGGAATCATTTGGTGCATATTGAAAGTAGAAGAAGATATGCATCCAGTTAGAATATTATGCAATTTAGCATCACCAGGGAAGCGAAACAGCAGCATTTGTTTGAAATTGGGGGCTCCTTTTTTCCAATTACATTTTTCAAAGATTGCTATAAACTGTGATTTTTTTTTCAAAGAACAAATAGTCATTCCTATATTGAATTCAGCTGTGTGTTTAATAATTTTTACATTCTAAAATTTGTATGTGGTGTATAAAGTTTCTTTCCTCAGCAGCTGAAATTGATAGGTTAAGCTAAAGATGAAAATATCTAGCATTTGCTCTCGGCTTGAAGGGAGCGGCATGTTTCTCAGGAAGCTCTCGCCTGGGAGCTCAGTTTGTTTGAGTTCTGTTATTTCTAGTGATGCTAGCTAATCATCTTTTAGAGTTTCAGTTTCCCTTTGGCTATGTCAAGAGGTCGAGTGTTATAAACTGCCTTATGCTTTCCTCACTTAGATGGGAGGGCCCATGTAATTCTGCTTTCGAAGAGCATTTAGCTTCTCCAAAGAAAAACACTTAACCAACTAATGAATCATAAGAGTTCTAAATGCTTTTCTTAGTAATATCTCAGTTTTACTCTGTAGTGGCAGAAAAATTTAGACAGCTATGATTTCCTCAGTTTTAGTGTTGGAGAAGACTAAGGCTGGGATTTTTCAGGAAATGAATGATGTTTTAACTTGAAAAGTACTGGATCACAAAGAACATAACATGCGGTATGCTTTCAGTTTCTTTTAGAAAAAAAATCATGAATTGAAAAAGTTTTAATAGCTTTCCATGTATGCTAGGTATTTCTATACCATTCTGGAGACACTAATCAAAGGAAATATAAACACATATATCACAAAGGATTGAAATTTGACTTTAAGAGGGTGAGTGGCAATGGAGCTCCTCGATACACTTCCCGTTTCACAGGGGAAGAGATGGGAATTTGCAGAAAAACTGACTTAGTTCTGCCTGGATGTGTCAAGCCCATGAGCCAGAGCTGGTCACCATCCTGACCCACAGTAGAATCAGTGGTTCAGTTGTAATTTTCTCTCTGATTTATCTAAAGAGATCACTGTTAAGAATTCTGTTAGGAACCTGCTTTATCTTAGAAATATGACAATGAGTAAAATTGTGAAATTTTTACACTGTTTTGGTGCATATGCATTTATGTTGAATACTATTCAATGGAAAAGTATTGCCTTATATATCTGCTCTGTTCAGTTTTTGAATCTTTCATGCCGTTGTCAACTTTTACAAAAGAAGAATTTAATACCACATTATTTCTTCTTACATCTATTTTTGAAAAGCAGTTATTCTCAACACTACCCTAAATATTTAAAAAGAAAAACATTTCACTAACACAAGATTTTGCTATTTGATATCTCCCTGTCAAATCTGAACAGGGTACCTTTACAAAAATCTTTGAAAACAACCTTTAGAAATAGTCTGGAATCAGTTTATGTCAAACAAATGTATGCTCTAAATCAGCAGTCCCCAACCTTTTCAGCATCAGGGACTGGTTGCATGGAAGACTATTTTTCCAAGGGAAGGGGGGATTGTTTCAGGATGAAATTTCCACTTCAGATCATCAGGCGTTAGTTATTTTCTCATAAGGGGCATGCAACCTAGGTCCCTCACATGTGCAGTTCACAATAAGATTCGAGCTCCTGTGAGAATCTAATGCTGCCACTGGTCTGACAGGAGGTGGAGCTCAGTTGTTAATGCTCAGTTGCTCACCTGCAGCTCACCTTCTGCTGTGCCGTGCAGTTTCTGATGGGCCACAGACTGACACCGGTCCGTAGCCATGGGATTGGGGACCCCTCTTCTAAATAATAATTCTAACAAGCCACCTTAATATTCAATTCAAGAATGCAGTCCATGATCAAGTAAAATGTTGTTAGAAGAAACAGGTTTCATATTTCATATCTCCAGAGAGTCTTTAAGACCATTAGACTATTCAGCAAAATTATCCATATATGATTTTTATTTTTTGCTTCCCATTAGCCAAACCCACATATATTATTATTACTTTTTTAAAAACTGCATTAGTATGTTCTAAAGCTTCCTTTTCATTTCTTTTGTGGTTTTAATCTTTGGAGAGTGAGCTAGAAATACCCATTAGAGATGAATTCTAGGAAAATAAATGTAAGCAGTAACTCTGGCTCAATTTATTTTTCTTCTCTACAAGAACTGTTTAAAACCTGGCAGTGGAAGACTATTCTCTTGTCTACCAAGTATTATAGTAGGAAGTGCAAGGTCATCTCTAAATATAAAAGATTCTATGTTTCTAAGGAAAGAGTGTATCTTAAGAAGGGTAAATGAAATAGTTGGCTAGAGGGAAAGGGAAATTTCCTTATTTCACCCTGAAACTTGGCAGCATTTCTGAAACAGAGCTTGAAGCTTTGAGATGAATTAAAAAGAGTTTGTTTCACCTTCTATGGAAGCTCTTTTGCACCCAATTTACTTTTCCCCTGTCTGGTCAGGAAGGCACTTCATCATTAGAGATTTTGTAAAACTTCATCGGTTGATTAAAATGCAGATAGCATGCCTCTCGGTGAGAAAATAATTTTAATATTGTCAGTTTTAGAAATCTGCCTACATAAAACATACGTGAGAAAAAATGTGTTTTCAAACCTGAATTTTTATGTAGGCTTGTTCACTAACTTCTCCATTTCATCATCAGAAGCTCACCCTTTCAAGCTACTTCGCTTTGTGTGTTGTGGGGAGACTGAGGGTGGGTAAGGCATTTTGGCACGACTCAAACTGGTCCATTTTATTTCAAATAAGTCCTGATGAAAGGGCAAATCCTACTCTCAGCATAATCTTCTTTAGAAATAGGAGGAATAAATGCTCCTAAAATGAATGCATAGTAAGGAAGGGCAGGGCAGATGCCATGATCTGGGTGCAACTCTTAAGCTGATGTGTGGCCCAATGATCCTCATACGTGGAAGCCGAATGGACCATAGCACCCTAGCTTCCTTTATAGTCCCCTTTGTTTGGTTTTATCAGTTGAGGGAGATGGCCTACTTCTTTGCCATGTGAGTAAACAACAGAATGCAACTAATCTTCTAGTGGAAGATCATGGAAAAAGCTGCTACCTATGACTATAGAAGTACATTTCAAAATTTGGTGTAAGTCAGAAATAAAGTCCTGGAAAGTAGTTAAATTTCTTCAACACTTCAGGGCTAACTTTTTTTTAAGTTCATAAACTTTACTTTTTAGAGAAGTTTTAGATTTACAGAAAATTTGAGCAGAAAGTACAGAGAATTCCCATATACTCCTCATATCCAACCCACCGCAGTTTCCCCTATAATTAATGTCTTGCATTAGTGTGATACATTTGTTACTTTGATAAGCCAATATCAATATATTGAGACCCATAGTTATTTTTTATTTTTTTTCTTCATGAACCCATAGGTAGAGATTCATAGTTTAAATCAGGGTTCACCCTTTGTGTTGTCCATTCTGTGGGTTTTGACAAGTGTATAATAATATGTATCTATCATTATAGCACCATACAGAGTAGTGGCACCGTCCTGAAAATCTCCTGTGCTTTGCCTGTCACCCTCTTCCAAACCCCTGACAACCACTAGTCTTTTCACTGTTTCCATAGTTTTGCCTTTTTCAGAATGTCATATAGTTGGACTCAACTATGTATAGTGTTTTCATACTGGCTTCTTTCACTTAGCAATGTGCATTTAAAGTTCCTCCATGTCTTTTTGTGGCTTGATAGCTCATTTCTTTTTGACACTGAATAATATTCCATTGTATGGATGTACCACAGTTTGTTTGTTTATTCACTTATTGAAGGACATCTTGGTTACTTCTGAGTTTTGGCAATTATGCATGAAACTGCTATAAACATTTGTGTGTAGGCTTCTGTGTGAATGTAGTTTTTAACTCATTTGGGTAAATATCAAGAAGTATAATTGCTGAATCAAATGGTAAGGACATGTTTAGTTTTGTAAGAAATGTCAAGGTAACTTCTGATGTTCTGTAAATACTTGCGGATTTGAAGAAAGAAAAATGAAGCAGAAATGATGTGATGCCTTTAAGAACTGAGACCCTTGCAATTGATTGGAAATTAAGTGGTCTATTGCTATATGTATTAGCTTAGTTTTATTGAAGACATGTAGGGAAGATCTTCCCTTCTCTATTCTTGTTCTAGGTAAAAACTGCTCAGAAGGTTTTAGCCTATGTTTTAAAAAATAGCTGGGGGAAAAAATGAAGCCTTCAGTAAGTCCAGATTTGTTTGGCCTCATAGGATCTAAGATTGCCCATTAGGAATGCCTGTTAAATTTTGTGTCAAAACTCCCCTACATTCTTGCCTTTTTCTTTATCATTCCTCCTATCTTTCCCTATAACCATAGCCTACCTGCCCCTTACATGATCTTTCAATAGTGTTGTTTATTCTCCTACCCCTCATTCCAGTTTTGAGGAGAAAGGTTGAGCACACTTCTCCTTGATGCCTCCTTCTAAAGCTTTAAACTCTTGTTCCAGTGCCATCTCTGGGAACCCTACTCTTCTCTGGAGGCTGGTGGACAGCTGACATTCTGACTTTTCTCATCCACATTAATGTTTTCCACTGACCTCCAGGACTCTCTCACACTCTTTAGTTTTATTATTCTTATTCACGATCTTATTCCTCAAAATTGCCATCCCCCATCAGCACCTCTAAACACTGTCTCTCAAAGGGTCATATAATCTCTGGGAACTAATGTTCCAGCTTCAAAATTGAGAACTTTGAATCTCTCTTATCTCATTTGTCTGTTCATCATAATTCTGTTTTCTCTTCACTCACTCTTACTGAACCTGTACTTAACCTTTTTTGTGGTTTCTGATTTCTCAACACCCATATTCTAACCCATTAGCTCCCTTGATTCCTTTCTCAGATCCACAATCAACTCTATCAACAAGGCTATTACCAGCACCTAAAATTGTTCTTATCTCTTGTCCTTATGCCACATCTGCCTTGTCAACCTCTGTCGTATACTGTCTCAACTGTATTTCTCTCCCTTGATGGAGAAAGTTATAAGGTAGAACCTTTTCATTTCACATACATGCACAGAGTGATATTTAACACTGAGCCTCATTTGCTAGGCAGTAAGGAATAGGAAAGAATCCAAATTTGTTAATGCATTCAGGTCACTCTAGCACTCCATGACCTGGCTTTAATGTAAATTTTCATATTTGTATTCTGTTACTCCTTTATAGCCTCTCCTGCCAAACTGTACTGTTTACTTTTCTCATATTTCTTTATTCATCTGTGTGTTTTATCTTACACCAGGGATGGCAAATAGATTTCATCTTATATGACTGTTCTGCTCATTGTGGCAATGAGTAGGTCTATGTTGAGAAGGATTCTGATGCTCAAAACCAGGTCAGCAAGAGATTGCAATGATCGACTAGTAATGACCATCATGGGTATGGAAGATGGAAGGACCATGCATTAGTGGGGCATTGCCCAGCGTTTGCCACATATTTTCCCCTCCTGCTTTACATTCTTCATGTGTGATTCTATACATCCCTCAAGGTTCAGATTAATCACTAATTAAAAGAAAACTTATATTTTTATTCCACATATCTTCTCTTTATAGATTACCATATCACTTTAGATATTCCCTGTGTGAGGACAGGTATTATTGGGTATGAGTACATGTGTTCTTCTTCCTTCTATATTGTTAGCTCTTCCAAGGTAGAAATAATTCTTAATTATCCAATTTTGTTGATCACAATGGAAGCATGATGAGAATCCACAAGGAAAATCTCAAACAGTTGGCATGAACACAAATGGAGTATCCTGAACTCACTTTTGACTTAAAGGTCAAGATGGATAATGGAGGAAGTATCCATCCCAGGCTCTGCTACTACTCTGCTTCCATTTGGTTGTCCTTCCCAAAACTTTACATACTTCCAAATTGAAAGATTCCCTAGATCTGAAAGGGGAAGGAACAATTTTAGTAGGTCTGGTGAAGAATATAGAAACTTACTCTTATTGCAAATAGTTGAAACAGAACCAAGGAACATTTTTGACTTGTCTAGTTTCACAGATAATGCTAACATTAATCATGGATTTCTGAATCAGGTTTTTCATCTTTTTACCAGGCAGTGCGGCACCATATTTAATAATTATTTTACTCATTTTGAGGGAACATGTATTGGTTGTGCTATTATTTTGTCACATATCAAGTTTTATGCAATTAGAAATTAACCCATGGGTTTTGTTGAAGAAGTACACATTTTCTGTAAAGTAACTTTTCATTAGGAAGAAGCTTATGGACATTACTATTTTTTATTTTTGGCAAGTAAACTTTTATTTGAAATATATATACAGAAAAGTGGTACAAACCTCAAATAGATAATTTGATGGATTTTCAAAACAGTGAACCCATCTGTGTAACCAGCACCTAGATCAAGAAATAAAATGGTGTCAGCACCCCAGAAGGAGCACACCTTCTCCCAGTTGCTGCCTCATCCTAAAGGTGACCACTCTCCTAATTTCTGACCCCGTAGGTTAGTTTGACCCATTTTTGAGCTTTGTATAAATGAGTCATATAATATGCATCTTCGTGTTTGGCCTCTTTCCCTCCACATAATATTTGTGAGATTTACCTGTATTTTTGTGTGAAGCAATAGTTTATTTTTATGGGTGTTCAGTATTCCATTGAGTACATATACCATATTCTGCATCTTAAATGATTCTTTTACACTTACTGTCACTCTTAAAGTGGAGTTGAGAAACTGAGTATAAAATGTCTAAGATTATAAGGATCTTTGTGTTATTTAACTTATTTATCATTTTCATTATTTTAATCTCTTCATGGAAATTGTGGCTAAGGATTTCTAATATGAGCTCTAAAATTTTAGTATTATATTCTAGCTATTTGAATACAGTGAATCAATATTGTAGGCCTTTGGAAACGTTTTTAAAGTAAATATTACCTGAAAAAAACTAGTTTGTTGTAGGATTAAACTCTGTGTTCTGTTCTTATAACTTCATATATGGCATTTCTTGAAATGACTGAAGGAATTCTTGGATTTAAAGGTCATCTCGATTTCCCTAGGAAGTCATTTAGACATTATAAATGATGGTTTATTCAGAAGAAGGAAGATGAGAGATGGAGATTTCCTGTCAGTGCAAGGATATTGGAGGACAGACTTCAACATATTATTTATATATATTAGTATCTTATCCAGTTCAGCTCAAGGCAGATAATAGGTGATGTTTTGGTGCTGTGTGTATAGGTTCTAGTAGATTAACAAGTTATTCAGCCTTATGGCTGTGTTTTCAGATTTGAATCAGTTAATATTTGTAGAACATCCGTGAGATAAAAAGATCAAGATGAAGGCAAAAAAATGACACAAGAGCTCTGAATTCTTACCTTTGAGGGGCGGCATACAATTTATTCAGGAAAATGACAAGTCAAAGATTCTACAAGTTTGACAATTAGCTACTAAAATAAATATTTTACACACACATGCTAAGTGTGTGTAATTGAAGAGGGGTAAGGAGGGAAGAATATAGAGTATTTCTCTTAAGTAGACTAGGAAGAAAGATAGGACATTTGAGTTAGACTTTGGAAGTAGGAGAAACGAGATAATTGGCATAGAAATGTTGGCCATGAAGTGGTGAAAGCCATTGCCATGGAAAAAGAAGGCATAAAGGAGCCTGGCAAGAAAAGAAAAGATTCACTGGTGTGGAGGGAGAGGGAATGAGGACGTGGTCAGCCTTTTCTTGGGAATTTGAATTCGTATTCCAGGTAAAAGAATGCCAATGCAGTGCTTCTCAGTAGTTTTTAAGCCCATGCCTCCTTTAGATAAACATATATCTTTACCACTCCATCCTAAAACTCTGATTACCTTTCCTCCCCATAATATGTAGGTGATTATATTTCCTACGTATCTCCAGCCAAGATGATTTTGTTAAGCTTCACTCTCTATAGTATATATTGTAGAGAAAGGATTCCCCCCAAATGTAAATTAGATGAGAATGTTGAGTTAAGTTAATAACTACATACATCCTGGGGACATTCTAACATGCCTGTGTGTGTATGTACTTCTTCATTTCTTCTCCATCCTTTGAAAATCACCAAGGCTAAGTGCCATAGCCAAAAGAATAAATGAGAAGGGTGAGGTTTCCTCTCCAGTGCACTTGATACTAATTGAAATTAGGGTCCACAGACTAGGAAATTTAGTGAAATGGGTGTATTAAAAGAACGAGGGTCTGGTCGAACAGTCTACTCTGAGAGGAAGAGGGGTATAAAATACAATATGAGGAAAAAAATCTGAAAGTACTGTTCGGAACTACGCTACTAAAATAGGCTGTATATACACTTTTTCCAGGTTTTTTGGACTTTGTATAGAAAATGAAGTGTTTTGTTTTAGCCATTTGAAGGATTATGTGTCTGCATGACATTTGGTGGAAGTATTTGATAAGTACAGGAAATAAAAGATGAGCTAATAAGAGAAAACAATCAGGACTGGCAAATTAGATTTGGAGATGATTCATATAGAGATCATTATAATCGCAAAGGCAAATTATGTTTAGGAGGCTCTGTATAGAGAACAACTAGCCAAACCCTGAGGGAATGTTAATGGTAGTACGAGAGAAGCAAATATTAGGTTTCTGTCTGAGTATTCAGATGACCAGAAGGCAAATCACCAGGAAAATATATTTTAAAAGTTAAAATTAGGAATCTTTTTGGGGAGGAATTTATTTAGATTTAAAAACACATTTATTGAGGACCTACTGTGGTAAGTGCTGGGGTTGTAAGTATAAATAGGATAGAGTCCCCTAAACCTCAAGAAGCTGACAAATATGGTAAGGAATAAAGAACTGAAGACAATTGGGGTGTAATGTGATGGGTGAGTGCCCAGTAATTTACAAAATAATTATTTTCAAACTTAATTTCACCCAGGCAAGAAAAAGTAGTGCAAATATTTAGGGTAGGAGGGTGAGAAAGCAACGAAGTCGCACAAATATTGTGGTTTTATAGTAAATGTTGTCAAGGTGGAGACATATATGGATGATAGATCCTCAGGGATGTTTTATGGGTTTAATATATACAATGGAAATTCTTTAGAAAAGTATTTGAGGAGTTGTGCAGCTGTATTGCTGATATGAGACTTGTGGTTTCTTTTCCACATTTTATAACTATGAAGTAGTAGGCTGGGTCCTTGAATAAGTGTGTGTTCTTTGGTTTGCATGAATGGTATGTACTTTGAATTCTCAAAACAGAACTCCAGTTTATTTTCTCAGTAGTCCCAGTGAGAAAAGCTGTATTTCTTAAATATGGTCAGAAAGCACTTGACGGAGGAGTGTTTACTGTAGAAACCTGTGATTGTCTGCAGGTACCAGCATAAACATGTTCCCATTCCTCATCCCGGGGGGGTAATCTCATTATTAAACCTATGCAACCTTCAAGTTAGCTTATTTTTAATGTTTGTTTCATATTTTAAAAGCAAGAAGTGAACACGGAAAAAAGTTTAACAATATGAAAGAACATATAATAAATGGTCAGCCCCAGATCCTCAGTGCCCCAGATCCTCAGCACCCCAGAGGCAAATACTGTTAACAGTTTCTAGTGGGTCTTTCATACAATAGATGTTTTTATTTTCATAGAGAGAATGGCTTTTATTTGACCTCTGGAATACAAAAAGGTAACTGTAGTTTCCTTGCAATGCAGTTGGCAAATTATTTTTACCTTCTTTTTCCAAGCAGACTCTGAAACATGAGTTTTGAGGAGCAGGATTAAATACTCTGACCTAAGAGACCCAGATATTTGGATTTTTATGTGGACATGTACTCACTGAAACTGAAATTTGGAGGAACTGGAATTAATAACATTTTCCCTCATGTAATTCATGGAATTTATTGCTTTGGCTCTAATTATGCATTTATGTTATATTCTGAATAATGCAAAGGAGAATATTGAAACATTTTAGGCCGTCAGAACACTTTTCCCGCTCTCAAGCTGTCTCCCTATTGTATTTGTGCTGAAATGCCAAGCTGCATGTGACAGTAGAAGAGTTGGCAGTATCTGTCTTAGAATAAGCTTTCACATGCAGCTTCAAACACCTTTGTGGTTTGGGTTATATTTTGACAGTTGCTAGGTAGCTTGAGTCAGAGAGTGCAGCTGTGCAATTTAAGATGTGTTTTCCTATCCTTTCCTCTAAAGAGAGCTAAAAAAATAAAACTATAATCAGATTTCTAAAGTGTTAAACGGGATAAAACTATTTAGAACCCATACTATAGAATGAAGTAGATGAATTCTGATAAAGCACATATATACTAAAGTATACCAGTGAATTTATTTCAGATGAAACTAGGTAGGCTCATTGTAAACAGATGAGCTTCTGAAATTTCTGAACTGTTTCATTGAAAGGTAAAACAATGGGTTTGGGAGCACCCACACTTCTTGGCACAGGTGAGTGGTTGGCACTCATTAACCACCGAATTCTGACACGAACATGCTGTTTATGAAGAAAAATCAGGGAAGGAGACTAAGATTTCTGATAAGAAAGAGTAGAAGAAAAGGTAGAAATTCAACTTACTTGGTAAAACGGGAGTACGTCAGGATTAGAAATGGGCTCTTACACAACGAGAAATAAAGATAGCTTTTTCATAGGCTTCCTATTCTGAGAGTTTTTCTTGTTGATTTGTAGAGTGTAAATGTACTTCTTCCTGAAGACAAGGACTAGGCCGAGGTAGTTTGATGTAAATGTGGGGACTCATTTGTTATGAACCCATAGTAGACTGCTGTGGGAAAACATTGTGAACAAAAGAAGGAGTCAAAAAATAAACAAAACATTTTGTGGCAAGTTATCTAAGACAGATCCTGGAGAAGGGCTGATTGAGAAGGTAAACTAGAACAAACGGCTTTAAAAATAATAGACAAGGTCAAAATATTTCTGGGCAAGAAGGACAATCAAACCACTTGCAGGTGTTGTGTTGCTGCCTAGAGACTGGTTTGGCCTGACCCAAGTGATGGTGTCTGGAGCCAAACCTTTTATCAGGAGAAATATAGGACCACAGAGATGAGACAAGTACTACCAGTCCTGGGGAAGTAAAGAGACGGAAAATTCCTTTCTTTAACTAGAGGGAATGGACCCTGCAGTCAACCTGTGTACTTGCAGAGCTATATGTCTTTGGTATTCTGATATACTTCACAAAGTATATTTTATGCCCTAGGTGCTAAGTGAATTGACAATGAAGACTTGGTATTGAGGGAATTAAAGGGCAGGTGGGGTTCTGTTCCCAAGGCTACAGTCCATAGAATATTGGCAAGGTGGAGACAAACATGACATACCATCTTCCCTGCCTTCTTTAATCCCTGGGTGGATGGTAGCAGGCAAGAGAGTAATAAATGCAAGGAACAGTAGGTTTGCAGTACCCTTGGTATTCTGTCATATGTGTAATTGAAAGCCACAACAAAATAGCAATAGAAAAGAAAATATTAGTGAGGCGGCTCATGCCTGTAATCTCAGCACTTTGGGAGGCTGAGGTGGGAGGATTGCTTGAGGCCAGGAGTTTGAGACCAGCCTGGGCAACGTAGAGAGACCCCATCTCTACAAAATAACAAAAAATTAGCAAAAGAAAAAAGGCTTTTTTGTGTGTGCGTGCATGTGTGTGTTTGTGGGAAGTCTTAATTTTTGCCTTGAATTTTAAAGGAAGATTTAAATGATTAAAGTAATGATTAAAGTAATTGTGAGATGTGCAGATGACATAGAATAATGGAAATTAAAAAATAAATATTTATTGCCTTTTCTCCCCTGCTTACAAAAGCAGTACAGCTTAATGCAAGAAATTTGGAGAAATGTAAAAGGAGAATGGCATTTAAAAATAACCTTAAAATGTTTTTTTTCTTGAAATATTCAATGGTGGTGGTGGGTAGAGAGTGAGAGGAAGAAGCTCCTCATAGACTTTGAGAAAATCAAGAGGTTTTAAAGAGCAATAAAAGGAACTGAGCACATCTCCTTTAGGATCTGTAGAACTGGCCTTAAATCAATACAGAAATGTCTAGCAAGAGGCAATCTCTCTGGGGAGATTATTAAAGTGAGAGTAGATTATCATTTGAGTGACTGGTTCAGGTTCTCTGAGGTGCTCTTGAAGTACCACTGACTGTTGAAGCATGTATCTGAAATTTCCTTTTAACACAAGTTTTCAGTGATTCTCTTAGAGGTTAAACACACAGACACACAGACACACAGACACACACAGACACACACACACACACACACACACACACACACACACACACACACACACGACTGCAGCCAGGAAGCCTGGCTCAGTCACCAGGTAGTGGTATGCCCTTGGGCAGGTGATTTAACCTTTCCAAGGTTTAGCAATTTCCTCATTAGTACTGCGACAGGATTGAATCAGATTTTCTCCAAGGTTTCTACCTGCTCTAACTGTTTTGTTTTAAGGAATTGATCTCATTTTCTCTTCCTGTCTGTCTCACCCCACCATTTCCCCTTGTCCCAAGGTAATTAAGCCATTTCCAGTTCAGACAGTGAGCTAAGTGCTTTTTGGAACATACGAACTCAAGGAATGCACGTTTTTGTCAATTATTTGAGAAAGTGTGAATCCTGCATGGAGTTTAGAATATATGATTGTCAGAATTGTCTTGATAAATATGGTGTGTGTGTGTTTGTGTGAAATAGAGAATGCATGTAGGAATAAACGAGCAAGCTTATAATTTTTAGTAATATTTGGAATGAGAAAAATTAGGAGGGTTCAGTACTTGATAAGAAGGTGGGTTTCATAAGTAGAATAAACCCGAAGGCCATATACATATCAGGAGAGTTACTTTATGGCTTATATGTTTTTTCCCTTCCAGTATTATAGAAGACAGGTTATATTGTCTGTACAACAACTACACCTACCTACTTCAGGTGTTCATCTTTGGAGTGGGGACCTACGGGAATCCCTGAGTTGGTATAAAGTTTATTTCAAGCTGGAGACATTTGAGATTCAAGAACACATATTGGAGCTTCCCTTATCTGACTAAAAGCAGCAACTTGTGGGAAATGAGGCTACCATAAATCCTCTCTCCAGGAGAGTTTCATGGCCATGAAGAAGACAGAAAGACCACTTGCACCTCCATAAACAAACATTATCACAAACTTTCTTATATACCGTTTGCTCTCCTAAAAATTGATTTGCCTTTCCTAAGGAAGCCTACCTGTTTTTCCCATAGGAGCTTCCTCCCCTTTCCCCACAAAGTTAGGTATATAAGTCTCATATTCTAACCACCCCTTTGAGTTAGTCATCACTGGGCACTCCCACATGTGTGTGCATTGCACGTGTAAATAAACTCCTTCTTTTCTCTTGCTATTTTATTTTCTGTCAGTTTAATTCACATACCTCCAGGAAATAAACCTAAGAGAGCAGCGGAAAAACTTTTTTCCTCCCTGACATCTGTTTTATGTAAATGCAGTTTTTGTAAACATGAAGATAGGATTTCCGGAAACTTCAGACTTTGGGAGCAGTTCTACATACATAGAAAAAATACAACAAAACAGTCAGTACAGATGCATTTTAGTAATTACGTAGCTTATCAAGTAATAATCAATCTAGAATCTGAAGAGTTTTTTCTATTGCACAGTGATAGAAGTATTGATTAGCTATCTGTCTGGAATAAAAGCAGTGCTCTGATTGGCTGCAGTGGTCTTTATTTGAAGAAGCATATGAAGCTATTGGTGTTTATGGCAAGGCATGCTGCCTGAGCCGCTATAAGAAGAAAGACTTTCCCAATGACACCTAAAATCTGGGTACAAGTGATAAGAAAGAGAAGAGACAGGAACTGGGGAAAGTAGTGAAAAGCAGTAGAGACAGTGGGGGAGAAAAGACATTGGCTCCAGGGGGAGCAATTTCACTTCTCTTACCCCTCACCTGCAGGTCCTGGTATGGAAATAGGCATGTTAGAGGAGACCAGGAGGACAAGAAGGTCTAGCCTTGGACAAAGTTCAAGGGGCCTTTAGACCCCAACAAGATGAAATAGAAGAAGTACTGGCACCTGGCCCCATTCCCCTGACTCCACCTCACCCAAACCCTGATGATTATATATTAAGATTGCATTTCTGTACCAATGTGAGGCCACAAGATAGATGGCTCATGGCTGGGCATTTGGATTTGCTGTTGGTAGTAAAAGGTCAATGTAGAACAATTTCCAAATAGCTCTCCTCTCATATATGAATAAGGATGGTTGGCATTTGATTTTGCTATGTATTTTAAAGCTGCAGCAAATGCAGTGAATGAATTCAGCGACAGCTTTGGCCATGTTTTTGATGTACCGGGTGGTGATAGTTGGAGGTAGGAGGGACTTAATAGCATGTGGAATGAGGGCAAAAATATCATTCAAGGCAACGTGCCTTTCAATTCCTGGCACCTCCTGTTGCACAGCTGCAATGTGGTAGGGTGGGGGAGGGAGCAGGGAGGATGGTGGGGAGATGGCACTGCTGTGTGCTGCAGCCTGCCCTGGCCAGCCAAACTCTTGACAAGGCAGCTGGAGAGTACTGATCCTGGCTCTAGATTGTCATCTGATTACACATTGTTTTACCAACTTCATGACTGTTATCTGTTTGCTACAGCTTGTAAAAAAATCTCTATGCTTGGAATGGCATGGTAGTGATTAAAAAGAGATAGGAAGCACTTAATATGCTCATTCATTTGCATTTATTGTAGATTAAAGGAGGAGATGAAGGTGTGTAACTATCTTTTACTATTGCTCTCAGGATTAATATATCATATTGCTTCTGTCATTTAACATTTTTATACCGATGGATTTTTCTTCAATGTTCATATATGTATAGAAATGTTGATAGATGCCAGTCACTGCTAATTAATGTTATAATTCTAAGATGCTGGCGGGTTGTAGGTAGCTTTGGCCAAGGTCCCTTCTTTAAACCTCTCCTATTTTGGGCCTGAGGGTGAAACTAGTCACTCCTTTTAGAAAACAGAGCTAGACTTGAATCCCAGAGCAGCCACTAGGATATCTATATACATCTATAATATGTATCTATGTCTGTCTATCTGTATAAATTTTGTTTTATTATGGTAAATATATTTAACATAAAATTAACTATTTTAGCCATTTTTAAGCATTAAGTACATTCACATTGTTCTGCAACCATTACCATCCATCTCCAGAACTTTTTCATCTTCCCCAATTGAAATTCTATAGCCATGAAACATAAACTCCCCATTTTCTCCTTTCTCCACTCCCTGGTGGCCACTATTCTGCTTTCTGTCTTTATGAATTTGACTCTTTTATGTACCTCATATAAATGGAATCGTACAATATTTGTCCTTTTATGACTAGCTTATTTCACTTAGCATAATGTCTTTAAGGCTCATTCGTGTGGTAGCAGGTATCAGAATTTCCTTCCTTTTAAATTCTGAATAATATTCCATTGTAGGTATGTACCATATTTTGTTTATCCATTCGTCTAATGATGGACCCTTGTGTTGCTTCCACCTTTTAGCTATTGAGAATAATGCTGATATGAACACAGGTGTGCAAATATCTGTTTGAGTTCCTGCTTTCAGTTTTTTGGGTATATTCCCCGGAAGTGGGATTGCTGGATCGATCATATGGTAATTCTAGCTTTAATTTTTTGAGGAACTGTGATATCATTTCCTAGGACAAACTTTAATTTCTCTGTGCCTCACCTTCCTTATTTGTGAAACAGGAATAATCATCCTTAACTGGAAGAGGGCTATCAGGGTTAGAGATAATGTAGTTAAAGTGCCAGCATTTCTTGCCTCTAGAGCCAGTAGCAACAAAACGTGTAGTTTCTGCCTAAATCTTGCTATTTCTCACTGCCTCTGCTCTTGCTGTCTCTCTGTTTGTAATGGCCTTTCTTACCTGACTCCCTCCTATGCATCCTGTAAGACTTGTTCAAGGGCTGCCTTCTCTAGGAAGTTGTCCCTGTTTCTACCCAAGCTATATTGCCCCATTTTATGCTTTTATGGCACCTCTATCATTGTACCTGCCACACTGAATAGGGATTATCTCTTCATTCTTCCATCTCCTGTTTGTAGACTAATTTAATATGTACTGAAATATCTAATATGTGGTCAGTGCTGGAGATTCAGTGGTAGCAGACACTTATAGGATCTATCTGGAGGGGGCTTCATCTGGACCAGTTCCTCAGGGTGTGTTCCTAAAGACCACCTCACCTGCATCAGAATCCTTGGAAGCTTTGGGGACCCATGCTGGGTCTGAGAATCTGAATTTTAACATTCCCCTTGGGTGATTCTTACGCACATTATTAGCTTGTGAGTTCAGAGGTTCCGTGAGGGCAGGCCCTGTGTCACTTCAACACTGCATCCTTGGCCCTGAGTGCAATTTCTGGCACAAAACAGTTACACAAAAGTATTTGTTGAAGAAGGAGGGTACTCTGAATTGAAATGGGGCTGGAATTTAGGAGTGACCAGCAATAGTATGAGGTTAAGATTAACTCTACCTTTTCCCAACAAGTGGAATACCAAGCCAATTCAAACATAAATCTAAACATATATTGATTTCTTACTGAGTGAGGCTTCTCTCTGCCTCAGCCTCATCTCTAGGAGATTTCCTAAAGGAAGGAAATGGACCCATTTTCGTCTTAAATTACATTACATTGTTGACTAGTTGAGAGTCTTCATGCTTCTTTAGTTTCCAGCAAAAAAAAATCTTCAAATGAGTTTTTATTAAGCATTATAATGTTTGCAAAGGTATATAGTGCAAGAATTTGAAATAAAGTTTTCTGGATGCCATAATTTATGTTAACATTTATTTATAAAGAAATACATACATAATATTATAAAATTTTGTGTACAAGGACTCCACTTGTGTATCTGTATACTAGGGCTATATTTTTTGTTGAAGTGTAATGAGGTAAGTTTATTTTTAAGCATTTGTGTAAGGAGAAAAGGAGGGAAGATACAAATTACTTAAGGGCCTGAAATTACTAGCACTCAGGAGTTGCCTGAATTAATTATGGAGGGTCTCAGTTGGATGGCTTGTCACTTTTTTTGGTACTGTAATGCCATGCTTTCCCCTCCCCCATGCTTTTGCTTTTTGGTTTAAAGCTTAAGCTAAATATTATTCTGAAAATTACATGTTTAAAATAAAGACAGAATTTTTACAGCTTGTCCTGTGGTCATTGTGAATATTCTTTTGGATAACTGAAATGGTCAGTCACTAGGATAAAGATCCTTGTGTTAGTTGAGGCCCTCTTTTGGCTAATATTCTGGGAGCAAGTAACTTAATAAAGCTCATAAATATTCAAGTCAGTATACGGATTTCCTCATTTAGTTTAAGGAAACTGGGGAAAGAATTTTGTTAAACTGAGAGGTGGGCTAAGGGAATAAACTGTTCCTTGCATCCGTGTTTGTGACTGGCACCTGACATTAGTTTCCTCTCAGCTTACATGCTTGCCCATTCTACTGTAAGTAAATCCCACTCTTCATTTTAGCTTTGCCCTTTTTCCTGGCACACTGCTATTTTTTTTCAGAGCTGAAGCCGCTTAATCCCCACATGTGGATTCTGCCCTGGTTTAGGTTTTTCTACCAGTCCTGTTCTTAGTGACTTAATCTGGTCATTCACAACAAATCAATCTTTGGTTGGTTTTGCTATGCCTTTGTCTGATTCTATTAATAAGCCTTTTTCTTGTTCCTTGTGACCAAAATTCTGCACTATCACTTTCTTTCCACCTTTTCTGATAGCCCAGCTAGTCTGGTCCTGGGCTCCTGCTTGGATTCTACAGGCTTCTCCAGAACAATCTAGTTGGCTGGGTTTTAATTTATCTGCTTCCATGTCTTTCTATAATTCCAAGAGCCTAGTTACTTACACCTCTAGCTAACTTTACTCCTTGCCTAATGTAGGTTTGCCAACTTGATGTCCTTCACTTGTTCCACATCACTTCTCCACTTGGGTTAGTCTTTGTGCCTAGCCTTCTTTAACGGGGCCCATCCTGCTTCACCTGAATCCTGATTCAGATGACCAAAGACCAATTCAGTGGCTAAATTGTTAATGTCTATGCTTTTAATTCACTACAGGAGAAACATCCTGGTTAACCTCTGCTTCTCAGTCAGTTGTTCAAATGTGCCATTGGAGCACCATAAAATATGTCACTTCAGAATGTTACTCAGTAAGGGCACCTGTTTTAGCTTGGTCACCTCCTTTGAACCTAAAACAGAGGCCAGCCATATCTACAGCAAGTGTCCCCACCAAATTTTGTCTCACTGCATAAGCTTTACTTTCTAAGGTGATTTTGAATGGAACTTTAAGAACATATCAGACAATTTTGAGTTACTTGTCTTGCTGTGCTTTTTATTTTATTGGTCTTAGAGGAAACACACATATGCATAATATTTTGTTTCCCAATTTAGGGAGTTCATGGACTACTTAGAGGTCCAGCCCCGTAGGTCATAGTGACACTGTGATGGAACGTTTACTTCCTTTTTATAGTTGTCATATCCAACCATGCTTATTGTAAAGACAATTGATAAATGAGATAGAAGTCGAGATAAGTTAGAGGAGAATGATGCTAAAATTTCTTTAGCATTATAGGATCTTAGATTTATGCTGTTTGGCTTACTGTTACTACAATGACAGTTTTCTAAATGTTATTTTTATAAAACAACTTACCAAAAGGTACCTATGCAGGAAATGAACTTGAAAAAAATCAGAAAAGCATTTATCTTTAACAGAATGTTATTGTCAACATTTTAAATTTATTGTATGTATGCAGTTACGAATTATATAAAAGTGAGTTTTGGCTCTCTAGGGAAGAATCAGTTGGAATTTTATTAAATTTCAACCTGGACTATTTTACTTGGAAGTTGAAGAATTACAGCTAGCCTAGTGGTTTATACAATATATAAGATATGAAAAACCCTTCACAGGACATTTCATTGATTTGTTTCCAAGTTTAGTTCAGACAACCAAAGACCAATGTATAGGTAAAGATGAAATGAGCCATTATTTTGCCATTATTTGCAATATTTGTGACTTAACATTTATTACCTACAATATTCTTCATTACCTTTATTCTGTTGTTTAAAACTACTTTTAAAAATACATTATGATGAGGCTTTTTGAAGTTTTTTCAAAGTGGTCTAACTTTAAGACGATTGTATATTTAGAATTCCTGTACTTTAAAAATATTTATTGAGAATGAGGGGTGGGAAGAGGGAGAGGATCAGGAAAAGTAGCTAGTGGATGCTGGGCTTAATACCTGGGTGATGGGATGATATGTGCATCAAACCACTGTGGCACATGTTTACCTATGTAACAAACCTGCACATCCTGCACATGTACCCCTGAACTTAAGATAAAAGTTGGAAATTTAAAAAAAAGAGAATGAACTTTTTTTTTTTTAAGATCACTTTGATAAGGAGAAAGTCAATATATTGACAGAATTTTACAGCTGAAGCTACCAGAAATGGCATGTGGCCATCTCTGAACCCTTCCTGCATTCTTTTCTCTATACCAGGCTGCCTGGCATGCTTTTAAATCACCACCAGTACAACCTCTGCAGAGATCTTCAGCTATATTCTCCAGCAGCTTAATTTTTCTCCCAAGGTTAAACCTTACACAGAAAGTTTGTTCTCTGATAGGCATAGGTACACTGAATAAACTACTATAGTACTGCTGATCAGGGCTTCTGACTTTGAAACTGAGCTGCAAAACAAATAATCAGCTGATTGTATCAGTTTAGTGAGGTGAAAAGCTAGGAATTCCTTGCAAACAAGCAGTCTATTTAAATGTTAAAAGAGAAGAAATCTGGTTTCCATGTTGTAGTAATGATTCACTAGTTTTCTAGTGAAGGTCATTTGAAAGGAGAGTGAGCAGTGATGGGTCTAGCTGAACACAGAATGATTAATTACAAGTTATTAAAGCATGGTTTCACTCTGGGCTTATTGTGCATAAGCAAGTTTATATATGCACTTGAAGAAACTTGATACAAATAGAATGAATGAAAAAATGCAAAGGCAAGGGCATAAAATAGGTAGGCAAGCAAGATGGCAGCACTCAATGTTTCTGGAATTATATAACCTTGCCCAAGAGGAAGTTGACATATGGTGAAAGGGATCTTGAAAAAAAAGGAAGCCAAAAGAGTCCCTGACTGAGGGCATTTACTCTGCAGTTTCTTCATCTAATCAGAGAAATGGACAGGAAACCAGGCCCTCTTACTCCTACATCATGGGGCTGTTGAACATACCTCATGAGAGAGAAGTACTTAGATAGGTTTTGCAGTGGGGTATGTTTCGGAATACTGAAGTAGAGGTGTTTTCAATTGATATAAAACTTGGTGTGGAGTAGATTACAAGGTCAAAATGAATATGTGATCTATTGGTAGGGAGGTAGCCTGGGTATTGCAAAGAGCACATGTTTTGGAAACAAAGGGACCTGAGCTCAAATCCTGGCTCTCCAGCATGCTATCCATGTGATCCCAAGGCAAGTGACAGCCACTGAGTTGTAGCTCCTCTTGTAAAATAAAGTAATGCTAACCGTTGAAGTATATTTCCTGTGAAGTTAATGAGGCTTAGCGAATCAAGCCCTCCAAAGGGCCTGAGCCATGTGTTCACATGGCTGTTTTTATTAAGCCTGTGGTCTCCATTCTGATTTTTCCTCTATCGCGTTCTCCCTTATGCGGGGTGGTACTGAAATGGCCATGGATATTTTTGGGTTTATAATTATATGTTTACTTCCTTTGTATGTACATTTTGTATTATTTTCCTATTTTTATATTATGTGTACTATTTTTCCTAATGAAAGCTTCCCAAATTGGATAAATTTCATGCCTCACAACCCTAGGGTCTGCCATGTTTATTTTGTAACTTTCTTATTAAGATTAAGCAAAATAATCATGTAAAGCACTTTATCAGTTATTTATTGCCAAATAACAGCCCATTCCAAAACTTAGCAGCTTAGAACAGTAACTATTTTATTTGTTCACAATTCTGTGGATCAGCCCTTCAGCCTGGGCTCTGCTTGGTGGTTCTTCTGCTGATCTGGCCTTGGCTCACTCTTGTGATAGCAGTCAGTTGGCAGAGAGTAGGTGATCTAAGATGGCCTCAGTCAACTGTCTGGCAGTTGTCAGGCTATTAGCTGGTTACCTTGTTACTCCTCCATGGGGCCTCTCTAGTGGACTAGCTCAGAGCTGCTCACATGGCATAGCCTTTAAAGAGGGAGAGAGAGAAAACTGGAAGGCCTCGTGACGTCTATGCTTAGAACTCCCACTTGTGCTGCATTCTATTCATCAAAGTGAGGCATAAGATTAGCCCAGATTTAAGGAGTCGAAAAGTAGATTCCATTGCTTGATAGAATGAGCTGCAAAGAAATGTGGCTGTTTATAATCTACCACTAGCTCTGCCTGAAATAGGAGATCCTGAAATATGTTAGCTTTCTCTTCTTCCTCTTCCTACCTTGCTTCTTATTTCTGCTGAGGTTAAATAAACACGAATTGAAGAGAAGCTTCCATGGAAGAAGAGAAGAACTAGACATAAATAAGACTCCCTCAGATGTGTCTGATACTCAGTTTTATAAATTCTTAATCTGTTGTTTAAATTAGATTGAATTTTAAACCTACTTATACCTTTTAAAAATAAAATGCTTAAAAATTTTACTGTATTTTCTTTTAAAAAGTTTGTATATGAGACATTAAAATGTCTTGCCTTTTTCAGTTTATATCTGTGAAATTGTGAAATATATACAGTGATGCACCACATAACAAAATTTGGCCAACTATGGACCACACATACAACAATGCTCCCATAAGATTGTAATGGAGCTGAAAAATTTCTATGGTCTCATGAGTTGTAGTGGTCATAAAGTCGTAGTGATATCTATTACCTTTCCTATGATTAGATACACAAATACTTACTATTGTGTTATGATTGTTATAGTACTCAGTACAGTACATACAGTATAGGTTTGTAGCCTAGAAGCAATAGGCCTGGGTGTATAGTCAGCTATACCACCTAGTTTTGGATAAATACATTCTATGATATAAGCACAATTACAAAATTGCCTAACAGTGCACATTACAGAACAGATCTCTGTCTTTTAAAAAATTTTTTTAAGTTCAGGGGTACATGTGCAGGTTTGTTATATAGGTAAACTTGTGTCACAGGGGTTTGTTGTATAGATTATTTTGTTACCCAGGTGTTCAGCCTAGTACCCATCAGTTGTTTTTCCTGATCCTTTCCCTCCTCCCACCCTCCACCCTCAGGTAGGCCCCAGTATCTGTTGTGCCCCTCTATGTGTCCATGTGTTCTCATCATTTAGCTCCCACTTACAAATAAGCATATGTGGTATGTGGTTTTCTATGCCTGTGTTAGTTTGCTAAGGATAATGTCTTCTAGCTCCATTAATGTCCCTGCAAAGGACATGATATCATTCTTTTTTTATGGCTGCATAGTATTTCTTGGTGGATATGTACCACATTTTCTTTATCCAGTCTACCAGTGATGGGCATTTAGGTTGATTCCATGTCTTTGCTATTGTGAATAGTCCTGCAATGAACACATGTGTGCATGTGTCTTTATGGTGGAATGATTTATATTTCTTTGGGTATATACCTAGTAATGGGATTGGTGGGTCAAATGGTAGTTCTGCTTTTAGTTCTTTGAGGAATCACTACACTGCTTTCCACAATGGTTGAACTAATTTATACTCCCTCCGGTAGTGTATAAGTGTTCCCTTTTCTCTGCAACTTCACCAGGATCTGTTATTTTTTGACTTTTTAATAATAGCCATTCTGACTGGTGTGAGATGATATCTCATTGTGGTTTTGATTTGCATTTCTCTAATGATCAGTGATGTTGAGCTTTTTTTCATATGCTTGTTGACGGCATGCATGCCTCTTTTGAAAAGTGTCTGTTCATGTCCTTTGCTACATTTTAATGGGACCGTTTTTCTTGTAAATTTGTAAGTTCCTTATAGATGCTGGATATTAGATCTTTGTTAGATGCATAGTTTGCAAAAATTTTCTCCCATTCTGTAGGTTGTCTGTTTACTTTGTTGATAGTTTCTTTTGCTGTGCAGAAGCTCTTTAGTTTAATTAGATCCCATTTGTCAATTTTTGCTTTTATTGCAATTGCTTTTGGCATCTTCGTCATGAAATCTTTGCCCGTTCCTATGTCCAGAATGGTATTGTCTAGATTGGGATCCCTGTCTTAAGTGGCACATGACTGTGTTTGATCTTCACCCAGTTTCCTGGCATACAACTCCTAAAATCCTTAAAATCTCCAAAGTGATAAGCGTCTCTTTGTTTGCTAATGAGATGACTGGTGGTTGGCAGCCCCTGGGTAGCTTCAGGATGGGGGCTGATCACAAGAAAGACCAAGGCATGATTATGTAGTTGGAACTGTTTAAGCCCTATTCCCCAACCTCTGAGAAGGAGAGAGGGGATAAAGTTTAAGTTGATCACCAATAGACAATATTTTAATCAATCATACCTACATAATGAAGCCTCCATAAAAGCTTTGGATAAGCTTCCAGATAGCTGACCACATGAAGGTTTCTGGAAGGTGGAGCACCTAAAGAAGGCATGGAAGCTCTGTGTCCGTTCCCCCATACATTGCCCTATCCATCTCTTATCTGGTGTTCATCAGTATCCTTTGTAACATCGTTTTAAATAAACCAGAAAGTATAAATAAGTGTTTCCCTGAGTTCTGTGAGCCACTCTAGCAAATTAATCAAACTTGAGTAGGGGATTGTGGAAACCCTGATTATAGCCGATTGGTCAGAAGCACAGGTAAAATAACCTGGAATTTGCAATTGGCATCAGAATGGTGGTGGGTGGAGGATAAGGAGGGGAAGTCTTGGGGACTGAGACTTCAACCTGTGGGATCTGAACTACCTCCAGGTAGAGAGTGTCACAATTGACTTGAATTAGAGGACACCCAGCTGGTGTCTGCTGCAGAAGTGATTGCTTGCTTGGTGTATGGGGGGGAACCCCTACCCCTACATTTGGTCACAGAAATCTTTTGTGTTGACTGTTGAGTGACAGTATAGGAGAAACTGACTTTGTTTTTTTCCTATATCCTCAATATCAAATAAGGAATTTGCTGAAGAAAGCTTGGTTTTGGAATGAAGATGAATAATAATTTAAAATACGGAAAAAGTAATATATTTAGCAATTTGACAAAGGCTCACGGCACTCTTCTTTTTCAGTTTAATGGAATTGTATATATGTGATTAAGAAAACCAATAAAGCAAACTTCTAGCATTTTCCCCTTTAAGTGATAATTAATTGTCTCCTTATTGAGTAATTAAATTAATCTGAGTCTACAGATAGATGAGTTACATGGATTTTAATAATTTAGATAGCATCTATAACTTTTAAGAACCTGTTAAATGATTATGAGAATCAACCAGGTTCTCCTGGTGATGCCATGATCATAATAATCTGCACTGCATCTAAAAACAATCATTTGGAGAATTAGTTTGAAATACTGTTCTTTATATAACTGACAATAATAAATATTTTCTGATAAATGCTAACTTGATTTGCTGATTATTGGAGAGCTAAGAATAATAAGTGAAAAGAGATACGGAAATAAAAGGAAAAGGAAGTACATGCTACTACTTGTCTTTAGTTTATTTCTAGTGAAATCAGATCTATTAGTCAAGACATTTAGTTGCAAAAGACAGAAAATGTAAAATGGGAAATTATTGGTCATATAAAGGGAGGGTTAAGAGGAATACATTTCAGTACAGCTGGATGTAGGGGCCTGAGGAGGTAATGAAGACCCAGTTTTTCTTTCTCCATGTTTTTTGTCTCTTTCTTCTGTGTTGGTGCCAGTCTCAGGCTTGATGTGGGAACACTTTAGTTGTAATAGTTTAAATCCCTGTATTCTTTTGGTTTAAGTACAATAGAAAAGAATGGTTTTCTAATCTCAGGAAAATGCCTGAGATTAGATCTGTTTAGGACTGCTTGATCTGGTGTGAGTCATGTGTCTGTCCAACCCCAGATGAACTAGAAGGATGGAATACCTTGATTGTCTCAGGCCTCTCTCTTGCTTCACTTGTTGTTCTTCTGGAACAAAGTCAGGGACCCTCATCCTAAGCCCACAGATTGAGACTGGAGAAGAGTAGATTCTAGATAACAATAGGAGACTTCAAAAGTAGGGTAAAGCTGACATGGCAAGCCAAACACAGCTAGGGTCTATTACAAATGTAACGTACATGTTCCTGGAACGCAGTAGATGCTCAATAATATGTCTTAAATTAGAGACGGTTGTTAGAAAAGGATATTTTAGCCTTTTGAGTTTTTGTGTATTTTGCTCTCGGAACTCTGCTGGGTAAATATAGATAAGAGTTTGCACTCTCTGGTCTTTTCTTAAAGCGTTTTTTTTTTTTTTAATGATTATGTGCCTTTCACGCAATTATTTAGCAATAATAATGTTCTGATTTTACAGATGGAAGACACTGAATGTGATGAAAAGGCTTGATGCTGTTTATAAAATTCAGTGTTGGACAAACTTAAAATGTTTTCTCCATTAAAAATTTGTAAATTGTGTTTAAAAGTACTCAAAACAGTTATATTTGCATCCATCAGTTATATAAAATAGTATTATGACTATTAGTCTGATAACAGATAGATAAATGTGATCGATTATTGCATGTTTCTGGGTAGCTTGTCATATCATAACCATTTCTAGAATTCTTGGACACATTTAATGTATTCCTTTAAAAAATCAGAATGGATATTCTGATTTGTTCTGTCTGTTGGTAAAATTCAAGTCAGAGATGAATTAGCTCCTGCCAACTTGGCCTATTTAAATAGTATAGGGGTTTTATACAAGAAGATATCATAAAATTTCCTTTTATTATCATAGATTACTGTATAAATAGGTGATCATCTAATCAATAGTCCAAACTAGGACATTGTTGAGAGTGACAGGGGAAAATTACATTGTGAGACCAGGCAGAATCTAGACAAACCAGGACTTGAAGTCATCCCGTGTATAAACAATACAACTTATTACCTGTACACTTAATATTAAATTTCTCTATAAGGAACAGTGTCAGAGGACTTTTTTTATACTGCAGAGCACTTTGATAAGATAGCTGTTGGTCATGTGACTTCTTTGGTATGGCCTATTTTTCCTTTAAGAATTAATAACATCTTAAACACTCATAGACATGACAGCATTTGGAAAGTCCCAGTGCTTCTTTCTCTATTTTTCTAGCAGAGTATTTAGTAGGAGGAATAATTAATTTTTTGAATGACAGATTTAGCTCTCTAACCATGTCCCTGGTCACCTCTTAGACTAAAATAGATCATGCCAGGTAAACTATGATAATAATGCCTGATAAAGATATCTTGATGGTGTAATTGACAATACCTCAATAAGGCAGTGGAGGTTAGAAGAACAATGAGAAGTCTTCTACTGTCCCCTGCCAATTTCAGTATATCACATGGAAGTTATTTTTCTGTTATCCTTGTCCCTCCAGGTGGCATTTAAGATTTGAGCATCATGGTAACAGAGGGCCAGAGAATGAAGGAAACAAATCTCATGTCAACTCTTTCTTTTTTTTTTTTTTGTTTCTCTATGTTTCATTTATTTTTTAAGGGGTGAACTCTCTTTGTTAAGTATAATTTCTATTCTATAATAGTAATTTAATAAATACTTAATAATGTGAATGCATATTTCAATAGCATTCTTTTTTTTTTTTTTTAACACAGGATCTCACTTTGTCACCTGGGCAGGAGTGCAGTGACACAATCACAGCTCACTGTACCCTCGATCTCCTGGGCTCAAGCAATCTTCCTACCTCAGCCTCCCAAGTAGCTGGGACTACAGGTGTGTGCCACCATGCCTGGCTAATTGTTTTGTAGAGATGGGGTTTCACCATGTTGCCCCGGCTGGCCTTGAACTCATGGGCTCAAGCCTTCTGCCTGCCTTGGCCTCCCAAAGTACTGGGATTACAGGCATGAACACTGCACCTGGCCAATTTTACTCTTTTAAAAAAATCTTATTTCAACCGGACACATTTTTATACAGTATAAAAACATGTTAAAAATCAGCAGTTACAGAAGCGGTTAAGAACTTCCTTGTGAAAGCAATGTTCACTCAGTCTTTATTTTCCAAATGACTTGAATGCTCTTAATACTAATTTCACCTTGATCTAAGCCACTTTATATTAAACCCTTTTATTTAAAGTTAGTTGCTTTTGAGCCCACTGCATAGAGACCCTCTAATTCTGTGTAGTGACTTGTACTTTAGTGCCCAATTAGAGTGTGAATCAAGGTTAATTAGCAACAAATCATCTTTTTATAATTGAAGAATCTAAGGTACAGCAAGATAAGTGACCTACTGAGGGACAGAGTTCAAAATAAAATAGGTTTCAGTCACTCAATGAAGTGCTTTGCTGGGAGATCTCGCCTGGTCCTGTGGTCCTTTAGTGAAATATGGGGAAACCAGCAGGGGACGTAGGTCAGATAGTTTATAATGGTGAGTTATAGGTTGTATATTATAAGGAGCATTTCTCAGCACTGAAGAAATTTCACTAGATTCCAGCTCACCTTTCCAAACTATTAAAAGCAAAACGGGACTGTTTTTCAAAAATTGGAAAGTAAACCTGGCTTCTTGTTAGAAATTTGGAAAATATTGAGAAGTTTTAGACCCAGTCCCTTTAACCTTAAGGAGCTCACATGCAATAAGATGGAAGGGGCAGGGGAGATCAGGACAGAAAACTACCGATATGGCCGTGAGAGCATGGAAGCTTAGATCAGTGAATTCTTCTTGAATTTACCTTTTTATAAATCTTTAAAAACAAATTTGACTTTAAAAAAGCACAAATATAAATCGGAAATGCTAATTAGCACGTTAAGTTAGATGAAACATATCAGTGGAATCAAAGCTCACGCGTCAAATGATGTATTTTAATATTTTAAAAATCACAGTTTAAGCTGGACATAGTGGCTCACACCTGTAATCCCAGCACTTTGGGAGGCCAAGGTAGGTAGATCACTTGAGCTCAGGAGTTCAAGACCAGCCTGGACAACATGGTGAAACCCTGTCTGTACAAAAAATACAAAAATTAGCTGGGTATGGTGGTGCCTGCCTGTAGTCCCAGCTACTCAGGAGGCTGAGGCGGGAGCATAGCTTGAGAGAAGGTTAAAGGCTGCATAAGCCATGATTGCACCACTGCACTCCAGCCTGGATAACAGAGTGAGAACCTATCTCCAAAAAAAAAAAAAAAAAAAAAAAAAAATATATATATATATATACACACACACACACACTATATATATATATATATATAAACTATATATATATATAAACTATATATATATATAAACTATATATATATATAAACTATATATATATATAAACTATATATATATATAAACTATATATATATATAAACTATATATATATATATAGTTAGTTTAAGAAATGAGCAAAAATGAATAGCTAGGCAGAAATTTATGATAGCTTTTCTTAGATTAAACACCAAAAATATCTTGAACATTTGCGTTGGCTGAAAATGTTCTTTGTAAACAGTGAAAAAAATCTACAGTTTTATTTTAAAAAAGAATTAGTTATGTTTCCTAGTACTTTCACATTGAATTAATTTGTCACTTATTCTAGTGGATAAACAAGAATAGGGCTACTTACCTGAATGTTAATGGGGCAGATGCTACCAGAGCCAACCCTTATCCCCAGGACCTTTCACATTTCTCTTGTGAACTTTCTACTGTCAGCACCTGCATCTCAAATGCTGATTTGCCCATGGACAGCAGTTCATTCTAGGGAATTAATATGCTTGCTTTTCCAGCAGCCCTCATCTAATAACTCTCTAGAGGTGACATATAAATACTCCAGCTCCCTCACCCTCAGATGAGATAATTCTGAAGCTGTGTTTTGCACTAGTTCTGAAAGCTTCCCCAGGGAATTCAGCTCCAAGCACCCACTCTGGCAGCTGATTTATTAGATGCTTTTCCTTCTTTGTCTCTCTTCCCCACTTCCCTACCACTGTTCCCTACTTGGGGTCTGCTTCTGGAGAACCCATACTAAATCCTAAAATTAGGCATTATTGTTATTACACTTCTATGCACTACCTGGATTAACCCCATGGCGATCATCGTTTGGGAATTCTCAAGTGTTTTACATAAAAGGCATCATTCATAAAGCTAAAGAAGGACCAGTAGGATCAATGACGCACACTAATGGATTGAAAGAGTTATCTAGCATGACCCGAGATGCATTAGCAAACACAGGAAATCTGACCTTGGGAGAAAGCCCCTGATCTGAGCCTGGAGAGTAAGACTGAAGTCAGAATGATAAGCCTTCCTTGTCCAATGTCACATTGCTTTGGATTTGCTGTAGAGCTGGAGGTTCAGGGAAGGGCATTTCTGCAATGCCTTCTTTTACTTTTGCATGTCCTTCCTGGCCTGACTGATGTGGGCGGTGATCTCATTTTATTCTTTCTCCCTAAATCTTCTACAGCAGTATACACATAGATAGTGAATACTTGTTGATTAATGGGCTACTGTGCTGTGCTGTCAGGTGCTATATTAAATTCTGTTATAGCAGTTACTTCTAGGATCTGTAGGTATTTTTTTTTTTTGTACTATAAGTCCGCTGGTCTTTGTTGCTATTACATTATGGAGCATTGTCAAATATTCCATTTTCTCTTCGAGGAGTACTTGGCAAAATTAGCATCTGATGATTTATTTTTGAAAATTAGTGATAAGATATTGATGAAATAGACATAGTTTCTAATCTTTTGTTTCTAGTCCCATTTAGTTCTGTGCATGATCTTGTGAATGAGAACTTTCATATGCTAAGGAAATCTCTTCCAGCCTTAACCAGGAGCAATCAAGCCAGTTGTTGCTGACACATCCCTGCTACACCTCGCTTCTCTGGCTGTGGTTTGCTGGGATCCCCAGGGTAGTAGTTAGATGAACACTGCCATCATCTTGCCTACTCTGCTCCAGGATTTCTAGCGTGGCTCACTGTCCCCAACCAGACGTCCTTATCAGCAATTCCTTAGAGATGTCACTCTGACTCTTGTGGTGATCTCACAGAAATACTCATAAAAAAAATTGAGTATGCTGCTGTGTGCTGTAAATTGTCTTTCTCAACTTGAAGTTATACCTCTTTAACCACTGTTCATCATTTCTGTGACAACTGTATGAGTATACTGTATACTTTAAACATGACAATGATTGATCCTGTAGGTAAAATACCAAATGGTTGAAAACAAATGGCAAGGATTTTTACAATTGAAAGGCCTATCCACCCGGTGACCACTGTATTATTCATTAGAAATAGGTATTATCTTAGCTATTATAACTGCTGGAAGTTTTGTGAACCTTTTATGTCCAGTCAAAACTGCAAACTCTGCATATGCTTGCTTATGAATATTACTTCTAGCTAAAGAAGTGTTCATATAGTCTTTTCCATTTAAATACATGGCTAGGCATTTACTGAAATGTGAGCTATTTACTAATGGTAGATTACTGCAGTGTCTTTCATATCAGATGTTGCTTATCTGACAATCTCAACTAGGTGGAAACTAGGCAAGAAACAGGTAGGAAGCTGAATTGGCTCGTGAGATAACCTAAGAGATATCCCAGTGTCTATGCAGTACCTATTCTTGTGTACTTTATCTTTATTCACTGGAAAACCCTTCTACAACCACATGCAAAATCAGTTTGTTTTTAAAAAATTTTACACTTTTTTTTTAAAGACAGGATTTTGCTTTCTTACCCAGGCTGGAGTGCAGTGGCACGATCATAGCTGACTGGAGCCTCATCTCCTGGGCGCAAGTGATCCTCCCACCTCAGCCTCCCAAGTAGGTGGGACTAGAGATGCATGTCACCATGCCTGGCTAATTGAATTTTTTTTTTTTTTTAGTAGAGATAAGGTCTCGCTTTTTTTTTTTAGTAGAGATAAGTTCACTTGAACTCCTAGATTCAAGTGATCCACCCACCTCAGCCTCCCAAAGAGCTGGGATTACAGGCATGAGCCACCATACCTGGCCTTTACACATACTTTTAACAGGTTTGGTTCAGTTATATAATTTCCTGGTTAGTAGCAAACAAGAAGGGAGAAAAGAATAGACTACCAGAGAAAAATACTAAGAAATTATACTTTATTAATACCTAAATGATTAAACTTAGTGAAAGAGTGAGTTTTAGTCACATTTTAACTTAAAAACTGATAATTGTGTTAGAAAGCTTCAGACAGTTTGAGTGCCTGTTATACGCTGAGCAATGCAATGCAATGTTTACCAGAGTCCTCTCTAGCTCTTACATCTTGTCTGTGAGACAGACATTATTATTGCCATTTTAAAAATTAGAGAACAACTTAGGCTCTGATGAGTGAAATGATTTGCACAAGGCCAAGCAGTAAGTAACTGAGTTTGAATTAAAACCAGGACTGTCCGATTTAAAGGCCCTATTGTTTCTATCATATCAAATTGCTTCCACATGGGCCATTCCACAATGTACTTAGTGAAATTATTATTTTAAGAGCAATACACTTCTTAGAGGAACTTAATAATAACCTCCTCTGACTCCCCTGAATTTACGTATCTTTTTCTTTTTTTTTTGCCTAAATGGGGATATAAACAAAAATAGTGATTATTTTGATTTATATTTACATAATAACTTTTTCACTTTGTATAGATTCAGTTTGTGACTCTAATAATACTATTTCTGGCTTCAGGCCTGTTGATGTTCGACTCATGCAGTCACATACTTGTTCTTTAAATGGTTGTGGTGAGGATCATGTGAAGGAAGGAACAGCCAGAAAAGCATCAAGATAATTGTGACAACTGCCACGGGTGGTACAGTGATTAAAGAGAACAGATATGTAAAAGTAATTTCTTTGCTGAGCCATCACTGGTGCAGAGAGCAAAACAATGGGGACAGATGTGACTGAAAGAAGTTTTGATGTTATCCTAGTGTTTGGTTTTAATCCCTCCTCACCTCTTGACACCATCAATTTTTATCTGTCATGTAAAAACAGCAGCAACAGCTCATAGTAGAAGGTATGCTGCAACGGTAAATTTCATGGCAAGACTTCTTACGTAATTCAGGGATCACATGAAAGAAAACCACAACATTATCTTCTAGCTTCTTATCTGATTTTGTAAAAAGGTTTCAAGCATACTTTTTTTTTCCATAAGTGTTATTTATCAGAAATCTTAAATGGTAGAAACCAAACTTTGTGAAACAGGAAGGGTAATAAAGATTCCCGTGTATCTGGGCGGCCACGAAGCATCATGGAGTTTTTGTTTTGTGTCTCCGTGGAGTTAACTGGTTTTAGCAGTTCTACTGAACTTTAGCTAAAATGAATTACACAAATAACTGATTAGAATTGACTCATGCTAGAATTTGAATTACTAAAGCATGCAGAAATAAGAGTAAATGCTAAGGGGAGCTTTGCTGCTTTTAGGGTGTTTGATGTGAATTCTGATCTGGTCTCCTACTACCTTCAATCTATTTGATACCACAGTACAAGGGACACTCAGGTACATGTAGGCTCCAAACCCTTATCTAGTCACATCTTCATGAGCCACACTGACCTTTTTAACATAGAATGTAGGTTAGAGGCCTATGGTTCGTTTTTGTGGCGTTAAGAGTCCCACCCACCCAAGACCCAGTGAATGAGAATCTCTTGGTGTAGGGACTAGAGATGGACATTTTAACTATTCTTCCTGGGTGAGTCTGATGCATATTTGGGAACCTCTGCACAGGCCTCCTAAGTATCATTACCCCTTCTAAATATGTGGCATCTCTACCCTCAGAGAGTGTTACCATATTTGTTAGCGGGAAGGGAAGAGAGAAAAGTGTCAGGCTTGAACAGAAGAGAACTTTGAACATCTATTCAAAGAGTGGAAAACTTTGAACCTCTTTATTCTACTACCCATACCTCCAAGTCCAGCTGCCTTGGTATAATTATATTTCTTGAATATGCACATTTTCCTTTGAGCTCGAATAGAACTGCTTCTCCTTGGATGTGGAATTGATGTGAGTAGATAGGAGTGACGCTCTTCCTTAGAGCTGAGATTCTTACTACTGGGGGGAAAAGAGACCAGGCTGCCCCTATTCCTTATCACACTCCCTTACCCTGATCATTCCAATTCACTATATCTGATACCATCCGTGATTCAGATGCTCACCTCGGGAGAGGAGCTGTTTTTCTGGATATTAAACTACATGAGCAAGAGTGAACATTTTGTATTGTGTAAAATTCCGTGTTTGGGATGGTGTTAGAGGCAGAGATACTTCCTGGGTCTAATGCCATACAGAGAGGCTTGATACTTACCCTCAAGCAGGAATGAGAGGTACATTTAAATTACTAGACTGATTAGACTCCTGAATTTAGAATCCTAATTTAAACTCCTGAAGAGTTAGCTGAGGGATGTGAGGGGCCTGTACAGTTGCAGACACATCTGTTTCACCCCAAACAGATCCTGTACTGTTTGGAGAGAAACCCCTAGTCTTCCCTACATCCCTGGCTTTAGATTTTTTGGGGCCTGTTCTTAGAATGAGGTTCATAAGGGAAGGGGCAGTGTGGCCCTCCTGAGACCAGAGGGAATAGGATAAGGCAGAAGTTCTCAAGTGTTGAAACGCCTGAGGTTCTTGGTAAAATGCAGATTCCAGACCCCCACCTGGATCCACTGAGGGGAGTGCCTTAGTTTCCTAGGGCTGCTGTAACAAATTACCACACCCTTGTTGGCTTAAAACGGAAATTCATTTTCTCATGGTTTTGGAGGCCAGAAATCTGAAATCAGGGTGTCAGCAAGGGGTGGTTCCTTCTGGAGGCTCTGAGGGAGAATTCGTTCTATGCCTGTCTCCTAGTTTTGGTGACTGTGGGAAATCCTTGGCATTCCTTGGCTTATAATAACATCGTACCCCAAACAATACAAAACAAAAATAACAAAATACCACCTAAATTAAGTTAGGTGCACTCCTTAGTGTCCCCCTCCCTGAGTGCTTTGAGTAAATCTCTAATTTTGCTTTGATTGCTCTGGTTAACACACAACCATAAGAACACGACCAGCACTGCAACACTCACCTATCTGACAAGGACACCTGTGCTTTCCCCTTTACACCCTCTACAAAGGGACTTGGAGGCTCTCTAATAAACCCAAGGACATGCTTTCTGTGGGAAAGAAGTGGGGGCAGGTACTTAGCTCCTGGGACTCCTGGTGAATGGCTAGTTTGTTCAGCTGTGCTGTCACTTTGTTGCTGTAGACACTAAATTCCAGTCTGGATTACAAACCTTTTGTGAGTAACTCGGACTAATATTTACAATGCTGGAAGATGTAAAATTTAAAAAGCCAGTTGACCTGAAATAATTTGTTAGTTTTCTCCCCCCTGGCCTAATCCAAGAGCTTTCTGCTTAGCTCATCAGGTCCTCTGGTGACCTTAATTTACTTTTAGGTAGCAAATTTCCTGTTCCATGCAAGCAGAGGAAGTTCTCTCAATGAAATATAGCCAAATCAGCACAATACCAATCACCTATCCTATTAATTTCTTTATACTAAGTCTGGAAGGCATTTAGGGCCTTGAATCTCTTTGCCTGCCTGTGTCCTCCCTCTTTCTCATTTGTAATCCGTCTGTTTTCCCCATTAAACTGTAGGCATCAATGCCAACCATAAGTTTTATACCAAACATATGATTGGCATCCCTTCCTTGGAGGCACTGTACCCTAATGGTTAAGGGCTGTGCCACAGATCCATGACTGTATTCAGCTCTACCATTTACTAGATTGTGATCATAGGCAAGTTATTGAACTGCTCTAAGCTTCATTTTTCCCATCTGATGAATGGGGGCAATGATGACAATGATCATGATACCCACTTTATTGGATGATTGAGAGAATTAGATTATGTAAGTTTTATAAAGGGCTTGGTACACAATAAATTCTCAATTAGCTATTTTTGTGATTACAATTGTAATTATATTATTATTATTTGTTTAAAATGCCAGTAAGATAAGCTTGAGTAAAAGATTTCTTATACTAGGAAAGAAGACAATAACTACAGGATGACAGGCTGAGTAAAATTATTTGCATAATAACCCACATTGATTAGGCTCTTAGTAGGCATTAGCACAATCCAAAGTTCTTACATCTATGATCTTATTTGATCATCATGGCATGCTAAGAACTATTACTATTACCTTATTTTCCTGATGAGATAACTGAAGCACAGAGAGATTAAGTATCTTGTTCAAAGTTTGTCAGCGTTAACAAGGGTCTAAGATTTACCACACACTATGTTATAGTCACTCCACTGGCTTCAAAAGATTAATATAGGGAAGGTTTCTAAATTGCTCATTTTTATAATATAATTATTCAACATGTTTATGTGTATTCAATACAAATTGTTTACTATAACATTATTCAAAAAACTTTCTATTAATACACATATCACAAACACATGTTCCTTTAGGGTGGGGGTAAAAAGCCCCAGCATCTTAGCTTCTAGGTGGGAGCCTGCAGGCACGGAGTGCTCTTTTTCTCTCTGGTGGTTGCATAGGTTACAGAGCCAGCAGGAAGTCCAGTGCCTGTGGCCAGTAGAGGAATAGCATGGACCCTGCAGAGAGACTGTCATCAAGCTGTGCTGGGCAGGTTCTTACACTTTGTGGCGGGGAACTTTCTTGCTGGGAGAGGTTCTTCTGGGCTGTGGCTGCTCACAGCCATGCTATAATTGGCTTCTGCAAAGTAGCAAGCATGCTGGCTTTGCTACCCCCATCCATCTGGCTGAGTTTTATGCACATGCAAATAACAGAACCCTTATTTGTGGCTATCCCTGGGACTCATGAGTCACAACGCATGCATCCATACGGTCTACAATGTCATACAGCCAAAGCTGGGGGTGGGGATTAGAACATTTAGATTCAGCCAGTCTGACTTTATTGTCTCTGTGCCTCACCAATATATCAGGCCACCTTCCTCCAATAGGAAAATCCTAAAAAAGTCCTGACATTGGTGTCTCAATCTTTGCCAGATTTTTGGCACACCACAATCTGAGCTTAAATTGCGATGCAAAATATTTCGGACAAGGCTCAGCATTGCTACTTGTTTGTTTGCTTATTTTTTGTTGGAAACCCAGTGTAGTTCATTTCATCTCCACACTCAGCTGTTCACTGATAGCTTTTCTTCTTAAAGGAAATATTTTTTAGTACTTGTTGATGTTGACTTTAGTAACGCAATATTATCAATAGTATTTAGAATGGTTCTTTAACAAAAATGTAATTTCAAAGCAACCTTATGAAATTTTACTTATAAGTTTTTCATTTTATAGCACTTGCTCTGGGAAATGGCTACTTGTCAAAATAATGACGGATTCAAATCTCAATGGCGTGTAGTCACATTTCCATAGTAAATATGCAGTCACAAGTCCTTTCTGGTATTTCAAATTTTCCCACTTTTTTAACATCAACTTACTGATATAAATTCTATTTTCTTTAGATTATTTTTGAATATTGCAATTTGAAGGCTGATGAAATTATCTTCGTTATAGAAAAAAGTAACTTTAAAAATTATAATATAGTTTAGAAGCTTTGGAATATGTAGATAAACAAAAAGAAAATAAAAATAATTAATAATCTCATCATCCAGAGATAGCCGTTGTTAAAATTTGTTTTTTATAATGAAATGATTTTTTAAAATTTACTGCTTATTGCAGGAAAATATACTGACAGAAAATTAAATTATCTGTTTACACTAACCTTGATAGATTTCTTTAAAAAGAAGCCCAAGTCCTCCAAACTATTTAAAAGTAAGCAAATAAACACTTTATTTGAAATTTTAAAAGGTGAAAAAGCACAAATTAAATATTAAGTTTGATACACAGGTGTTTTAGATTTAGATTGTTTATGATTTAATAGACTTTTGTGTTATGTAGCATAATTTTTTGTTGGGATTCAATTTGCATATGGTACACTAAGGTTTCTTATGCATTGATAGCATATAGTATATTTTATGCTTGTTTTCTAGGGTTTGCAGTGTAATTTTATCTATTTAACTTTATAATAGTCAAAACAACCAAAATGTTCTTTAATAGTAGGATAGATAACTAATAGTTTACATAATGAAATACTATGCAGTGATGAAAATGAGTGAACTATAGCCATGTTCAACAACATGGATAAATCTCACAGCCATAATACTGAATGAAAGAAACCAGATGCAAAATAATACATATACTCAGGCCAGGAGCAATGGTTCATGACTGTAATCCCAGCACTTTAGGAGGCCGAGGTGGGCGGATCATTTGAGGTCAGGATTTTGAGACCAGCCTGGCCAACATGGTGAAACCCCATCTCCACTAAAAATACAAAAACTAGCTGGGTGTGGTGGTGTGCACCTGTAGTCCCAGCTGCTCGGGAGGCTGAGGCAGGAGGATCACTTGAACCCAGGAGGTGGAAGTTGCAGTGAGCCAAGATCACACCACTGTACTCCAGTTTGGGTGACAGAGGGACACTCCATCTCAAAAAAAAATACTGTATTAATGTATTTATGTAAAGTTCAAAAATAGATATAACTAAACTATAGATGGGATAAGGACAGTCAGGAAATTATAATACAGTTAGGAATTTAGGACATTTGTTGCTTTTGAAAGGAGGAAGAGGGTAGTGATTGGGAAAGGCAGGAAGGAACATCTAGGGTACTCAAAATGATCTATTTGTTGACCTGGTTGATGGCTAGTAAGGTGCACTCGCTTTTAAAAAGACCGCATTGAGCTTCCTTTATATTTTGTGTACTTTGCTGTGTGTGTGATATACTTCAGTATAAAAAGCTAAATAATTACTACAGAAGTCATATTTATTTGATATCTACTCTTTGCTCCCGACATAACACCCAATCTTCCTGTTATTTCCTCAGGGAAATATGGTTTGCTTTACTGTCATGGTTTCCAAGGATGCATTAGGCTTAAAAAAAAAAACCGTAGAACTGCTACCATTTGTTTTGTCTCTATTGTGATAAAATTTCCAAGTCATTTACATATTTTCTAGATAGTTGATACATTTTATTAGTTCTTGTTCCCAGCAGATGTGTGAGACAGGCTGGTATTGCAGTCCCTATTGTTCAGATAAGGAAAGTAGACACAGGGAGAGTAAATGTTTGGCTGAGCCTGGAATTGAAATGCAGTTCTTTTAACATTCCTCTGTGCTGTCTGACTATATAACACTGCTACAGTCATAGATAACTCAGAATTTCCCCAAAACTTGGACTCCCAGAGAAAAAAGATTTCCATGAACACGAATAGGCACTAACTATAAAAACATTTTTGTAGATGAAATTTACATTTGTATCTAAGAAGTATGGTTAAGCACATTGAGGGGAGTTACTCACTGATTCAACAAACGTTTCTGAGCATTGGGTATTGTGCCTGCCTCTGCAGGAGATGGAGCTAGGAATATTACTATAACACAAACGTGATAAGTGAAATAATAGAGAATCCCACAGTGTTTTGTGGAAAATATTGGCCCAGAAGAGGGGCTGGTAACGAGCTTCTTAGAAAAGAAGCATTTGGAAGGTCTTTTGGAGGAGGGGATCCCGGAATCTAATCTGAAATATACAGGGATGCATTTTATTTTATGTAAAACTTGATAGGTCAGTTAGATTTCCTACATTTTTCCCCTCATAATATTTTGACCTCCCAATTTTAAGAAACTTTGTATTCTTAGAGAACATTTTTTTTTTGAAATTTAAAGAACAGATTGAATTTCCAGAGATGGCAACTGGATGGTAAACTCCTTGAAGATAGGACATCTTATACTACCTTGTTTTTTTTCCAGGGTCCAGTTGCATAATAGCCTGTTCATTAAGATTATTGCAGGATTGTTTTTGGAGGGGGCTATTTTTGGTAGAAGTGAGTTCTTCATTTTAATACTACACTTGCCTTCTTTGTCAGTGAATCTAAAGTGCTGAGCTGTTAGATTTGAGGTTGTTCAGATATTTTATTTCAGCTGAATTCTAACATCATCAAGTCTTGCATATCAAAATCCATTTACAAATAAATTCAACTGAGCTGCATACAGCCTGTTGGTGGTATTAATTTTTAAAAATAGGTTATGCTATAGATTTTATTTATAGGCATTTAGATGAGCGTAAAGCTCTAAGGCAGCAAAATCCCATGTACAATACTGATGCCAGCATAGGCCACTTTTCAAGGTTGACATTTTTGTTTTTCAGATATGATGTGTGCATCATCTTATTCTTTATGTGAGGTTCAATAGATGATCCCTTGTTTGTAAACAGAGGTCAGGCCTAACCAAATTTCAGCAAAGAAATTCAGTTACAGAAAGAGAATGTAATAACATCAAAACCTTTATGTGGAAACGGTATTTTGCATTTCCTGATAGACATATCCTGGCATCTCTGATGACATCCACTAAGGTGGTTCTCTAAAATATTTTATAATTGCTGATGAGTCATTAGGTAATATGGAGAAAATGCCTTAGATCCTTTCTCTTTTTTATGAGAGGAATGCCTGGGAAAATAAATGAAAGTTCAAGTGGGAGACAGCAGAACATTAGTGATAAAGGAAGCAACATGAGGGGCCTGTGTTTATAAGGGCTTTTAAAGTTAATTATACCATTAAAAAAATTTGTGAAATGTAAAATATTGGCCCATAGTATAGGATAGTTGTGGGAAATATCTCCTGGAAGTGATACTCTCATAGTGTGCCACTTTTCCGCATCATCTTAACATTTGTAATAACCTAATGATGGAAAGGAAAAAGCACTTATGGTCCAGAAATAAAAAGAAATAATATATTTTACCAAGTGAATGGTAAACTATTCTTAGCCAATTAGTAGCCTAATGATCTGCCCAGGCCTGACTGGTTTAAAATGATGGTAATTCTAAAATATAAACAATTGCTTAAATATATGTCAAAAAGAAAGGAAATGAACGCAAGTCCACTGCCTTAATTTCTTAGAGCAAATCCTAAAATAAATGTTTTGGGAGGTTAGAATAAATGAAATAAAAATGAAATTACCGTAGTTTTGTAACAGAGTTCTCAAATGAGGGCCTTTGGATGTACTTTTTCAGGGGGTCCTCAAACCTCTTAAAATTGTGTGCAAATGTAGTAAATCAAAGCCATTTTTCAGGAGTAAGTAGGTCCTACACTTTTATCAGGTTCTCAACAGTTAAGAACCATTGATTAAACCAATTCCTAGTGTGTGTTAGTTAGAGACAGTGGGTAAATAGTTGGGAAATATAACAAGCCTGTGAAATATGCCTATGTATATGGTAACAAAGATGAAAGGAGGCTATATTTCTGGGAATGCAATAAAATGGTATCTATGTTATTAAAATGTTTGCATAGAGAACTTTATTCTTTTGTTGAGATGCAAAACTTTTATTTCCCTCTGTACTATGTTGCCTTGTCCTGCAAACAGACAATGAGAAATAACATTCTCCATGATTAGAGCTGTGCTTAGATCAGAAGTTTGGACATTCTGTTTATTTTTCTTTAGTTATCACACTTTGCTTGTACCACATCACAGATTGAATAATGAACAAAGCAAGGGTGGCCTGGTAGCAGCAAGCATTTGACTTGTTACTGAAAATGAGCTTACTGGACTTTGAATTGGTTACTTCATATCCCCAAGAACAATTTGCTTCCCCAAGAACAAAATGCTATGTACATTTTGCTTTTTGTTAAGAGCAAGGTCAACTGTGATTAAAGTCAGCCTATCTTTTGGAATATGAATGCATTTTAAATGGATTTCCATTTTCTAGGATACATAAGCAAGATATTCCTCAAGTCAATGGGGGATGAAAGTGCTCCAGAAATTATCTGTGATCCTGGATCTGTGGAAAACTGTGTGTGTGTGCATGTGTGTGTGTGTATACAAAGTTCATTGAACAAAGTATAATAGAAAAGTAGTGTCTACCTTAGGATCAAATTGAAGTTTCCACACCATTTTTTCACCCTCGTTTGACTAGGCTCTCACAGTGGTCTCCAAGATTGTGCATTATCAGGTTGGGGGAGGGAGAGTCAAGGAAATATTTTACTCTGTTCTTTTTCCATAGTTTCCCTGAGCTCTCAAACTGGCAGCCAGCTGGCTGAAGCCTGCCCACAGACATGTTTTATTTGGCCCATGCAGTGCTTTTACAATGTTTGTGCCAACATTTTAATAGGAAGATTTCACATATGGATCTGCATTTCTGCATTGTCTTGAGAAATCAGAAGACATGGGAATAACTGGCTGGAGCTGAGGGGCAGTTGTCTTCCTCCCGCTGGGGCACAGCTTCCTTCTGCAGTTCCTTCCATGACTTCATGTGCTCACACCCAGCCCAAGCAGTTATTTACCTGCTTGACTGCTGGAGGCAGTTTGAGATTGGCTTAAGGCTGCCTTTGAGATTGCCTTAGTCTTCTGATTAATAACCAGGTTTTGTATAAAGCTATCTTCTTGGTCCCAGAGAGCCTTATTACTTAATAATACATAGATATCTGACCATCAAATCTAATAATTTTCAGGTTCAAAGGATTTGGAATTTCTAATTTGGGCTTGAAGTTGGCAAGGAGTGCAAATAAAAGAGAACACAAATGCCTAAAATGCTTATCTGTCCTTACAAACATTCAATTTCTGTTGTGTATCAGAGCTGGTCTGAAGCTGTAATTACAGTAGTGCTGTAACTAACTTGTGCTTGCTGGTTCTGGAATTTGATGATAAAAAATGGATTTTTTTTGGCCTTAAGACAAAGAGTTGATTGATTAAAAAGGCATTATGGTATATGTAGACTTCTAGGATGTTATGATTTCTTTATGCTTTGGACAAAACCCTGAGGAAAATTTAATAGATTTGGGTTGTCTCTTTAATTTGTGAGGCTGTAAATTTCTAATTTTAAATGTTCAATTATTTTGGTCAGGATAAAGGGCTGTGCAAATTCAGATAGTCTTCCTTTCCAATTGTTCCAAACAACCCTTTCTGGTTATGGATAAATCTCCTTGCCAAAACTCATATTCAACTTGTTGGAGGGCTAGCCTTTATCTTTCTGCCTAAGGTCTTTGGAAGCCATTTTTAATCCCACTAAATTCTGCAGTTTGATTAAGATAGAGTGGCTGAAACAAGGTATTTAGTAATATCATGAATGTGAAGGTAATTAGTATTTAATGTCCAAAAGAGAAAAATAAAAGCTTGCCAGTGTGCTAACTTGGAACGATTATATTTCTTTCGAAACAATTTTGTTTTCACATACTGCTAGCCTAGCAATGAATTAGAATGCATAAAAGCTCAGGGGATTTGAATGTGGGAATGGATAAATGTTTTATAATGAGGTAGAGAATTATTGCCCAACCTTAGAAATAAAAGCTACATAAAATTATGAATGTCCAGATCAATAGCATTTTTTAATATTATAAATCACTTTTGGCAGTGCTTATGTATGAGCAGAGCAGTGATCTAATGATTATGAAATTAGATTTTTTTTCCCTCTCTCTCTTTTTCTCTTCTATTTTTTTCCTCATAGAGGCAGCCGAAGGACTTTGGGTAAACCACTATAACTTGCTACATTTCCCCAACAGTGAAATTTTTAGAAATATGTTTGAATGTTCTGAGTACAGACTATATTACTTCTGTGATTTTTTTAGGCTGACCAGAGGTGACATCTATTTTTATGTGAAAAGTAAAAATGAGATGATCTGAAAGAGTTAATTTTGATAACTGCTTTTTTACTTTTTAAGTAATTTTATTGTTTTACTTGTCTTCAGGTGTTCTAAGACACAATGGAAAACATAAGAAAAAATGAATTTCCTTTCCTGGACTATAAGGAAAAAGGCAATCTACTCCAAAAGAAATGAGAAGATGCTTCGTTAGGATTTTATCTAGCACATCTAGAGTCTAGAATGAACAACATTATGTATAGGAGAAAAGTGGAATATTTATAGTTTTTTGTTTTTTAAAGAGATGAAATCTCACTGAAGGTTCTTTATAAAGCTCCATTATGGGAAGAATCACCTGGACAGATGTTCAGAATAAAGTCATCATGGTCAAAAGCAAACATTTACCAATGCATGACAGTTTTTGTCTTCTTTTAGGCAGTTGCCTTACCTTTATTAGTGCCTGACAATTTGCTAGTTAGAATAAAACCATACCTTATGCTGGTTTATTGCTTTAAAATTATGCCCATCTGAAAATGTCTAAATGTGCAGAAATGTACCTTTTAAAGGTTAGTCAATGTGAATTTAGAGCTGTAGGGAATTTAGGTTGCTAGGGGACTCTGTGGTTCTCCTTCAGAATTGTTAAAAAATTCTCTGCCAGCCTGTGAGCTCCCTGAGGGCAGGCACTGTGCTCATCTCTGTAGTATCTCCTACTCCTAACACAGTTCTTGGCATGTAGTATATGCTCACTTTTCTTATCTAACTGACAAGTGAAGGGGTAATCAGCTGCTAGTGTTTCTGTTGCTAATATGTGACGGTTTCAGCACCTTGCGAGGCAAGTGTGCGACTTTGGGAGAAACAGAGGTTAACCAAACAATCTTGCAAATTAATGTAAAATTCCTGCTTCACTAATCAGATTTTTATCTCTGTTATAGGGGGACAGCCCTCTTAGTTTTGTGAGCAGAGCATAGTTTGTGAAAGAGCCCATGGTTTTCAGGCCCAGGTGGTGTTTCTTTTGAATTCTTAGGCATCTAGTTTGGACTAGCTTCATGGTTTTTGCCATATACTGCTCTGTATTGGAGCAGTCTGTCTGGAAGAAGGAACAGTGCTCTGTGTGTGTGTGTGTGTGAGCTAGTTTTTAGTATCCCCTCTGCTACTGCCCATGTGACCTTGGCAACTCACTTAACCTCTAGGCCTCAGAGTTATCATGCTAAGATTGGGATTTATAACTGCTATGGCCCCTTTAAACTTCAGTATGCTGTTTGAATGCATGTTTTAGTGCTTTTATTAGTCTGTATGTTCTTATGCAGCTTTTTGGTGTGTGTTTTAAAAAACTTTTTATTATAGATAACTTTGACCACACACAAAAGCAGACAGATCAGTAATATGAACCTGCAAGCATTCATCACCCAGCTCCAACAATCAATCCATCAACTCATGGCCAATTCTGCCCCATTCTGCCCCATCCTCTTACTCTCCTTATTATCTGGAAGCAAATCTTAGATACTTGTTATTTAATCTGTAAATATTTTGTATTTATATGTTTTCTCACCTCTCAGGCAGGCACCTAACATAGAACCTCGTATACATTAGGAAACAAGATGATGGTTTTGAATAAATGAATGAGAGTGGGTTGGGAAAGGTAAGAGATGAGGCACCTCACCCCCCACCCCAAATTATAAATATTTAAAACATTTTAAAAATTGTTAACCTATAGTTCCTCAGGGCAGTGGAGGGGGAGGAGCCAAGGCTTCCAGTTATTGGGAATCCTAATTTGGTGTGGAATATTAAAGGGCAACTTTATCTATTACATGTAATCACTGTATCACCAGGGAGCCCCAGCATGTTCCAAGAAGTTAAGGTACATGCCAAAGATAAGCAAAAAAAGGCATGCAACCCTATGGGTGCATCTTGAGGAAATATATTAGCATTAGGAGATAGCACAACCTAAAGGCCAAACTGTGTTCATCTAATTTAATGGGAATTTAAAAATTTATGGGAAGGACTTGACACTTGATGCTTCTCTTTATTTTATACTTTCTATTACCTGTTTTCTAAACATTTTTTATCCTTCACAATAGTCTCTTTTCCTTCTTTCTTTTCTTTTCATTATTTTCCCAACAATGCTAAAGCACTCAAGGGAGTTTTGTTGAGCACTGAATTATGTGTAATATATTTTAGCCAAAGTATGCATACTTACTTTGGATGTATTACTCCCAAATGTATAGGCAACATAGTCTGCATACCACAAATAAAATAAAAACAAGAATAAAAAATTCTAAGTAAAAAACTTTCCTTTATGCACTAAAAGTATTTGGTAAGACTGTTAAAAGCAGCATTATGTACAGTAAATATAAAACTGCAAATATATACTATATGTATACTTATAAGGTATAGCAAATATAAAACTTCAAATAATCTAAATATCCTTTAACAACAGAATGGATAAGTGGAATACTATGCACTAGTTAAAAATAATAAACTATGGCTACCTGCAACATTATGGACGTATTTTACAGACATAATGTTAAGTGAGAGATTATATGTTGCACTATTCCATTTACATCAGGTTCAAAAACAGGTGAAATCAATCTGTGGAATCAGAAGTCAGGATAATGGTTAACTTGATGGGGGAGTAGGTGATGACGGGACAGAGCTTGAGAGAGGATTCTAGACATTGCAGATGTTCTATATCTTGAGTTGGGTGGTGGCTACACAGTTGTGCTCATTTTGTAAAATTTTATCAAGCTGTTCATTTAAGATCTATGTACTTCACAGTATGTAATTATATTTAAATGAAAAAGTAAAAGGAAAAAATCCTTCCTTTTGATTACTTAGGAACACCTAAAGTTTAAACCTATTGTCAGCCTGACCATATAAAAAATAAGACTTGCCTTACTAATCAGATTTTCTCTGTTGTATGGGAGATAGACCTGGTAGACTGAGGAAGAAGTTATAGACACACGAAGTTTTTACTGTACAAAGTATTTGTTTCTCTGCCTCGTGGGATAATAATCATCAATAAACTGTGAAATGATTGTTACAATAAAGTACTAGTTGGATACATCAGTGTTGGCAGCTGTGGAAAACTTATTATTTTCCTACAGGGTGCATAATTAATGGGTCATGTAAGGGAAGGTCCTGACTCAGGGTTGGAGTATGTATTATACTTGCCAAAGGAGTATGACAAGAGGACTTCAGAATGAAGTTCAGCATATATTTAGTTGCAAGAGCAACTATACATATAAGTAGTATTTTAATACAATGGAAATAAACCTAGGGCTGAATTGATAGGTGAATACAGTAAAAAATGTATTGCCTTTAGAAAAGGGTAAAGGAAGTGATACTCACATGATATAAATAGTAACACTTTTAGATAGGAGATAATTCTTCCTTATATCAAGTTGAGTAGGACTATTTTGGGTATCATGTGCAGAACTTGTCCTAGATAGGATTTTGCTACTGGGAACATTTGGCTCTGGTGCCTTTTTTCTTCTCTTTGTTTTAAGTACAGAATGGTATCATATGAGAACAAAACACGAACTTTGGAGTTAGACTGCTATTAGTTCAAATCTTGTCTCTATCTTAAGTTGTTTGACTTTGGCAAGTAACTTCTCTGACACTAATTTTTTCATATTTAAAATGGGGGTTCTACCTAACTGGGATATTTAATAGATATATCAATCTATCTTTGTGTCAGGACTCAAAATAACTGTAAACACACAGTAATTTATTCCACTTAAAAGAAGTCCAGAGATAGACGGTCTAGCACCGGTACATCTGCTTCCTGAAATGACCAGCAACTTAGGCTCCATTTAAACTCTTCAATCTGCCATTCTCAGCACGAGTTCTATCCTCAAAGTGGATGTTGGAGCTCCAAGCCATCTTCCTCATTCCAGACAGCTGGAAGAAAGATGGGGCATAGGGCAAAAAGTTTAGCTCCCAGTTGAGTTCTCTCTCTTTTAGTTGTCCTAGAAGTCCTGTACAATACTTCCATTTTGTTTCTTATTGGCTAGAATTTAGCAATATAACCTCACGTAGCAACAGAAGGAGGCTGGGAAATGTAGTCTTTTAGCTGGAATAAAAATGGGGATTGGTTACTAAGGAAGAAGTGGAAAGTGATTTTGGCTGTCAGCCAGGAATCTCAGACACGATGTTCTCAACAAAACTCTTCATGGCCCCTCTCCTTAGCAAATTCTATCACTATCCACCAGATAGATAGCTCACTCTGAAAATTTGAGGTTCATTCACCAATCCTTTTTTCCCTTCATTCCCCATATGCAAATTAGCAGCAATCCCACAATTCTAAAATACATCCTGAAATCGGAACCCTCTATCACTACTATTAAATCCACAATTTAAATCACCATCATCTCTTATCTGGATTCTTTCAGTTACCTCCTGATTAATTCCCTGCTTCTTGTGTTGCTTTCCACAGATCACTGCCTGCATAGCAAACAGAATGATTTCCTAAAAAAAAAAAATTGAGACTGTATTGTTCCCTTGCTTAAAGCCCTCCAACAGCTTCCCATTGCAATAAAAATAAATGTCACCTTCTTATTTGGCCTATAAGGCCTGACGTGGTTTGGCTCCTGCCTCTGTAAACTCATCATCTACCCCTTGTCCCCAGGTTCTCATGCTCCAGCCACAGTGGCTACCTTCCTGTCCCGCGAATGTACCCAGTATATACTACCTCAGACTTTTGCTCTGGAACATTCGTTCTCATTTTTGCATGGCTAACCCTTTCTGAATTAGTCAGGGTTCTCCATAGAAAGATAATCAATTGGTTTTTTATATTTTTAAGGAGATTTTATTATGGAGAATTAGCATATGCAAATATGGAGACCACAATGTGCCATCTACAAGCTGGAGACCCAAGACAGCTGGTGGTGTAATTCAGTCTGAGTCCGAAGGCTGAGAGCCAGAGGAACTGATGGTGTGAATCCCAGTCTGAAGGCAAGGGAAGATGAAATGAGATTTCCCAGCTCAAGTGGTGAGACAAGAAACAGAGAAGGGGGGACAAATTCCTCTTTCTTCCATGTTTTGTTCTATTCAAAATGGATTGGCTGATGCCCACAGTGGGGAGGGCAATATGTTTTACCGAGTCCACTGATTCCAATGCTAATCTCATCCGGAAACCCTCACAAACACACCCAGAAACGATGTTTAATCTGGACATCCCATGCAAGGTCCCGTCAAGTTGACACAAAAATTAACCATCACACTTTCCCGCAGTTTGGGTTTCAGCTCAAACATTTTTCCCTCAGATAGGCCTTCTCTGACCATCTTTCTAACTTCATGTCCAAGACATCCTTTGTTTCGCTATCTAATTATATTTGATTCAGGGCTTGACATGTGCTTCCACCCTGCTCCTCTAAATAGACAAAAATTTTGGCCATGTGCTGAATTGACCACGGTGTGGAGGAAGACATATTCTCCTGCATCATCAGTGGGGAATGCATGCATTGGCTAAAAACCTCTTTAGAGGGCACTTGTACAGTATCCATTAGAACTAAAACTATAGCTTCATGAGGGAAAGAGACTATGGCCATAGTAGGAGTTCAGTAACTTGTTGAAAGAATGGTGAATTTGAAGATTAAATCACAGAGTATCTGATTCCAGTTCTTTTTAACTTCCTTTTTTTCTCCATAGCTTTCATCCCATATTTAAAATGTCCTCTGCTAAGATGCCAACACATATCCTTTAAAGTAAAATTCCTAGCTGGGAGCAGTGGCTCACGCCTGTAATCCCAGCATTTTGGGAGGCTGAGGCGGGCGGATCACTTGAGGTTAGGAGTTCAAGACCAGCTTGACCAATATGGTGAAACCTTGTCTCTACTAAAAATACAAAAATTAGCTGGGTGTGGTGGTACGTGCCTGTAGTCCCAGTTACTCAGGAGGCTGAGGCAGGAGAATTGCTTGAACCCGGGAGGTGGAGGTTGCAGTGAGCCGAGGTCACACCATTGCACTCCAGCCTGGGCAACAGAATGAGACTCTGTCTCAAAAAAAAAAAAAAAAAAAAAAAAAAAAAAAAAAAAAAAAAGTAAAATTCTTCAAATAGGTGCATCCCAGTTCCTGGGGGCAAGGCCTCAAAATAAACCTAGTGCATCTCCCTGGATTGTCAGTTTATTTGAAGGTTTGTGGAAAAAAAAATTATCAGATTGTCAGTTTATTTGAAGGTTTGTGGAAAAAAAAATTATCAGAAAGAGTATGGACATATTAAAAATGTGAGGGCCTTTCGATCTACTTTCTAGGTCCCTGGGGGAACAAGCTCAGTGTCTTTGACACTAAGGGCTATTTGATGAAGTTTGAAAAGCACCATTTAAAGGTCTTAGCTCTTGGGTGGATATTTGCATTTTGATAGAGAATTCTTCAATCCATCATAAAGTTTTCTTTTGAGGAATTATGCTTACTGGGTTTAGCTCGGGGCAGTAGGTGCTGGATCAATCAAAAGTCTTCCCGAAATGCTAGTGATAAAGCAATATCCAGGAAGCCTTAGGTTTTTATATTCTGTTATTCTCTTCAGTTTGCAAGCTGCTTTAACATACATTATTTTATCTAATTGGCTCCTCACATCAACCAAGTTGAGTATAGCCATGCAAAGAATTAAACACTTCAAACAATATTACATTTTAAAATAACTTAAATGTAATTCCCTAGAGACCTGCATCCTTAGTTCCATTCTCTAAAGGGGAATTTCTTGCGTATCTTTCCAGACATATTTTATTAAGCATATACCATCTCAGATCTTTGGGTGTGATCTCCATGTATATTTTTCATAGGCAAATGAGGAGTAAACTACAATATATTCTGCTTTTTAAAAAAAGCATACTGTTTTACATTGGAGTGTAGTGTTTTATTGTATGAAGTACCCCAAATTCAGTTAATTCTGAGGGAGGGGAGACATTTGAGTTGTCTTCAGTATTTTGCTGTAATAGCTGATGCTCTTAGGAACATCTTTTACAAGATGATCATTTTTTTCTTTGCTCACATAAATAAAATAAATAACAAATTCCAAGGAGAGGAATTGCTGTGTTTAAGGCTGTGTTTAGTTCTGCTAAATATTGTAAAATCGCCCTCAAAAAACTTTTAACACATGCACTCCCCACTGATGGTATATGAGAGTAACTTTTTCCTATACCATGGTCAATTCGGTATATGAAAAATTTTGATCTTATTTTAAAATATTGTTGATTTGTATAAATTTCAGAGGTACAAGCACAGTTATGTTACATGAATATATTGGTAATCGTGAAATCTGGGCTTTTAGTGTAGCCATCACCCATACTTTGTACCCATTAAGTAATTTCTCATGCCTCATTCCCTCCCACCATTCCGAGTCTCCAGTGTCTATTATTTCATACTCTATGTACAAGCACATGAACAATTTAAAAAGTTTTGTTAATAAGATAGGGAAAAGGCCTGGCTCAGTTGCTCATGCCTGTAATTCCAGCACTTTGGGAGGCTGAGGATCACTTGAGCTCAGGAGTTCGAGACCAGCCTGGGCAACATAGTGAGACCCTGTCTCTACCAAAAATTAAGTGCGGTGGTGTGTGGCTCTGGTCCCAGGTACTTGGGAGGCTGAAGTAGGGGGATTGTTTGAGCCTGGAAGGTTGAAGCTGCAGTGAGCTGTGATTGTGCCACTGGACTCTAGCCTGGGCGACAGTGAGACACTGTCTGAAAAAAAAAAAGGAAAAAATCTTATTTTTACTAGCGGTCATTTAATTGAGATTGAGCATTTTCCCCCCAAGTGTTTCAAAGCTATTAGCAATAATTTTTTTTGTGTGTAAACTCTCTGGTTGTATTTCTCACCTAACTTCATTGAATTGTTGGTCTTTTTCTTTTCTTTTTTTTAATTTGTAAAGATTCCTCATATGTTAAAGATAGGTAATTAACCCTTTCTGCCATATGTGTTTCAAATATTTGTTCCCAGTTAATTGTTATGGTGTTTATGAGCAACCGTCTACATTAAATTAGGTGAAAGTGGGCTTCATTAGAAACATTAAGGGCTTATGAACTGGCAGAACAGCATGGAGAGAGAGCAAGAAATTGAGAGAAAAGGTCAGAGGTTGAGTCATGGAGCTGGGGCTTTCTAGCTTTATGATCCTGGACAATCACTTAATGTCAGGAGACCTCAGTTTCCTCAACTATAGAGTGAGGATAATTACAATACTTCCTCATAGAGTCATAAAGATTTAGTGACATCATGCATGTTAAAGTGCTCTATACATAAGACTAAGTGAATATTAGTTTTTATTACTGAACTATCTTGCATATTGGAATACAATACTTCAGGAAATAGAAATTTCTGTCTTCAATTATTTTTTGAAAGACAAAACTAATTTTTATATTTCAGATGTTTTTCTGCTGTTAGCATATCTCATGATTCCTGCTGATTCCATAATTAAGGAAGACAAATTTCTTTCTAATATTGGAATTAGAAATAAAAGATATGATTATTAAATGCTAATGAGTAATAAAGGATTATATGATACTAGTATTGAAAAGTAAATTAATTATATTAAAATGATAAGGCTAAATCTTATTTCCTTTTTCAAAATGTCAGTGGAAAAATTTGCTAAAATGCAGTTCTTTTATTTGCAGTTTTTTTAGATCATAAAAATAGAATGTTTTCAGTTTTGTATATGTGTAAAGTGAATGTGTAGAATTAGAGCTTTAAAAATTTTTGATCTGGAAACAACCTAGACATCATCTAGCCCCGGGCTTGTTTTTACAGATGAGGAAGTGAGAAATTCCGAGAAGCATAGTGACTAGTGAGTCATGTGGCCATTGCAGAACAAAAGGGAAGAAATTTTCTGTCTCCTGTCTCCCAGTGTAGGGCCCCTTTCACTGTCCTATGTCATTTGGATGCATAGGTTGCATTTCTGCTACATGTTTGGGGTTTATGACACTAGCTATACTCCTTAAACTTGTTAAATGAACAGCCATGGTTTTCTAGCCTAGAGGGAAATAAGTTGTACTCAAACTCTGCTCTTTTGGAGATATGATTTTGAGCTGCTTTAACCAAAAAAAAACAGGCTTTAAAAGCTCTTCCTATACTTCTGCTTACACTGAGTTTTAATATTCTGTCAAACATTTTAAACTTTTTTCTCCGATTTACTTCAGGTTTTCATAGAGTAAGGACATTTTAGAAGAACCCAAGAAGCAAATATGTTCAAGTTTTTAGGCTACACCAACACACATTTTTTCTGTTGATATTCAAGCATAATATATATTTAAAGCATTCAAAGTTGATCCAAACTATAATAAAATCCTAGCATGGCTAGCAAATTTATTTCAGTTTTTTTTTCTTGCAAATCTTAGTTTTGTTTGTGTTTTAGGCTAAATGTTAAAATTAAGGAAATAAATACCAATAAATTGACATGTTCTTCCTGTGGTTGGTGTGATTTTAATTTTAATTTATTTTTCTTTAAGCTATCTTGAGTTCATGTAAAATATTAATTGAAATGAAAGTTGCTTGTAGGTTTCTTATATAGTATAAGAAAAAAGACTAGAGATATCCCTCCACCTCCCCATTCATCTTTCTTATAGCAGAAGCAGTGCCCCAATTTGGTGATAGTAAGAGAAGGTCATTGACATCAGCTTGCATACGCAGCTTTGGTATCATGCTAAATAGAATAAGACAGTATTTAATAAATTCATCTTGGACAGTGAACACTTTGAAAGGTGAGAGAAGAGCCAACAGGGAAGGTGAAATGAGTTTGGAAGCTGATTTTCACAACTGAAAAAATTGACAACAGATAGTTTCTTTATGCTGAAACTAATTGGTATTGTCAAAATTGAGCTATATCATTTCCACTGGAAGCCACAGTTCTTATTAGAAAAGTGTTATGAGATAAGATATTTAAGGCTATTTAAATATTCGTATGAATCCCAGACAGTAGGAGGAACAGTTGTGAGAGCCAGTTGCTAAGGACAACCCATTTCCTACTTTCTTCTTCTCCCTCTTAGCAGCAACACCAACCTTTGGATCACTGCCAACCTTTGGAAATCCCTGTCCTTGGAAGGAGAATAAATGAAGCCATCATTTACTGTAACAGCATTTATTCCCTAAGCATTTAAAATGGGAAAAGCTTTAAAATGTAAAAAAGATATACATGCTTATTATACAAAATTCAAATTAAGAAATAAAGAAGAGAATAAATGTTATTCATAAACCTACCACCCAGAGATAACCACCGTTAACATTTTGGTGTATATTCTCCAGGATCATTATAGACTTATGCTGCAATTGGCTTTTTTATTTTTTTGCTATATATATATATATATATACACACACACATATACGTATATATGCATATGTACGTATATATGTATACGTATGTATATATACATATATACACATATATATGTATATATGTATATATATATTTGCTATATATGTGTATATATACATATATGCATATATATATGCACGCATATATATGTGTATATATACATATATGCATATATATATGCACGCATATATATGTGTATCTATATATCCTGGGTATCCTTCCAATCAATAAATAATCAATGTCATTTTTAATGAATGCATATTCCACTGGATGGTTGTACTGTAATTAATTTAGGTAGATTCCAAAGGATAGAGTTTTAGGTTGCTTCAAAAGTTTTTTTTTTTTACTTAGTATAAGTAATGCTATAGTAAATCAGCAACTATTGAACACCTACTCTGTCAAGGATGTGCTAGGTGTTGGAGATACAGAGATACATAGCATGCATCTCCTACATTTAGGTACTGAAAGAGGAAACAGGCATGGAAACATGTAATTGCAATACTGTGTGAGGTGGACAACAACAGAGCCACATATAGGCCCATGTTCACACTAAGGATGGAGTGACCCCTTCTGTGTGGTTACACTGAGAAATTTGACCAAGGATGAGACAGTCTTAAAGCATAAGCAGTTGTTTCCCAAGAATCACCTGGGAGAGTGATTAAGATTGCTCCATCCCAGTTCTGTCTCCCAGAGAGCATGATTCAGAAGGTCAAGGGTGGGGCCTCAGGTGGTCCTGTTGTTGCAGGTGACCTGCTCTTGACACTTTGAGAAACAGACATTGGGCGTGTGAAGGGGCTAAGGTGGAATTGGAAAGGGGATTATTGCCAGATACTGGAGGAGCTTGACTGTCATACTGAGGGCTTTAGATTTTTTTTTTTTTTTTGATAGGTGAAGTCATTGAAGGTTTTGAATGTCATGATTAGAACTGTGTTTGAGATAAGCTAATCTGACAGGGAGAGTATTATGGAAATGTTTTCCCAGCTTCTTGTGCAGAGGTAATACATTTTTGTTTTGCTGGTTATTTTTATCAACAATAAATCAAACTAAGTGCTGGCCGGGCAGTGTTCAGTGCTTCCCAAACTTGAATGTGCTTATGAATTACCTGGAATCTTGTGAAAATATACATTCCTACTTGATAGTTCAGGGTTAGGATCTGAGATTCTGCCTTTCTAACAAGCTCCTAAATGATGTTGAGGGCCCTAATCTGTGCACTACACAGGAGTAGATGTGCCAAAGGAGGGTTTTTGATTAAATGAGAATTTCCACTTTATTCTTTACACGTGAGTGTGCTTTATGATCTTAAGACTTCAGGAAGCTCACTTTGCGATCTGTTATGGTAATATCCCTAACAAAGTTCTACTTCCGTTGACCCCTTTCTCTGTGCAAATAACATCCTGTTTACTCACGATTTACTATGTGAAAGCTTCAATGCAGAGCCAACCAATACATACATAACTCAGAGCCAATTTTCTAGTTAAGTCTTAAGTGTTTTCATAAAACTGAAAAATGCGGCTGGGTGCGGTGGCAGGTAAGGGAATAGGTGGAGAGAAAGGGAAGGGCCTAGGGAGGAGAACGTGAGAACTCCAAAGGAAACAGTAATGCTGTGCTTCCTAAACTGACTGTCTGATCCTAACTGACTGTCTGATTCCTAAACTGAGTGTCTGATCCTAAATTGAATGCCTGGTTTGGAGTCCAGTGTGTTTTCATCTCAGCATGCAAATTTAAACCCAAAGAAAGTTAGGTGCTTAAATGCTCTAGGGTAGCTGGGCTTTAAGTGGCTACTTATCATAGTGTTTATTTGAATGTTAGAGAAATAGCTTCAAGCAACAGAAGGCTTGACTTAGAGTGGTTTAAACAAATAGGGATTTAATGTTTTTGTATAATTAGAAGCTGGCGGTAGACAGATGTTTGTTTTGTTGTTCTTCTTTGTACCTTTGTACCTTTCACATATCTAATGAGTATTTATGTAATTAATAACTAAAACAATGTTTAAAGATTGTTTTTGGACCAGGTATGGTGGCTCACACCTGTAATCCCAGCACTTTGGGAGGCTGAGGTGGGCGGATCACGAGGTCAGGAGTTCGAGATCAGCCTGATCAACATGGTGAAACCCTGTCTCTACTAAAAATACAAAAATTAGCTGGGTGTGTGGTGGCACGCGCCTGTAGTCCCAGCTACTCAGGAGGCTGAGGCAGGAGAATCGCTTGAACCCGGGAGGGGAAGGTTGGAGTGAGCTGAGATCGCGCCACTGCACTCCAGCCTGGGCAAGAGACCATCTCAAAACAAAACAAAAAACAACAAAAAAACCTGAAAAACGCTTTTGAGTAGGAGGAACTTTCACAGAATAAGAGGTTTGAAGTTAGTTAACTGTATTGAGTTACAAAGCCACCATTGCTTATTTCTTGGTATAGTTGTTCCTTAATCAAATTTCTTAATCAGATATAACCAACAGATGAATTATAAAGCAGAATTTGGAATATCTGTAACTTTAGAGTACCTCTTTTGTCTGCCTTCACTACATATATACTGTCTCTTATTAGATTTGAACCTTTTTGCTTCAAAGTAGATTCTGTGTGTTGGCTAGAAAGCATAAATATCCTTTAGGGAAGAATACTTAAAAAACCAGTATCTTGTGTAGTGTTCTTGAGTAAATTCAGTGCCATAGTATATTTGTTGTCAGATTTGGGAGTGAGATAGGTGGCAACTAAATATATATACAGGGAGCATAATACATTCAAGGAGTATACAACTTTTACATTCCTATAGCACGTTAGGGTTTATTCAAAGTGAGGTCCTTCATTTGACCCTCAGAACAGTCATGTGAAATAGGCAGCACAGGCATCATTACAAATGTGACTTTACAAATGTGAGAAGGCTGAGGCTCAGAGAAGTGAAATGATTTGGCTAAGGTCAAAAGCAAGTCACAGTGAATGCCTGGTCTGGAGTCCGGTGTGTTTTCATCTCAGCATGCAAATTTAAACCCAAAGAAAGTTAGGTGCTTAAATGCTCTAGGGTAGCTGGGCTTTACGTGGCTACTTACCATAGTGTTTATTTGAATGTTAGAGAAATAGCTTCAAGCAACAGAAGGCTTGACTTAGAGTGGTTTAAACAAATAGGGATTTAATGTTTTTGTATAATTAGAAGCTGGAGGTAGGCAGTTGCTAGTGCTGATTCTGCTGTTCAGAGACCCAGGCTCTTTGACTTTTTGCTCTGCCGTTTTGCATATGTTGACTTTCGTTCTCAGGCTTGTCTCCTCCTACTTGCCAAGGTGGCTGCCCTAGCTCTGGGAGAAGGGTGATGGAGTGTGTGTGCAGTAAGGGGTGGGGGGTAGTGCCAGCCTCATCTGTCTCTCTTATCAGGAAAAGAAAAAGCTGCCCAGAAATTCCACCAGCTGACTTCTATTTAAGTCATATTGGCCAGAGAGTTGGTACATGTCATCTTGTCTATCCCCTGTCCATGCCCCGTTCCTGCCTTATGAAAAGGCAGGGAAAGTGAATATTTAGCTTTGTCAACCTTAAAAGTAGAGGCAGGCAAGGGAGACAGGTGGTTGACAATAGGTGTTGAGTGAGCCAGCCTACAGTGCCTGTCACAGTCTTACCGTAATTCTATTTGGAGCAAATAGCATTGGATAAACATTGAGTGCACATCCTCATAGTTTCCTGCCACTGATGAATTTTGTGATTATTGCTTCTGAGTGCTAGGCAGCTCTTTTCTGCTCACTTCTGGGGAAAGTCAAATTTAAAGAACTATAATTACATGGGAGAAGAGAAGGGGTGCTGGATTCTTAATAGTTCTTTGTCAGTATAACTAGCTCATTTTTTTTTGGGTGCAATAGTTACACATCTACCTTATCATCCTTTGTAAATGTTTATTTTATGCATGCATGTAAATTAGTTAAGAATTGGAATTAAACTGTGGCCGCTTGTCTTAAGAATGGTGTAGGATCAGCAAGCCTTGGATTGTGTGTGTTTGCCTAGAGCTGAGTGTTTTTATGAAGAAGCAAAAACCTATTCATGAGTGTATTTAAAGCTGCAGCCAAGTGACGATGTATATTCTGTTTCTCAGGTAAGTGAAATGTAAAGAGAAGTTTTGGAGTCAGATGGACTTGTGCTATAATCCTGGGTCACCTCCTGAACCATGGTCCCTCCTTTTCCAAGTGAGGATAGGGGATTCATGACATGGCACATGGCTGGCAGCACCACAGAGCTGGGCTAACTTCACTGTGTTTTAACTCTCTTTCTTTCTAGTTCTTTGTTTTCCATACAACACCATGGCTTGTTGAACTTGGAAGCTGTTTATCTATTTCCCTTGATAAAAAGGTTTAGTTTTTGTTTCTTACAGAAAGGGGAAGTAATTTAAAAGTGTTGGCCCAGTGGACTTCCCTTTTGATTAAATACACAGCAATTATGTTTAATAAAAGAGATACAAGTGCCAGATAAAATTGTCATAAGTTATCACTTTGGAGAGAGCATACTCTCTACCAAGAATAAAAGTGCTCCCTCAAAATGGAATCCACTGACATCTCTCCCCATCCTCCATTCGTCTCCATTTCACTTCAGTAAACCATCTTGAGTCAGAGAAAGTAAAAGGTGCCATTCTAGAGCCATTTTGAAAGGAAAATATTAATTAAGATGTGTGCATCTAAGAGAAGAATATAGGTAAATAAAAGATCAATCATTTTTATTTTTCTTTTTGTTATATATTTTACATATATATACATATAAAGCAAATTTCCATATGTAGAAATTCATGTAATTCTTAATGAAGTCAAGGAGCGCTACTTTCCTGACGTAGTTGCTTTTGTGATATTTATAAAGCAGGTTGTAAAATATAAGTATATACTACTATCATTTTGGGTTGCTAGTTATAATGAAGAATTCAGAACATTTATATATATGTACTTTAAATAGTGTGCTCTGGAAACAGTTTTTTTGCATACACATTTGGTAAATAATCAAGAAGCATTTCCATGATAAGTTGGATCTTGCCATACTAGGGCCATTTGTGTTTATTAGAAGCAAAATGTGGAACTTCGCAATTTAGTGTTGTAGAATGATCATGAGAATCAACATTAACATGTGAAATATGGGCCTTGAGTTAGAAGCCTTGAAGGAGAATGGAACACATCAGTGAAGCTCTAAGGCCTGTTGGTTTTGAAGCTTATTGGAACCATACCCTGCAATTCCTGTTGAACTGATCATCTTTCGATTATACTGTCATGTATAATGATGTGGGGTTTTTTTTGGTAATTGCTGTCCTCATTCAACATTATATATTATTCTTTGTTTTAGGGGCTAAAATGCATTTTTGGAATGCCTGGCTGAGATTAGAATTATACATTTGAGAGACAGAAGAAAGCAAACTACTTCTTAACAAAATTGAACCTGTAACTTTGACCTAGTAGTCTCAGGCTTTCACTGAACTAAATGAGGCAGATTATAAACTGTGTATTGTTTAGTGGAGACTTTATGTTCTGTTAATACTCTGAATTTTAAATTGTTGTATAGATTATTCTATCTAGTGTACAAATTAATACCAAATTCCGTATTAATTCAAGTATAATTGTACTTTACAAACTCTTAGCTTAAAAACAGTTTTCATTATGTGACATGTCAGAAATATGCATAAGTAAGTAGAGTAGTATAAATAAAAAACAAAGAGCATCCTAGAGCAAAGCCCTATGTGCCCATCTCTCAGCTTCAACAATTCTCAACTCATGGTTTCCCTTGTTTCACCTGCTCCTCTTTCCACTCTCTTCTTTTTCCAATCTGGAATCATATCATTTTTATTTTATCCATAAATATTTCAGCATATGACTCTAAAAGATAAAGACTAATCTCCAGTATTAAACAGTTTGAAATGGCTATTTTATATGGTAGATGTGTAAAATGTGAGAATGGTGCTTAACATCAGGCATAATAAATTGCAGATCGACGTGGTTTTGGTACATGTCTGCGTTCAAGCTCATTTTCTATAAGCCACCAGTTTTGCTGCTTAAAGTTTGGTAATCTTTGTTTACATGCAATTTAGTTAAAATGCTAAAAGAGTTTTGCATTTGCTTTCCTTTCATTGGTGGCTTTTTTCCAGATAGAATTTGTTTTGTGTCCACAGAGTGATTGGTCTCTGTTTTACATGAAAATGTTATCTCTAAGAATGGTTCCATGTGGCCACTGATGATTCTCCAGTTGTGCTTTTCTGTCTTAAAATTACCCTCTGTATTTTAGAGCAGATAGAAAGAAGATAAAAACCCCTAAATTTGAGATTTGGGGTTTATGACAGACATGTCATTTTCATTAGAAAACTATATACTGCTTTTAGTATTTTGTGATTAAGCCAAACAGTATAGTTGAACATTTCCATAATGATACCTTTGGGGATAGAAGTATGACTCCTTCTTCTTCTTCTTCTTCTTCTTCTTCTTCTTCTTCTTCTTCTTCTTCTTCTTCTTCTTCTTCTTCTTCTTCTTCTTCTTCTTCTTCTTCTCCTTCTCCTTCTTCTTTCTTCTTCCTCTTCTTCCTCTTCTTCTTCCTCCTTCTTCCTCTTCCTCTTCTTTTTTGTTTAACTTGTTATATGTTGTATCTAGTTGTGCTGAAATAGAGGATTTAATTTGCAGATTAATATGTAAGGATGTACATTATAATGAATTTGCATTATTGTAGAAGACAATGGAGGCAATATAGAGTGTTTGTGGTTCATAGTGTGGCTTCTGAGGCCATACCGTCAGGGTTTGGCTACCTGCTCTACCAACTAATAGCCATAGTGTCTTGGCTAAGTCACAGAACTTCTAAAATCCTTAGTTTTCTTATCTAAAATATCAGAATAATAAGGGTACCTAACTTATTTTTTTAATATGCATTAAATGAGAAAAAAACAAACAAAAATTATTGTTTGCTTTAATTAATAAGATATTTATTTGTTAATGAACATTTTTAATGCTGTAATTACTTGTTTAGTGACCAAAAACATAAAGATTGCTGGTTTCTGGATGTCAGGTGAATATGCATTAAAGGATTTAAGTGTTAAAGCATTAAGAGGCAAATTTGTTATTCTGAGGTCTGGTAGCTACTAAATATTTTATATGAGAATTTTCACATATGTCAGATCTGTGATCCATTCAGCTCTAGTATCGCATATCCAATGTTACCTCAAGAAGCATGTGACAGGAGCTGAAACTGATTTTTGTTATGTCAGAAGTGGCCCTAGTTTACCTGAAATCCCATTTGGATTCATGATCATGAATTCATTAAAAGTTCTTATGCTACAGTTGTATTTTCAGTTTGTGCCATATATTATAGTAATAAGTTCCACAGGCTCACCATCTCCGTGTAGAGAAGCCACGCATTTTAGCTAAAAGGCGTCTGTCCAGTTTGAGAAGGTACAGCTGAGCTGAGTTGTAGTCTTCTGGCATTTGTTCCCTTGCAGACTGGGACTAATTAGATCTTTCTGATTGGCAGGGCTGGATGTCCTGATCTGAACACCAAGTGTAGTTAGTTCAAATTTCAGGTCTTGGCTAACTCTATGAGTTCTTGGGGGCCTTCTTGCCTTAACTATGCCATGAGGTAGGTTACTGGGCTCAAGGGTCTTGATAGATCAGAGGACAGTGGAATGCTCTGAACCAGGAAAGCAAGTACTGAAATGGAAATCAGAAAGACACCTACCTGCTTCATGAAGTTGCCAGATCCCGTTCTTGGGCTCTGTGAACTTATAGCTTGTCATTCTCTAAGTGTACTTTGTTTTATTTTTATCAGGTTGGCATTTCACACCCCAAAGATGCTTAATGTGTCATTTGCAAAATTTGAAACATCAGATTACTCAGTCTCTTCTAGTCCATTTATAAAATGTACTGCAAGGCTGATCTTGGCATCATGCCCAAGAGAACCCTCATGTTTTGCCCTTCTTCTATCTGACAAGTACCTGTTCATCCTTAACTTTGTGCTCTGTTCCTAGTTTTGTCTTCCTGATAGAACATTTTTACAATACTTATAATTTATTAATATAAATGTGTGTGTGTATGTATTTCCTAGTTTCTTTAGTCCTTGACTCAAATACCCTGTGTTCGAACCTGAACTCTGATGCTTGCAAATTGGTCATACTCACCTTTTCAGCCTCTGTTTCCTCAATTGTAGCATAAGGATAATAATAGTATTTACTTCGAAAAGTTGTTGTATACACTGCATACTGCACTGTAGAGCATTCAGCACAGTACCTGCCGTTCGATAAAGACTCACACAATATTACTGGTTTTCTTATTGCCATCACCTCAATGACATAGGCTGTCTTTAACCAAAGTAACAGCATATTTCTGTCTCCTTTTTGTTGTATTCCTGTTTGATCTTCAATATTCATTGAGTGTCTAGTATACAACTCAAGTACTGTTTTCCAGACACTGGGAATAGTGTTAAACAAAACAGATTCTCTGCTCTCATGGAATTTACAATCCAGTGGAGGAGAATGAGAGCACATAAATAAGAATAATGATGCTAGTGATTAAGTATCGTGAAGAATTTTTAGACACATATTTCATAATTTACATATATTTAGGTTGTCATTTCATTTACTTAGACAGACTAAGGATAAGAATAAGAATAAGACTTTGGAGGAAATGAATTACTATCACACAAAGTCATTTTCACATCTAGGATGCTTTAGAGCCAGAAAATGGTTTTGTCCATCTGTCACTGTCTGAATACCTACTGGTACTCAGCAATTAATTCAAGAGGACAGTGTAGTTTAGATTATTTTGTTTCATGTGACAATTTCTATTTGGAAAGTAATTTAAATAATAGTAGAAGGTTTATGAACCTTAATTAAATGAAGTCTTCAGCTAGTATAATCTGATGGGCTATAGAGTTTTCTAACTATCCATTGCTATTCCTTAACCAGACTAAGAAGGATTCTGCCTCAGGGCCTTGGCACATGAGTTCTTTCTTTCTTTTTTTTTTTTTTGAGACGGAGTCTCGCTCTGTCGCCCAGGCTGGAGTGCAGTGGCGCGATCTCGGCTCACTGCAAGCTCCGCCTCCCAGGTTCACGCCATTCTCCTGCCTCAGCCTCCCGAGTAGCTGGGACTACAGGCGCCCGCTACCACGCCCGGCTAATTTTTTGTATTTTTAGTAGAGACGGGGTTTCACCGTGTTAGCCAGGATGGTCTCGATCTCCTGACCTCGTGATCCGCCCGCCTCGGCCTCCCAAAGTGCTGGGATTACAGGCGTGAGCCACCGCGCCCGGCCCACATGAGTTCTTTCTACCAAGAATGTTCTTCCTGTAGACTTTTGTAAGGTTTGCTACCCCACTCTGCCCTTCACCATGCTACCTAAGCTAGTACTTTCCTCACAGCACTTTCTAGTCCCATACCTGCCTCACTTTTCTTTATAGCACTTAACACCTCCTGACATACATGTGTTTATTGTTTGTCCCCACCACTAAAATGTAAGCTCTTTGAGAGCAGTAATTTGTGTGTTTTGATCACTGCTGTATTTCCAGCACTTAGAAGAGTGAGTACATATAGTAAGTGGCCAATAAATATTCACTAACTGAATAAATACATGCAAGACAGCTTACCAACTTTACAGAGGAAATATTTTAGAATCTATTAAGTAGGACAGTAAATTCTAAGTTTAGGTGAAATGGAGCTAAAGATCATGATTGTTTTCATAAGAGGAGTCAGAAATAGTGATTAAGATGGAATGGAATGGACTGAGAAGAAATAAAGTGAATCTTGGGAAAATTAAGAAAAGAATAAGAAAACAGAATTTAATGTTGTATATTTAAATATATTGTCCAAGAGTATAAATATTCAGAAACATTTGAGTGCAGAAGATGCTGTGGGTCTCACCAATGTGTGAAAGAATAGTCCTTGGACCTCGGGATCATTGTCTAACTTAGCCCTAGTACAAAATCCCTGGAGAATCTGGGCAAAATAAATTGAACACTTGACTTCTCATTTCAGTTTTTATTACTACCTCTTAGTCTTTTGTGCTCTTACTGTTAAGTTGTTTTCACTCAACTAATTATTTATTGTATGTTTACAAAGTGAAAGGGTTGTCATAAATAATGTTTTTTCAAAACAAGAAAAAAATGCTAACTTTTGACAAGCAGTAAAATCTAAGGGCTTTTCTGGAGGGTTTTTCTTGGAAGATGCAAGAGTAAGTTGTTTGGAGTGGAAGTCCCATTCCTACCTCAAGGCTTTCCTGTCTACAGTGATTTTTCTTCAAAGATTGTAAGTGTTTTGTTTAAGCCTTTGTTGCCAGTCTCTCCCTTACTCAACTTTACTTCCTGGGATTTTGAAAAAAATCTCTAAACTAGGGAAACAGAAAAATGGATTAGGTACATACACATTGAGAAGTGATGTCTTTTGGGATCGAATTTGTGACTAGCTGATAATTTACTCAATAATAAAGATATGTGTTTCTAAAGTGTACCCCTTTCATGATAAGGGCTACAGACAATAGAAGTGAAGCTTTTTCGAATCAGAATCCAGAATCAGTATATGAGGAGACTTTTAATCTACTTTATTCATCATTACTCAGTACAGGTTGAGTGCTTATTTTGTGTAAGACATTATAAGGCATAGGAAGTTAACTAAGAAATGAGGAATTTATAATCTAGCAGAAAAGGCAAAAATATACAATCTTTTTGATACAGGTCAGTACTGTAATAAATAAATAAAATAAAAGCTGGTGAGATGCACAGGACAAAGGGATCACTACCAGTAAAGATTCAGAAAAGGCAAGAGGCAGTAAGTGGGATTTCTGTTGGATCTTGCATGAGATTTTCCGATGAAGTAGGATGACAATATATCATGAGCAGAGGCATAGAGATCGAATATTATGGGTCACGTTCAGGCAACAGCAATGTTCCAGAAGAGACAGAAGGGGAGCCAGCGTGGAAAGTGTACCTTAAGAAGGAAGGATATTTCCAACTGAGAGAGAGAGAGGAAGCAGAGACCGAGAGGATAAAGATTCAGAGCAATTTGAAGTGAAGACATCAAGGAGTTTCTTTCAAAGCTTCAAGCTCATTAGATTTGGGAGCAAAGTTATTCATTGAAAGGAGGCAGATGAGAGTTATCTTCAGATCACTTATTCCAATAAGTTTACTTCAGAAAAATATGTCTTGAGAGGTTAGGTGCCTTTCCAGCTTGATACAAAAAACTAGAATCCAGGTCCTCTCATTTCGACTCCAAGTGTTCTTTCTTGCCCAAAGTCAAAATTCCCTAAAGACCTATATACCAAAATAGTTTCCTATGTTAAGCACTTCTTATCAAACAAGTAACTTTGATCTATGCACATGAAATGCAGGCTAGAAAAGAAATCATATAAACCCTCATAAACTCTTATTTTTAGAGGGAAAAAAGGAGATTTGTTGCTTTCAGTTAAATGAAAATAACAGAAGCACTATGTGTCAAACAAGGATGGCATACTGGCTGTGGCTCCAGAGACTGTTGGGGCACTGAGCAGCCCCATTTTCTGCATTACGACCCTTTTGTGGGCCTGATACGCAGCTATCCTAGGACAGCCAAGGAAGGGAATTCTGGGCTTGTTGCTCTTGTGAATCTATAGACCCTGGAATGGATATAGTTCCAACCAATGTCTTAGTTTTAGTTAATTTCATGGGTTTTTCAGAACCAGAAGTTAGGTACTCAGAGTGGTTTCCGGTCATTCATGCTACTTGGTCATCCAAGTAATTGTTGGACTTTAGGCAGCATGGCAAGTTTGGGTTTGGCAGCTGTCAGTCCCAAGTGTGAACGTGACATTGGATCATTGATGTCACAGGAGGACATCAAGGAGAACAAAGAGCTACAGCTATACAGGAAAAAGTTTGAGGAGAAAATATTTTCCTGTTTTTTATCTCTGGAATAGGCAGTTCCCTAATAGTTTTGTAGGCTAATGGATTGTTTGCCCAGATATAAAAGTGAACATACTGGTATGAAGAACAGGATGAACTTACCACTCTTGGCATTTAAAAATGACAAATGCCAGGCTTTTCCATGTGCATACATGTGTATGCTGAGACTAAAACTCTCCTTGAGAAAACCCTGGGACAGCATATGGGGAGTTCTGGGAATGAACTTCTCTGATTCTAAGTGAGCTGAGAGTCTTCACAAGAGCTGGAGTGTCTTGGGCTTCAGAGATTTCCCAGCCCAGGTTTTCAGTTACAAGCTTTAGTTTCAGAGACAGATCTCAGCATCCAGCTCAGGAGAGTGCTGATTCTGCACTCCTGTTACTATTGATACACTGTACAAAATATATGTTTAAAATCTGTTGATACAGTTCATGAGATTTTACAAATATGGGGCATTTAACCTAAACAAAACATTTATGGAAAGTACCAAAAATAAATTTTGGTCCATCAGTGAGCCAACAGGTGTTAGCGTGTTTTGATACTACCATTTTTCCCCTTAATATTAGCCTTTGTTAGTTAGGCGAAACCACGATAATTCCCCAGCCCAAGGTTGGGAACCTTTCTTAAGGATCATATAATAAATGTTTTAGGATTTTCAGAACATATGATCTCTATTGCTACTACTTACCACTAGCTACTGTTGTAAAAGCAGCCACAGACACTATGCAAACGCATGGATTTGCTTATGTTTCAATAAAACTTTATTTATAAAAGCAGCTGATGAGCCCCAGTTTGCCTACTCCTGCTCTAGTCCAATGCCTGTATTTTACTAAAATAAATCTCAGAGGAATATCTGGCTAAAGGTTACACAGTTTCAGGCTTGGGACAAAAATCTATGTATCTTCCTTTTTACTCCATTTAAATTTTTTTTTTTTTTTTTTTTTTTTTTTTTTTTTGAGACGGAGTCTCGCTTTGTCGCCCAGGCTGGAGTGCAGTGGCGAGATCTCGGCTCACTGCAAGCTCCTCCTCCCGGGTTCACGCCATTCTCCTACCTCAGTCTCCTGAGTAGCCGGGACTACAGGTGCCCGCCACCACGCCCAGCTATTTTTTTTTTTTTTTTTTTTTTTTTTTGTATTTTTAGTAGAGACAGGGTTTCACCGTGTTAGCCGGGATGGTCTCGATCTCCTGACCTCGTGATCTGCCCGCCTCAGCCTCCCAAAGTGCTGGGATTACAGGCGTGAGCCACAGTGCCCGGCCTTTTTTTTTTTTTTTTTGAGACAAAGTCTCGCTCTTGTCGACCAGGCTGGAGTGCAATGGTGCGATCTCGGCTCACTGCAATCTCCGCCTCCTGGGTTCAAGCGATTCACCTGCCTCAGCCTCCCGAGTAGCTGGGATTACAGGCATGTACCACCACACCCAACTAATTTTTGTATTTTTAGTAGAGACGGTGTTTCACCATGTTGGCCAGGCTGGTCTCGAACTCCTGGCCTTAGGCGATCTGCCCACCTCGGCCTCCCAAAGTGCTGGGATTACAGGCGTGAGCCACCATACCTGGCCCAAAAACAATCTTTAAACATTGTTTTAGGTATTAATTACATAAATACTCATTAGATATGTGAAAGGTGCAAAGAAGAATAAAACAAACATCTGGTGTGAACATCAGACAGTCAGTTTAGGAAGCAGAGCATTACTGTTTCCTTTGGAGTTCTGCATGTTCTCCTCCCTAGGCCCTTCCCTTTCTCTCCACTTCAGAGGTATTCCCTTAACTGAATTTTGGGTTCTTTATTCCGTTGTTTTTCTTCATGGTCTCATCTCATGTACTTGTATTCTTTTTGCAGGGTTTAAAAAGTCGTTCCCTTAGATGGTTTTATTTCATTTCTTTTGTATTAGAAAGTTTAGAAAAAGGCAGTAAAATTTGGCTTAATGGATAGTCACAGATTTCCTTTATTGGTTTTTTCTTGGCAATACACTGAGCAGGCCCAGGAAGTCGGAGTAGGGTGCCTACAGTATATGACTTTAACTCATTTCATGGCCTATTCTTGGGTTTCTTGTGCCATCACAGAGTGTCATGGGCTGACAGACGAGTGTAGGAGTTTAGTGGCTTTCTACTCCCACCCCACTTCCTGAGGAAATAGTTGTGGTAAATCAGGGCTGTTTCTAGGGATGGCAAGGTATATTGGTCTGACAGTGATTTTATCTTTGAACTAAATGCATATGATAATATGTGCATAATTCTGTTAATTAGAAAAAAATTTTTGAAGAAAAATTTTGTTTGTTGCATATAATAAAAATTTCAATCTTAAGAATAATATTTAGTCAATTATCAAAAGTATTATTAGCTCTAATATTTATGAATATCACATATGTAAATATTAGATCTTAGAATGTGATTTAGATGGACACATTCCTTGCTTTGTAGGTAGCCAAAACTTTTTTAGCATCTAATTTTTCAGGGCATGCCATAGGTGACTCTGATAAAGCATTTTGTTGTCTTCTTGCACAAATGCTTCATTTTTTTTCTCCTTTTTTAATTTTAAAATTCTTTTATTATACTTTAAGTTCTGGGATAAATGTGCAGAATGTGCAGGTTTGTTACATAGGTATACATGTGCCATGGTGGTTTGCTGTACCCATCAACCCGTCATCCAGGTTTTAAGCCCCACATGCATTAGGTATTTCTCCTAATGCTATCCCTCCCCTAGCACCCTATCCCCCAATAGGCCCCAGTGTGTGATGTTCCCCTCCCTGTGTCCATGTGTTCTCATTGTTCAACTCACACTTATGAGTGAGAACACGCAGTGTTCAGTTTTCTGTTCCTGTGTTAGTTTGCTGAAAATGATGGTTTCCAGCTTCATCCATGTCCCTGCAAAGGACATGAACTCATTCTTTTTTATGGCTGCATAGTATTCCATGCTGTATATGTGCCACATTTTCTTTATCTAGTCTATGATTGATGGGCATTTGGGTTGGTTCCAAGTCTTTGCTATTGTAAATAGTGCTGCAGTAAGCATACATGTGCATGTGTCTTTATAATAGAATGATTTATAATCCTTTGGGTATATACCCAGTAATGGGATTGCTGGGTCAAATGGTATTTCTGGTTCTAGATCCTTGAGAAATCGCCATACTGTCTTCCACCAACAGTGTAAAAGCGTTCCTATTTCTCCACAGCCTTGCCAGCATCTGTTGTTTCCTAACTTCCTAATAATCGCCATTCTAACTGGCGTGAGATGGTATCTCATTGTGGTTTTGATTTGCATTTCTCTAATGACCACTGATGATGAGCTTTTTTTCATATGTTTGTTGGCTGCATAAATGTCTTCTTTTGAGAAGTGTCTGTTCATATCCTTCACCTACTTTTTGATGGGGTTGTTTTTTTCTTGTAAATTTGTTTAAGTTCTTTGTAGATTCTGGATATTAGCCCTTTGTCAGATGGATAGATTGCAAAAATTTTCTCCCAATCTGTAGGTAGCCTGTTCACTCTGATGATAGTTTCTTTTGCTGTGCAGAAGCTCTTTAGTTTAATTAGATCCCATTTGTCAATTTTGGCTTTTGTTGCAATTGCTTTGGTGTTTTAGTCATGACGTCTTTCCCCATGCCTATGTCCTGAATGGTATTGCCTAGGTTTTCTTCTAGCGTTTTTATGGTTTCAGGTCTTACGTTTAAGTCTTTAATCCATCTTGAGTTAATTTTTGTGTAAGGTGTAAGGAAGGGGCCCAGTTTCAGTTTTCTGAATGCCAGTTTTCCCAATGCCATTTATCAAATAGGGAATCCTTTCCCTATTGCTTTTTTTTTTTGTCAGGTTTGTCAAAGATCAGATGGTTGTAGATGTGTGGTGTTATTTCTGAGTTCTCTGTTCTGTTCTATTGGTCTATATCTCTGTTTTGGTACCAGTACTATGCTGTTGTGGTTCCTGTAGCCTTGTAGTATAGTTTGAAGTCAGGTAGCATGATGCCTCCAGCTTTGTTCTTTTTGCTTAGGATTGTCTTGGCTATACTGGCTCTTCTTTGGTTCCATGTTAAGTTTAAACTAGTTTTTTCTAATTCTGTGAAGAAAGTCAATGGTATCTTGATGGGAATAGCATCGAATCTATAAATTACTTTGGGCAGTAAGGCCATTTTCACGATGTTGATTCTTCCTATCCATGAGCATGGAATGTTTTTCCATTTGTTTGTGTCGTCTCTTATTTCCTTGAACAGTGGTTTGTAGTTCTTCTTGAAGAGGTCCTTCACATCCCTTGTAAGTTGTATTCCTGGGTATTTTTATTCTGTTTGTAGCAATTGTGAATGGGAGTTCACTCATGATTTGGCTCTCTGTTTGTCTGTTATTGGTGTATAGGAATGCTTGTGATTTTTACACATTTATTTTGTATCCTGAGACTTTGCTGAAGTTGCTTATCAGCTGAAGGAGTTTTTGGGCTGAGATGCTGGGGTTTTCTAAATATACAATCATGTTATCTGCAAACAGAGACAGAGAGACATGGAACATGTCTCAAAATAATAAGAGCTATTTATGACAAACCCACAGCCAACATCATACCGAATGGGCAAAAGCTGGAAGGATTCCCTTTGAAAATCAGCACAAGACAAGGATGCCCTCTCTTACCACTCCTATTCAACATAGTATTGGAAGTTCTGGCCAGGGCAATCAGGCAAGAGAAAGAAATAAAAGATATTCAAATAGTCTTTTTTCTTTTTCTTTCTTTTTTTTTTTGACAGTGTCTTGCTCTGTCACCCAGGCTGAAGTGCAGTGGTGTGATCTTGGCTCACTGCAACCTCTGACTTCTGTATTCAAGCCATTCTCCTGCCTCAGCCACCTGAGTAGCTGGGACTACAGGCCTGTGCTACCACGCCTGGCTAACTTTTGTATTTTTAGTGGAGACGGGGTTTCACATATTGGCCAGGCTGGTCTTGAACTCCTAATCTCAAGTGATCTACCTGCCTAACTCAGTGTAGGTTGTTCCTCAGGGATAGTGAAAAGTTTGAGCTGATCCATTCAGATACCTTTACCTTCAGTTACTTTGGGAAGTAATTGGTTGCTGGGTTATTTCTGACCATGGCATGGGATGAAAAGAACTGCCATGAGAGGTTGGCACTGTGTTCCAGTATCTCTCTCAATTGTCTCAAAATATTTTTCAAATTTCAATTCCAATTGTAACTACCCTAGTGCATAATTTCATATTTTGATTACTTCAATTCAGTACCTTCTTGTCTGGCCTTCTTGCCTCTTTTTCAATGGTTCTCAGTTCTGGCTGCACATTGAAATCACCTGAGAGCTAAACTGCTAATGCCTGGTCTATCCCACAGAGATTTGTATTTAATTGGTCTGGGGCACAGCTTGAGAATATTAAAATCACCTTACATTCTAAGTACTCTCTAGATGATTCTAATGAGCAGCTAAGGTTGAGGGCCACTGCTCTTGTACAAGAGGGTCATCTTTTTTAACCTATCATCTGACGTGAGTGATATTTGAGAGGGAGAATGGATAAGACTTGGGAAGTGATCACATATTTAGCATGAGAAAGAAGATGAGTATAAGACATTGCATAGGCTTTGAGCTTTTGCAATGGATGGATGAAGGTGCCTTTTACTGAGATAGCAAAAATAGACATGCTGCTTAAGAGAAAAAATAAGGATTTAGTTTTGAACGAGAGAATTTGAGCAACCCATGGGGAAATCCCTTTGAAAATCACAATTGTTAGGAAATATCAGTGCTGACTAGAAATAAAATAGGAATGTATTCTCTATTGCTAAAAATAGTAAAGAATCCCTGCCAGGTGCTTAACTTTCGCTTACATATTTCTAGCAAAAGAGAATGAATTACTCATTCTATCTTTGGGCAGCTAAAATAGTTTGAAGGTTCTTCCTTATATTGACCCCGCATCTGCCTTGCTCCTAACCTCTGTCCAGTGATCCTTTTGATGTCTTTGGAGTTATTCACAACAAGTCTACTTTCTCTTCCATGAGATAGTCTTCAAGCCTCAGAAGAAATTTACTCTCAAGTGTTCTCTTCCTTGGGCCCATGGCCACCAGGTCCTCATTTAATATGCTTGCAATAACCATACTTTCTAACTCATCTTCTTATCAAGTCAGCTAAACATAAATGTTAATGAAATACCTTAGACCCGATAAGCATTTCCTAATCATGTCTTTATTTAATGACATTTAATATCCTAACTTAAAAAAACCTCATGATATATTTGCAGTATAGAAGAGGTGATATTGTCTGAAATAATGCTCTTCTTTTTTCTTTTATACTCCATTATATATTTTTAAAAATTACATTTAAAAATAGAAAATGTGTGTAAAAATACTTTATATTTTGTTGAATAAAATATTCTTATAATTGATTTAAGAATTAGCTCAACATGGTCAAGTATTTGATTGTTTTGTTTCAAGATTGATGATAATGGTTATTTAAAAGTCTGTAAAGTTATAGAAGAGAGGAGTCACTCAAGGACCAAACACGAGACTCATGCTATTTCTCTTGCAGAAGATTTAATCTTCAAGGATAAATGCGGCATTCAGTTTCCCACTGCTGCTAGTCCAGAAGGTATGCACACATTTGGATAACTGAGCTCCCTTTTCTTCCCTTGGAAACTGTTTTGAGCTCGGAATTTGTTGTTTAGATCATGATTTCATACGTCAGAGGATTGGAAGTCTCCTTTAGGTACTTGGCAGAGCCAGGACATTTTTCCATATATAGCTGGAAAAACCTTTCTTGCCCATTCTGGTTTGAAAGAATGTTATTAAAAGTTCATTCCTGCTTTCTTTTCTTTTTCTCTTTTTTTTTTTCCTTTTTTGCTAAGGAACAGAAGTGGGCACTAAAAATTCGTGCCTGGAAGAACTAAGACTTGCTCCAACATAGAGGACTGGCTGCGTGTTCTGAGAACCTCCCCTAGGTGTTCTCGGTCATTCCCTTTATAGCACTCACAGGCACATCTGTGGGTGGCAATTATTGATTCCTTCCTGGCCCACTTCCTCCTCATGGCTCTGGGAAGCCCCACAGGCTGACTTTGCAGAGATGAATCAAGGCAGTGGCTAATCTCCTGAGTCATGGCCAGAGGCTCTTTGGTTACTCTCTGAAGATGGGATCTGTTTACCTCAGAGTTCCCTCTCTGAGGGTATTTGGAATTTTGGATGGTGGCCTGGAATTCTGGAGAGTGGAGTTCTCTAGGGAAAAGTTGTGCTGGTAGCAGTCGGCTTATAAAGTTTATGCTGTCTGCCCTTTGATAAGGGTCATAGGATGTAGTAAATATTCTTTGGGAAAATAAAAAGTCCAGTGGACCCTCAATTCTGGCTTTGCAGGTACTGTGACCTCCAGGCATCAGTGTAGGGAAATGGGAAGTGAGCTCTCTTTGAATCTCTCCTTCATCTGCACCTATTGTGGTTCTACTCAGATTTCAAGCTGATCTTCAAGTGAGAGTGAGGCAGACTTTGTTTGAATCTTTGACTTTGGTCAAAGTGTGGCGCTTTGGTCAAGTTAACTTGCTTATTTGGACTTGCTTTCTTCATCTGTAAACTGGGGTTAACCATGCCTATTGCACAGGGATTTAGGTGAGGATTAAATGAGATTAGGTGGGTTAATGTATACAAGATGGTTAGCATATCTTCTTAGGAAAGCAAGTGTTTTTAGTGAAAAGGAGATGGATTTTGGAACCATTCATACTTCATTTCCCTGGTGGATCTCTTCTTTCCTAGCTGCACGATTGATCACTGAAGATGCCCAAGCATTTTGTTCTGTAACCTTTGGTTTCATCTTCTGTAAAACTGTACCATTCTCAGAGGACTGTTTTAAGATTTAAGTGGACCATCTTGTCCTACTTGGGCAGGAATTAGTAGACACTCAACAAATATTAGCTCACCTTCTCCAAGGGCTTTACCCAAGCCCTCCTTTTACCCCACGACCATCTCAGAGATGATTGCTCCTTTTCTTGCCCTTTCAGGTTTTTTGTTTGTTTATTTTTGTTTATCAGCTCACCTCAATATCTGGGTGAGAAACTCTGTTTCTTACTGCACATCAGTCTCTTCTCTACTTGATGGTCAATTGCTTTGAAGCAGAATCTTCATCCTATTCATCTCTGTTCTCACAGGCTTCTGATATCAAACCATATTCCTTTATTCCCGGCAACCCGAAAATATCCCCTTTCCCCTCAATTCCCTTAAACTTGAATTCCAGGTTAATTCAGAGTTAATTTCTTAACCTTTTCTGCCTGACTCAAATATCCTGCAATAAATGATGTGAGAAGTAAATAGCTTAGTGTTCAATGTAACGCATATTACATTTAGTATTTACTTCAAAATAAAATAACTTGTGTTTCTATTATTGTTCTATAAAATGTAAGAGGGAAGCTAGAATAAAGATGATCTAGAAGTGGAAGCTTTATATTTTGATATAAAATTAATGGACAGGATGTTTATTTAAAGTAAACTAAGCCTGAACACATTGTGAAATGAATCACAATCCAGAATGTTGATATTTTGGGTATAATACACCTTATTCAAAAACTCCAAAAGCACACTGATTCAGTCATCTTTTAATAATACTTTAGTTTTGGGAGGCTGAGGCGGGCAGATCACTTGAGCTCACAAGTTTGAGACCAGCCTGGGCAACATGGGGAAACCCCATCTCGACAAAAATACAAAAATTAGCTGGTTGCTTGCCTCTTTAGTCCCAGCTACTCTGGAGGCTGAGGTGGGAGGATCAACTGAGCCTGGGTAGGCTGAGGCTGCAGTGAGCTGTGATAGTACCACTGAGCTCCAGCCTGGGTGACAGAGTGTGACCCTGTCTCAAAAAATAAATAAATAAATAAATAAAATAAAAAATAAAGTTTAGCAATTTAGAAAAGAAAATATTTTTTTCTTGATTTTCGGATATTCCCTTTTATATTTGAGGGAATATCTGAAAATCAAGTTTTCTCCAAGAATAGAAAAAATAATCAGGTTTGCTTCAGAAATTATGGTTTAAATATTAATTAGAACTGCATAAAATATTGTACTTTATTTACCTTTGGAAGATCACCCTTTGCTTCCAGGCATTAAGAGTATGAATTAGGCCAGGATTTGGGAGTTGCTAATACTGTTAATTATTCCCCTCTTTTCCTTCTCTTGTTTCTTTAGCTTCCTGTCCAATTTGTGAGGAATGCCTAATACCCTGAGTCTGGCACCTGAACACTTTTAGCATATAATATTCACTAGGATAATAGATCAAGAGTTTTCAGTAAAAACATTGGGCATTTGCTCAGTGACCTGCAACATAGCCTGTGCCTTTTGTCCCGAGTTCCAGTTTATGCTGCCCTTGAGTCCCTGTCAGAACACAGGGAGAAACATTCCCGACCCCCTGGAAAGCATTCCTTGCATGCATAGGAGTCTCTGGAAAGTTATACTTTTGAAGAAAATGGAGAGAGCCGCTACCACTTCATACATCTTAATGCTTCCAGGATTATTTTCTAATGCCAGTCCCTTTAGACCTCCTTAAAAATACATTTGAGTCACAGCATTGGACACTTCCACAGGGAACACTGAATCTATATTAACTGCCTTAGCTATCACACGAGGTGATGGCTGGGAAGAAGGTGCTGTCTGGAATCCATCAACTTGGTTTTCTGACTAGGCAAGAAAAATGAAAAGCAAAAAACACATGAAAAAATGCTCATCATCACTGGCCATCAGAGAAATGCAAATCAAAACCACAATGAGATACCATCTCACACCAGTTAGAATGGCAATCATTAAAAAGTCAGGAAACAACAGGTGCTGGAGAGGATGTGGAGAAATAGGAACACTTTTACACTGTTGGTGGGACTGTAAACTAGTTCAACCATTGTGGAAGTCAGTGTGGCGATTCCTCAGGGATCTAGAACTAGAAATACCATTTGACCCAGCCATCCCATTACTGGGTATATACCCAAAGGAATATAAATCTTGCTGCTATAAAGACACATGCACACGTATGTTTATTGCGGCATTATTCACAATAGCAAAGACTTGGAACCAACCCAAATGTCCTACAATGATAGACTGGATTAAGAAAATGTGGCACATATACACCATGGAATACTATGCAGCCTTAAAAAATGATGAGTTCATGTCCTTTGTAGGGACATGGATGAAATTGGAAATCATCATTCTCAGTAAACTATCGCAAGAACAAAAAACCAAACACCGCATATTCTCACTCATAGGTGGGAATTGAACAGTGAGATCACATGGACACAGGAAGGGGAATATCACACTCTGGGGACCGTGGTGGGGTGGGGGGTGGGGGGAGGGGGGAGGGATAGCATTGGGAGATATACCTAATGCTAGATGACGAGTTAGTGGGTGCAGCGCACCAGCATGGCACATGTATACATATGTAACTAACCTGCACAATGTGCACATGTACCCTAAAACTTACAGTATAATAAAAAAAAATTAAAAAAAAAAAGAAAAATGAAAAGCTTTCTCTTATGCTGGATCTTCAAATTTTGGTTTGGAAAATGCCTTCTGACTCCAACAATGTAAGCTGAAATATGTAGAGATAAAATGATGGGACCAAAGCTGAAAGTGTACATTTTGGCTTAATGAATAGGAAATGAATAGCTTCCCCTGTCACACGACTTCATGGGTGTTCTCTCTGGAGGCAGAAGTCACTTTTAGTTACTAGGAAAAAAAGAAAGTCAATGTGAAAACACTTGGAAGATATCCATGTATATGTTAAACATATTTGGACTCCAAGGGCCAGTTTGCCAAGTTAGAGTCCCGTATGCTAATGAAGTTGCTAATTCTAGTCTCCACCAATGATATTCAGCTGTGGGAAAAGACTGCTTCATCACTAAAGCCTTTTTAGCATAAAATGCAAGTAAAATAATAGCAGCAGCAAAAAGCAACCAGTTTACAGGGGTGTTGCAAACTGACCTAAGCCAATGTGTCATGAGAAACGATTAGGTTCTTTCAATAAATAACATTTACCCATAGTTAGAGGTGGGCAGAGGTTAGCTATTCCACTACGCATTCCCCTACCAGGTTACAATAAAAGCAAGACTTGATCAAATTTCATCATACATACAATGTTTAGATATTTTTAGGTAAACATTTATCAGACAGCTTGCTTTATAAACTTGAGGAAGTCTCAAATGATCAAGGAAGAAATGCTTTGTCTACTCATTGCATGAAAGATTTACTCAAGGCAGTAAGAATACTCTAGGGGAAGAACTCAATTAACTTTTTACCAGAATCCTCCAAACCTATGGTTGGACACAAACTATGGTAGTTTAGGGTTCAGCCTTGGACCCCATGGTGGAGGCAAAGTTTTCTCTTTCCTTTTCATAAAAGGGTAGGGAATGTCTTGGTTTTATATATATATATATATTTAAACAATTCACCCATCTCGAATATACATTAATTTTGCCAGTGATAGTCCATTTTTAATATCCATTATACTAATTAATATGTTACTATTTTAATCAAGAAAAACTCATTTCTAACATTCATTGTGTTAATTAGTAAAGCCTCTGGCCAGACTAGAAATAGAGAGAGTTGAAGCATTTGTAGTAACCACTGATAGTGTGGTCTTTCTGATTAAATGTTAGCTAACCATCCCAGGAGTATGGATCCCCAATTAGGGTAACTGAAACACTTTAGGGTATATTAAGTTAATTTACACATTCGTAATGTTGGAGCATTTAAGAGTAAATCACAGACATCATGACATGGGTGTAAAGAAAAAGCAAAAAGTGAATATCTGATTTATATGGTAGTGAAAATATATAGGTCCTATTTGCTTTCACATTAAATTTTTATGTTATTTTTTTTTTTTTTGAAATGGAGTTTTGTTCTTGTAGTCCAGGCTGGAGTGCACTGGCACAATCTCGGCTCACCTCAACCTCTGCCTCTTGGGTTCAAGTGATTCTCCTGCCTCAGCCTCCTGAATAGCTGGAACTACAGGTGCACGCCACCACACCCAGCTAGTTTTTGGTATTTTTAGTAGAGACGGGGTTTCACAATGTTGGCCAGGCTTGTCTCAAACTTCTGACCTTGTGATTTGCCCGCCTTGGCATCCCAAAGTGCTGGGATTACAGATGTGAGCCATTGTGCCCGGCCATATTTTTATGTTAAAATAGTCAGCACATGAAAGAGATACTGTTAAACAACTTTATCAAATAGCAGTCCTGTGTCGCAGGGTGATTTATTAAATCAGTTAAGTCAATAAACAGTTATTGAATACCTACTGTGTGAGGGGGTTACAGAGATGAGAGGACACAGTTCTTGTCTTTGGCTCACTTTAACTGATGTAAGTAGGACCACAACATAAGGCAATTGCTGCACAATGGAAGGGCGCACCATTTATTACAGGTGAACAGGAGGCTCTGCAATAGTGGCCTGGAAGGGAGTAACACAGTGTCTGAGAAGGGCATGTTGTTTCCTCATAAATAACCTGGAACATGATTCATATTGTTGGAATTAAGAGTTGGATAAAGAAGCATTTATTTAAAACGTTGTCAGGGACATGGAGCTCTTCCCAAGGAGCCAAAATACCATTTAGAGTTCTAGAGATCCTGCATTCTTGTTTTGACTGCATGCTCTGGACAGTTTGCAGCTCAGGTAAGAACAATTCCAACTTCCAGATGAGATTAGAGCCTAGAAGGGGTTTAATCTTCAAATCATCTGCTAACTTAAAAACAAAATTTGGAAACAGTAATGATTAACCTGATTAAAGCTGCTCTCAAGGATCAACCAGTAAAAGAAGTGATAGCGGTGTCAACAATACCACATAAAGTAGCAGGATTTGTATGTCAGCAGTCCCATTTTTCAAGATGCCAAGTCTAAATCTATTTCCTACCCATATTTAAATGAGGAGCCAGTTTTGGAGGAATTTTACTTGTCAAGTGTGAAAGAGAGGAAGAGTCAGAAGACACTCTTTCCAAGAATTCTGTGGATAAAAGGAGGGTTTTTTTTTTTAAACCAAACCTCAAAATTTTACTCTTCAGAAGGAGATTTTTTTTTTTTTTGAAGTCCGATGGCAGCAGGATGTGAGATTCCCAGTTCAGTGGTGCTGGGAGTTAAGCAGAAGAAGGTGGAGATCTTTCTTCTTCATAGCATGTGCTCCTTTCACAGAAGCAGCTTGTTAATCGTCAGGAAGGATTTCAGACAACCTAGTGATGATTTCCAGCTCAACTGCTTCCCTTCCATGAGGCACCGATACCCTATTTGTGTGTGATAAGGTGATGATTTCCCTTTCATCTCAAAGCTCTGACTCAAGTGGTTGGAGGGGCTTGGTGATGCGAAGGCTGAGAGAGATACAGAGATGAAGGATGATTTCTTTACCAATGACACTTCTTTAGGTATCTCAGTTGTTATTGTTTCTAGAATTAGTATAAGATTTTTCAGAGGACAATAGGAGAAATAGCTAAGTTAGCATCAGACAATATACCAGCTTTAGTTGCTATAACTAAGAGCCTGGTAGGCATATGTCTGTGATTGCTTGTGGTCATATTAGTGCTGCAACTTGGAGATGTTGAAACCTTCCTTTGTCCTAACCATTAAATTCTTGAGGCAAAGATTGCCTAATTCTTCTCTGTGTTTTACTTGGTAGGAGTACATTTTCAGCATTCAGATAACATTATTTTGACTACTTATCAGTAATTTGTTTCATTCCTTTTCCACAGATAATATTTGTTTTTGGTAGTTTCCAAAAATGACTGATTTGGTGTTTCAAGTATTTTTAAGCACTGGGAAAGAATATAAGTTGTTTTTAGCTTTTTATCTTTCTAGTTTCTAGGCAGTGTGGATATTCCATACTGGTTAAGATTATAGGCTCTGGACTTAAACTCTCTGGATTCAGTAGTGGCTCAGTTACTCACTAGCTGTAAACATGGGCAAGTTTCTTAATGTTCTCTAGTTTTCAGTTTTCTCATTTATAAAACAGAGATACTGATAGTATTTACATTTAGGGTTGTTGTGAGGAGGAAAGGGAATAATCCATGCTGTACACTTATATATGTACAATGCAGTCCATGCAATGGCACATAGTTAGCACTCAATATATATCATCATCATCATCATCTTCATTACCAGCAGCTGCAGCAGTTTAGAGACCAGGACAGAGTCATGGTTAAGAGAGCAGGCTTTCAGAGAAGGCCAATTCAAATTGCATACCAGATACTGCCCAAAAATAAGAGTGAAGGGAAAATCAAAGATGGACTCTGATGCCCGGTGCCCAGCAAAATGATGTAGGCTAAAAAGTTATTACCTGCTCAAATAAAAAATGGGCAAAAGAACTGAACAGATACCTCACTAAAAATATACATGATGACAAGCATATGGAAAGATGTCATTTTTGTCATTAGGGAATTGCAAATTAGACAAGATTAGGCATGTTCAAGGTAGTATGGCTGTAGATGAGAATTGCAAATTAAACAACAATAAGAAACCACTGTACACCTATTAGAATGGCAAAAATCCAAAAAAACTGACAATACCAATTGCTGGCAAGAATGCAGAGCAAAAGGAACCCTCATTCATTGCTTCTGGGAAAACAAAATGGAACAGCCACTTTAAAAGATAGTTTGACAGTTTCCTACAAAGCTAAATATAGTCTTATCACACCAGAAATTGTACTCCTAGTTATTTACCAAATGGATTTGAAAACTTGTCTACACAAAAACCTACATGTGAATGTTTTGACAGCTTTATTAATAATTTCTGAAAACTAGAAACAACAAAAATGTCCTTTAATAGGTGATTAGATAAATTGTGGTATATCATAAAATAAAATATTATTCATTGATAAACAGAAATAGCTATCAAGCCACAAAAAGAAATGGATGAATCTTAAATGCATATTGCTAAGTGAAAGGCTACATACTCTATGGTTCCAATTATATGATATTCTGGAAAAGTGACTGTAGTAATAGTAAAACTATTAGTGGTTGCTGGCAGAGGAAGCAGGGTTGAGTAGGTGAAGTACAGAGAATTTTTTAGGGTGGTGATGCTATTTTGTATGATATTGTAATTATGGATATATGATACTATGTATTTGTTAAAACCCATAGAACTTTATAGTACACAGAGTGAACCTTAATGTATGCAAATGAAAAAATAATTTAAGGGGTTGGGGGATCCTAGGATTGAATGCAGAATGTGACAAGACGATAAAAGGAACCAAGGAAAAGGAACCAAGGCTCCTTATGTAAGTGGATGATTCTAGGACTGGGCAGGAGATGTACGCGATGAACCTGTAGTATCTTGTAGTGCCATGAAGTAAGGAAGAGCTTAAAACAAAACAATAACAACAACAAACAAATCCACAAGAATGGGTTATATCAAAGGGACCCAGGAGCCAACTGAAAGAGCTTCCAATGGCCAACACTGGAACTGTTTGAGCAACAACATAAAGTAGTACTGGAACCTGCCCCACCGCCACCCCAAATAAAATAGATCCGTGAGTCCATACTGATATAAAGAGTACAGTGTGGAAAGGTGGGTTAAAGTAACTTTACAGTGGAGAAACCCAACAAAAACTAGCCAGGTGAGCAAGGTTAACCTCAACAGTGAGAAATCATTTGATAGTATATATTCTCTATACATACATATTTATCACTTGATATGATAAAAATGGCACCTTACCTCTGTTGTCTTCCTCCTCCAAACCCATAACCCCAGTCTGATCATGAGAAAAACATCAGATAAATCCCAGTTCAGGGACATGTTATATAATACTTGACCAGTACTCAAAACTAATAAGGTAATCAAAAACAGGAAAAGAATGAGAAACTATCACAGCCGAGAGGAGCCTAAGGCGGAGACATGTCAACTAACTGCAGTGTGGTTTCCTGGATGAGAGCCTGGAACAGAAAGAGGGCGTTAGGCAAAAACTAAGGAAATTAGAAGAAAATATGGATTTTAGTTAATATATCAGTAATAGTTCATTAACTATAAAAACATGTACCATAATATGTAAGATATAAATAGGAGAAACGGAGTATGGAGTATATAGGAACTCTCTGTACTATTTTCATTATTTTTCTACAGTCTGATACTGTTCTAAAAATTAAAGTTTATTATAAAAAATAATGGTCCATTTAAAAGAAGATTTTTAACAAGGGTAAAGTTGGCCAGGCACGGTGGCTCATGCCTGTAATCCCAGCACTTTGGGAGGTTGAGGCAGGCAGATAGCTTGAGCCCAGGAGTTTGAGACCAGCCTGAGCAACATGGCGAAACTCAATCTCTGCCAAAAAAATCCCAAAAAACAAAAAACGAAAAATTAACCAGGTGAGGTAGCATGCACCTGTAGTCCCAGCTACTAGGGGAGCCTGAGGTGGGAGGATCACTTGAGCTTAGGAGGTTGAGGCTGCAGTGAGCTGTGATTGCACCATTGCACTCCAGCCTGGGCAACAGACGGAGACCCTGTCTCTCTCTCTCTCTCTCTCTCTCTCTCTCTCCCTCACACACACACATACACACACAAAGTAAAATAATGACTCACATACAGATATAAAAATTATTATAGTGTTAAAAGATTTTACTTAATTCATAATGAAGGAACAAGGCAGATGCTACAACTAGTTTAAAGATAAATCCAAAGATCAGATATATTTATAGATCAAAAATATTGAAATGAACATGCAAATGGAGGCAAAACTAGCTTCTTTTGCTGGGAGGAAAGCAAGTCAGTTTAACCTCCACTGGACAGGACATAATGTGCATGTCTATAGACAAGAATTGTTTTGTATTGCAATCGGTTACCTATAATTTATAGAGTTGTAAGACAACACCCATAGGGTCAGAATCAGATACCCAGAAGGATGTTTTCTAGACAATGTATAGTTTTGTACTGAAGCACAAAGATTTTCTTACAGGGCATTTACCCACATGTCGTTTACTATCATGATGTTTTAACATAACTAAAAAAATCAAAATCAAGATAGTTATTGGAAGCTCCACCTCCTTGACAATTCTAATGATGTTCCTGTGTCTTCAAAACCCCCACTCATTGACTTCCTTTATAGTTGTCATTAGTTCTGCTCCAAAATATTTTGGCTGTCTGCCTTCCTAACACAGAGTAAGAATGCATTTCCTAGCCTCTTTGAAGTTAGGCATATGACTTGTAATCACCAATGATACAAGAGAGGAAGTGACTTATGTTCTATCCAGGAGGACATTTTAAGGGCTGGTACAAGGTTTGCTACATTTCCTTTTCCTGCCTGCATGAATGGGGAAATATGTGTCCAAATGGAGCTTCTGTATGCCTGATTCTCTGAGTGACTAAGAAGAGCAGAGCACTCTCCTGATGACCTGTGTTGACCTTGAAGCATGAATGAGAAATAAACTCATTGTATTAAGTCTCTGGAAGAAAATGACAAGTTCTTAGATTGCTTGGGTTTGAATCCTGGCTACACACCATTTACTAGTTGTGTGATCTTGGGCAACTTCCCTAACCTCTTTGTGCTTTGATTTCCTTATCTGGAAAATGAGGGTAATAATAATGCCTAGCCATAGGGTGGTCATGAAAATGAAATAAGATCATATATATTGTCTTCTGGCACAAAGTCAATAGCAACTGGGTTATTGTTTATCCATTGGTCTTTTTGACTCTGCAACTCAAAATTTATCAGTGGTCCGTCAAATTAAACTTTTGAATATGAAACATTAATCACAATGCTGTTCAGAATGGCACAGCTATTTCTGCAGGGGAGAGTGAAAGGGACAGCTGTTCCACAGACTGTCTCAGAATGCTCATTGGAAGACTTGTGTGTATCATCTTTCTCTCCAGTGCTTTTGATGTTGAGTGGTTTGTGAAACATGAAGAAACTGGACACTACCATGTAGCATGGGATGCTACATCAGTGACAAGCAGAGGACAGAGTGCCTGAGGAAGACTGAGATTTCTTTCTTGGAATTGGAAATTATTACTATTTTTCTAGCTCCTTTGAAATGGTAACTTCATATTTTGAAAAAATTATTAACCAAATGGCTGCTTCATTTTATTGTAACATTTCTGATGAGTGAAACAATTGAAATTAATGGAATGATTGCAAAATAGAGTAAGTATATAATAACATATGCAAAAGTACCTAAGGTTGCTTGCATAGGTTTATGCTGCTCAAATTATTATAGTTCTTACAGACAGTGTCTAGTGTAAAAAGATACACCTGCTGTGGTCTTGTGCCCTCTGAAGAATATATATAGAACTAAGGGTGAAATGACTTGGCATATTTTCTATAACTTTGTTGCAGCTGTTTTCCAAAAGTGGGCAAATATCCAGCATTATTTGCAAGCCAATGTAATGTTCTTTGCAAACCATGAAAGCCTTTCGTATTTTGATTTATGAGCAAGTTAATTTCCCAGCTCAATGAGAAAGGCCATGGAGATGAAATTGAATGTATACTTATGCCTTTAGTATCTAGTGATTGTACAGTCATGTGTCGCTAACGACAGGGCATTGTTAGGCGATTTTGTCATCATACAAACATCATAGAGTATACTCACATTGACAGACTTAGACGGTGTAGCCTATTACACACCTAGGCTACATGATACAACCTATTGCTCCTAGGCTACAAAGAATGCAGCATGTTACTGTACTAAATACTGTAGGCAATTATAACACAATGGTATTTGTGCATCTAAACATATCTAAAAATAGAAAAGGGACAGTAAAAAATACAGTATTATAATCTGTCATATATGAGGTTGGTTGTTGAACAAAGCGTTATGTGGTACATGACTGTATTTCTTCTGAAAATTTGGTTTATATTGAATGATAGCAAACCAGCATCTATCAGTTGCTGAGTGTTACTTATAATGGCATGGAACCTATGAAATAGGAAAACAAGAGGCACCTCTATTAATTAATAGGGGTCCTTTTCAAAGTTTCGGGTGAAAAATTACTGGTTGTGGTAAGAATGTATGCCTTGATTATAAATATTGGCGTGGAAAAATGTCCTCATACTTAATTCAGGCGGATATAAGCTTTTATAGTTGAATTAAATAAATGGATAAAAGTTCAAAAAATACAAATCAAATTTAAATAAATAAATAAATAAGCATTTCTTTACCTAATACTTGGAGAAACAAGCATACCTGTACTTACCCACCAAAATCTCTATTTTCATGACTTAATTTCTATGCACACTCCACTCTTGTTCCACCTCTGTACCTTTGATCACACCGTCTCTCTCACCTGACATACACTTCTTTGAGTTTAATGTACAACAGAAACTGCATATCTTTTCTGAAATATCAGAAAACTGAAATCCAGTTCACACTGTTATTTCTCTCATCAGAATTTTTACAACTCTTTTACTGGGTATCTCATAATATAACAGTCATGAAAACTTGTGTTATTATCTTTATATTTAATGTTTCTATATTTTCTCCTTTTGTATTTGGGTGGTGTTAGTGAAGGAAAGTGCCCTATCTAGCAGAATTCTAGGTACAGATAGAGACAAGTGCAGGTTGATTGATAAATTCTTTTTTTTTTTTTTTTTTAAATTTATTTTTTTATTGATAATTCTTGGGTGTTTCTCACAGAGGGGGATTTGGCAGGGTCATGGGACAATAGTGGAGGGAAGGTCAGCAGATAAACAAGTGAACAAAGGTCTCTGGTTTTCCTAGGCAGAGGACCCTGCGGCCTTCCGCAGTGTTTGTGTCCCTGATTACTTGAGATTAGGGATTGGTGATGACTCTTAACGAGCATGCTGCCTTCAAGCATCTGTTTAACAAAGCACATCTTGCACCGCCCTTAATCCATTTAACCCTGAGTGGACACAGCACATGTTTCAGAGAGCACAGGGTTGGGGGTAAGGTCACAGATCAACAGGATCCCAAGGCAGAAGAATTTTTCTTAGTGCAGAACAAAATGAAAAGTCTCCCATGTCTACTTCTTTCTACACAGACACGGCAACCATCCGATTTCTCAATCTTTTCCCCACCTTTCCCGCCTTTCTATTCCACAAAGCCGCCATTGTCATCCTGGCCCGTTCTCAATGAGCTGTTGGGCACACCTCCCAGACGGGGTGGTGGCCGGGCAGAGGGGCTCCTTACTTCCCAGTAGGGGCAGCCGGGCAGAGGCGCCCCTCACCTCCCGGACGGGGCGGCTGGCCGGGCAGGGGGCTGACCCCCCCACCCCCCCACCTCCCTCCCGGACGGGGCGGCTGGCTGGGCAGAGGGGCTCCTCACTTCCCAGTAGGGGCGGCCGGGCAGAGGCGCCCCTCACCTCCCGGACGGGGTGGCTGGCCGGGCAGGGGGCTGACCCCCCCACCTCCCTCCCGGACGGGGCGGCTGGCCGGGCAGAGGGGCTCCTCACTTCCCAGTAGGGGCGGCCGGGCAGAGGCGCCCCTCACCTCCCAGACGGGGCGGCTGGCCGGGCGGGGGGCTGACCCCCCCACCTCCCTCCCAGATGGGGCGGCTGGCCGGGCGGGGGGCTGACCCCCCCACCTCCCTCCCGGACCGGGCGGCTGGCCGGGCAGAGGGGCTCCTCACTTCCCAGTAGGGGCGGCCGGGCAGAGGCGCCCCTCACCTCCCAGACGGGGCGGCTGGCCGGGCGGAGGGCTGACCCCCCCACCTCCCTACCGGACGGGGCGGCTGGCCAGGCTGAGGGGCTCCTCACTTCCCAGTAGGGGCGGCCGGGCAGAGGCGCCCCTCACCTCCCGGACGGGGCGGCTGGCCGGGCGGGGGGCTGACCCCCCACCTCCCTCCCGGATGGGGCGGCTGGCCGGGCGGGGGGCTGACCCCCCCCACCTCCCTCCCGGACGGGGTGGCTGCCGGGCGGAGACGCTCCTCACTTCCCAGATGGGGTGGCTGCCGGGTGGAGAGGCTCCTCACTTCTCAGACGGGGCAGCTGCCGGTCGGAGGGTCTCCTCACTTCTCAGACGGGGTGGTTGCCAGGCAGAGGGTCTCCTCACTTCTCAGACGGGGCGGCCGGGCAGAGACGCTCCTCACCTCCCAGACGGGGTCTCGGCCGGGCAGAGGCGCTCCTCACATCCCAGATGGGGCGGCGGGGCAGAGTCGCTCCCCACATCTCAGACGATGGGCGGCCGGGCAGAGACGCTCCTCACTTCCTAGATGTGATGGCGGCTGGGAAGAGGCGCTCCTCACTTCCTAGATGGGATGGCGGCCGGGCGCAGACGCTCCTCACTTTCCAGACTGGGCAGCCAGGCAGAGAGGCTCCTCACATCCCAGACGATGGGCGGCCAGGCAGAGATGCTCCTCACTTCCCAGACGGGGTGGCGGCCGGGCAGAGGCTGCAATCTTGGCACCCTGGGAGGCCAAGGCAGGCGGCTGGGAGGTGTAGGTTGTAGCGAGCCGAGATCACGCCATTGCACTCCAGCCTGGGCACCATTGAGCACTGAGTGAACGAGACTCCGTCTGCAATCCCGGCACCTCGGGAGGCCAAGGCTGGCGGATCACTCGCGGTTAGGGGCTGGAGACCGGCCCGGCCAACACAGCGAAACCCCGTCTCCACCAAGACCAGTCAGGCGTGGCGGCGCGTGCCTGCAATCGCAGGCACTCGGCAGGCTGAGGCAGGAGAATCAGGCAGGGAGGTTGCAGTGAGCCGAGATGGCAGCAGTACAGTCCAGCTTCGGCTCCGCATGAGAGGGAGACCGTGGGGAGAGGGAGAGGGAGAGGGAGAGGGAGAGGGAGAGGGAGAGGGAGAGGCCCCCTTACATTTTTGCACGCAAGGCAAGTGCTTCACTAGCTTTACCCTAGCCGTAGGCCTGATCTTTGAAAATCAAGACCTTGTCTCTGCTGCAGCTTCAATGTCTTTGTTCCTCCTGAGCAGGCTCTGATTGATAAATTCTTAATTGAGAGCAGTCATATCACAAATACACAAACATCTTTTCAGGTGAACCCTCCACTGGTATTGACAATGGAGAAAGCTCTGAGAAATTCACCTTTAGATTTGAGTTAATTTGAGTTGTGGTAAATCTTAGTAACAACAACAAACAGTAGCACTAAAATGTATGTAGATGCATTAGGCTAAGTATTTTATGTGTATCACTCTATTTAATCTTTACAACAACCCATGAGCAATACTATTATTATTGATACAGCACTTTATAGACCAGGGAACTGAAGTACAGAGGGCTAAACTTGTTTAATGAAGCGCTCACAGGGTCGAGACCGGCTCCAGTTCACTGTTGAGCACTGTGCAGGCCTGCCTGTCAGCACAGGGAGAGCAACAGTTGAATTTAGCATCCTTCTTATCTGGGGGGGTCATGAGTAGGAACGTATTCATTATATTCTGAGGACTTAAGTGGTTGACTGAAAACCCAGAGCATTTCAGGTATTACATCTAGAGTTTTTAACGTTACATTTAGATATTACATTTAGGGTTTCCATAATATTTGAGAATAATCTAGAACTGATCATAGAATAAAGTGAAAGGAATGCAAATTTCTAGCTGATTCCCTACCCATTTGTTGAATAAATTCGGGCAATCAAACAATCTGAAATGTAGCATAATATTATGGCTTTGGTTTTTAAGATGGAAAAAGTGATTTATAAATGAACAGATTAAGAATCAGTTTTTTACTTTTCCTGATGGGCTTTTGTGGACACTGTTGTAGTTCTCAATAATCTTGAATTTATGAATGTGCCGGCTAGGAAATTATCAACACCACATGCTGTTTCCCACACTGAAAACTTTTAAGTATTGAGAAAAAAAATCTGTATTTATATGGGTGATAAAGTGAAAAATATAAAATAAAATTTTCAGAGTTGTGAGGGATTTGTTTATGTGCTATAGAAGTATATTGGAGAAGTTTTAAAAACTGGTTGGTTAAAAAAAATCAGTTAGCTTGAATTTTGAGTGGGGTGTTTCAGTTCTAGCTAGTGGATTGCTTAATCATCAACATTCAGCTTCTGAGAAGAAATTTCTTCCCAAGTGAATACAGTAGACTCTTGGCTTTCCCAGATTTAACATTTTCAGTTTCTATTATTTGGGAATGAACTTTAAGCTCTTCAATGTGGTGATTTGTAATTGGGTCAAATCATAAATATGACAGTGAGAATGCAAGACTAATTTGTTGGAGCCACTCCTAGCCAAGGAGAAAGCCTGTACCCACATCTTCTCAAGTGTGTATCTTATGGAGGAAATCATATGTTGTAGTGGTATTTACAAAAGCCTGAGGACATCCATCATAAATGTTAATGGTCTGCTAGTTGTACTTAAACTACAACTTTTCTCCATGCACTCACTAACACTCCCTCCCTCCCTCCCTCCCTCAGACCTCCTCTACACCAGAGCCTCCTGCCAAACCTTCCCACACCTTTGTCATTAACCCTTTTTATTTCAATCTCTCTTTTAGCTGGAGACCTGATTTTTCTACTCAGTTTTAAATGCTCTTAAGTATCATATTTTGTCACTCTATTTGTAGCACATCTGTCCTTTCTTCTGGATCTTAAATACATTCTGAATGAAATTCAGTCTTGTTTTGAAGGTCAGCTTTCCTTCTATTCAAACCATGTTTGTCAGTTATGGCTTTTGGTTTGTCTTTGAGGGGGTCTTGTTTTCCCTCTCATCTTTATGAATCCTTACTTGCTGCTCTGCAACATGTGTAAATTTCTTGTTCACAGCATGTCAGCAAATAACTTGTCAAGCTTCAGTGGCTCACTGTGATTTTTTTCTACCTCCAAAGAGTATATGAGTAGATTCAATAACATGCTGTAGAGCCCCAAACCAACCCTGTGGGAGAGGTCAGAGTTACCCTCAGATTTTGTAGTAGAGACTCAGGAATAAGTAGTGACACATAGACAGAAAACATCAGAATGTGACAAGCAATGGCTGAACCCACTTGTGGATTTTGCACTGCCATTTTACCTCTTTAGGCAAAATAAGAGGTTTCTGTTTCTGAGCCTAGTCTATTCCCTTAGAACCTTTCCATGTTATCCTTTATCTTTATGCAATGTTTCCCATATGTCAGCCATTCATGGCCATTCACCATCCCATTTTTTGTTATGAGCTTTCAAACTCAAATTATAATTTACGTGATATTTAAAAAATTTGTCTCTTTAACTTTGTATTCATTTGATGTTGCCTTTTCTAACCGTGACCATAAATAAAAACCCACTATCACATGGCACAAACATAAATAAGATCAAAAGTAGTATTTTTATCATTTGTCTACTATTGGCCTGCGCATTTGCTGAAACTGCAGCCTATTGTTTCTTTCTTGAAACTGGGGAGTAGGAAGCCTTCTGGTTATCAGTTGCTGCAAAACAAGCCACCCAAAACTTAGTGGTTTAAAATAATACTTTATTACTATCACTCACATTTTTGTGGGTTGACTTGGCTATCCTGTGGTACTCGTTTGGGTTTGGCATGAGGTTTCATTTGACAGCTGGGGCAGGGATTATCTGAAGGCTTGATTGGGCTGGATGTTCATGGTGGTTGTCTTATTTGGCTGGGCAAGGGCTGCTACCTGTTAGCTGGGACCGCCTGAAGCTATTTCCTGTAGTGCCTACACGTTGCTTCTTCATATGGTTTGTCATCACATGTGGCAGCTAAGTTCCAAGAGTGAGTGCTCAAAGAAGTCTTCGTGGACACTGAGGTTTCTTAGGATCTAGGCTCTGAAGTCCCACAACATCTTAACCACTTTCTATTGATTTAGTCTAGTTCAGATTCAAGGAAAATAGTAGGGAAGAATTTGTGGCCATCTTTTTATCTATCACAGTTATTGTCAGAGGGGTGTTAAAGAATAGCAAACTTAAATGTTCTTTGTGATGTAATCAGAGGGATTGAAAGAGAACTGAAAGGGGAATGGCATTCTACCATGTCATTTAATGTTATTTAATTCTGTCTCCATTCATTGCTTTAACTCATCTTGGCACCACCAATGTCAGTGAGCCCCTCCTCAATGTATTCACCCTCTTCTGTGATGCTTCATATCTCTTTCCTTTGGGATTTCAAGAAGAATTTGGTTGATATGTTCTTCTATCATTTTGAGGGTTACCTTCTGTCTTTTCCTAATGCTAAAAATACAAAGAAGAAAGGTAGAAAAGCAAAAGTAGCATTGTAATGAACAAAATTAGTGTTTTCAAGGCAAACAGCCAAGTATTACATAAGCCAACTCACAGGGCATTTTTACAAAAATTCTGGAGAAATGGCTATGCTGGTTTCCAGATTTAGAAACCTCTCTGGCTCACTTGAAAGGACTACTTGGGAGGAGGGATCCTATCACTAGACACCTTCCTTCATGGGTCAAACTTTTGATTCAAGTGTGCATGGGTGAGATACTAAGATGAAATAATTTGAGTGTCAAAATCTATGTTTATTATGGAAAATTTTAAGGTTATATTGTTTCTCAGGAATAACCCAAACAGACACTGATGACTAGCATTAGTGACGTTATGGCCAGATTATGTGAAAATTGACAAGCAAATATGGTGTAGTTTTCCCCTCTTTTAGGAAAAGCACAAAGAAGGATCCATTTTGTGAAAAATGCACAAACTCTTAAGGTTAAATTTAGAACCAAGGGTCATTTTTAAATGAAGTTTGATGGTATGATTTTTTTGACTGGTATATTGCTTTATATCTGCATCTAGTCATTATATGCATATATTTCAACCAAAGGTATACAGTTTTAGAAACTTCCTTTCATCAAGTTTCAATTTTTCCTTTTGCATTTATTGCTCAATACATGATTAGTCATGAGTAAGCATCCAGAATGATATATGTATTAGCTCTTCACTTTGGACAAGAAATTTCTTCCAATTTATATAATCACTCAACATGACTTAATTGTCATGGTTAAATCTCCTTGACTCTGTACTCAGTGGCATTAAGCAAGCAAATGTTGCTTATTTTTCACTAAGTACTAACTATGAAGAGCTGTTAGGAGCCTCTAGGAAGTTAACTTACATGAAAATTCTCTCTTGACCCCATTATATTTTTAAAGAAGTATAGATACTAGCCAATGCTGGGACTATGTCTTAGATAAATATTCAAGATGCTCTGAGTGGAATCTGTGCTAACATTATTACCACTGGTATAGTTTTTGCTCTGAAGATTTATGAAATGGATTATTATTTTGAAAGTGTTAAGCACTGTTAGGGGACTCTCTTTTTTTTGACTTGGACTGGATCCCACAATTCTAAAAGTATTTATGAAAACAATATGATGAAATGTTAATGATGGAAGTGTATCCTTGAACTTTGATTTTAAAAAGGTGTTAAATCACTGATGAGTCCTTGTCTTCACCTTTGCTTAGTTCCAAGATTAAACTCAGTCATAAACATGATATTTATAAAGAGTTTCTCATAACTTAGATATTACAATAGTAAATGAAGCAACAGAATCGATTCACAATTATGTATACAACTCAGTACAACAATTCAAAAATAAATATGCCTAGAAAAATACCTGGAAAAATATACCACCATGTCAATAGTCATTGCCTTCTGTTTGGATTATATTGTTTCCCCTTTGGTAATCTTTTTCTTTACACTTTTCTTTAATTTTTTCAACTTTTCTATAATGAAAACATTTTAGCATTGGCATGTGTCACTTAACTAAATGAGATTCTGTGATTGCTAATGTATATGCTTCAGTGAATTGTTAGTTTTTAAATTATGTTAATGAATAAACAGTTTCCAGGCCAGTCATTTTCTAGCCTCATTAATGCCATAGTGACATTTGTTATACTGTACTGAACGATTTTATATAAGAGACTTGAGCATTCTTGAATTTGGTATCCTTCTGGGGTCCTGGAACCAATCCCCCATGGATATGGAGGGCCGACTGTAAACGCCTTCTCCTGATTTGGGTTTTATACATTTGTATCAGCAGTCTTATAAACACCCTAGAAGGAAGCTCCACCTTCCAGAAGATGAGGCAGCATGCTCCTTAACTGTTGAATGAAGATTCTTTCCTGTTTCCACTCTTTGTTTGGTGGGCAGGAAGGCTCCTGCTCTTCAGTTGGAAGTGGCTGCAGCTGTTATTAGCAGATAAGCAGGAGTGGCCTGGCCATTTCTGTGACTCACAGTGACTTAGTGGGATTCATATCAAGAATTCCTTCCTTTTCTCTTGACAGTTTTCAGGTACTTCAGAAGGTTAGGTAGAAGGGATATGAGTGATTAAGATATATTTTATAGGAATAATTGAAAGCTGGGCATTTGATGTGTTTTGATTTTAGAACAGAGTACTGGACAGCTTCACATTTGGATTCTGGGCAGGTATGAATTCTAATGAGAGAGTTAAAAATAGTGCTAGGTAACTAGTAAAGTAAGTGACACAGAGACTTTCCTTTAGTTCTTCGTCCATCTTTGTTTCTCATTCGTTGACTTGCATTGCCTCATCCTTTATCTACTCTATCAGTGTGAGGTTATAGAATAATAGAGAGAAAAAGAAAACAAAAATAACATACTTAATTTCAATTTATTTATTGAATCAAACATTACCTAAAGTTGTTCTTTTGACATTTTTTCTCCTGTGATACACAGATGTCTCACTGAGTATCAAATAGTGAGAGGGAAAAAGATTCCCATGGGGTGAATCTGCATGGAAGAGTGTGCATTAATCTGTGCAAATGCCTACTAATCTTGGAACTTCTGAAGTAAAGAAAAATCCATTACTACTGCTCTATATAAATATTAACAACCTAAAAGTAACTTAAGTGATCTGCAATGGAATATGTGCCATTTAGATCTTTTAACTACTTCACACTTTCATAAGACTTACCACATATCCCAACCTCCCACTTTAAATAGACGTTTTTGAAAATATCAGTCAAGGAGAATCTTTAATTACTACATTGCTTCAGGGAAACATACAATTTTGGTAATAAGAAACACTACTTCAACAGATCTGTTCTTCACAAAATAGAGTACATGCAAATGATATGACTGAACTCAAATTCAGATGTTTGGCAGTTGAGCTATTTGGTGAAATGTCTTGAGGGAAAGATCTTTGGGTTCTTTTATACTTGATGACTTTAAATCTGTGAAAACTAAGGGGCTAAAATAAAATGAAATAACTGGGTCTTTTGTTTTTCTTCTTAATAGTTTATTGTGTAAAGAGGCCTCGTTTTCCTACTATACCTTATTCTTTGATGCTTTTCATTTCCTTGTATGTTTTGGAAAAATAATGTATGTTCATAGAACTCTAGGCACCATACAGCGACAATTGGTCAGGCCTTCTGAGCTGCAACACACTGCAGATGTGAGGAAGAATTGTAATCAGTAGGTCATCTGCCTGCATAATTTTCAGGGAGCCATCTTGCTCCTACCAGGACACATATGGAGGGGCATGTTTGCAATTTTATTAATAACATTTTTAACTCACAAAAGTTCCCACATAAGGAGGCCAGCACTGTCAAAGTTCTTTTTTCTATCTGGGAAGGGCTTATTTGGTTTATTGTGCCTTCTATGATCTTGTTTTCTATAAAGATAGGCTGCTAAAAGTGGTAGACAGTTACTCTTTACTCTATGCCCTATTCTACATCAGTGCTGAATGAGCAGGGGCTGTGGACAGAAGGTCATGAGGGAGGGGTCAGTTGGAGGGTGGCAGGGCAGGTAAGTGAAGGGTTTGGGCTAAGTCACATTATATGCTCACCCTCTTAAGTTTCGTGTGGTAAATTCCAGCTGGAATAAAAATAAGAGCCACCTTGATTGGGAAAAGAAACTGGGAGGTGTCTCGGAAGGGAAGATAGAGCCTAAGAAGCAGTATCTATTGCTAGCAAGAAAGCCTGGGCTCCCTTTGCCCCCATAAAAGTGTTTAGATCTGGTCGGTGAAAGTCAGACTTAAACTTTCCTCACCCACCTCAGAGCAGCATTCTGGAATAGTTGCTATCATTTATAGTGCTCTGAGGATATTTCAGGTTTTGTTTTTTTCTTTAAAGGATAAAGTCATTGATAGAACTATAATTACAAGGAGGCTCAGCTGTTGCTGTAGGTGGTAACAACTTATAAGGCAGTCTACACCGGCTGATCTTCAATTAAATTATTCATTTCTGCATGCAAATTCCACCCATTCTTTTCCTTTTTATGGCAGAAGCTACCAGTACCTTTATACAAATGATCTTGGTGGGGTTCCTGTCTTCCTGTTTGGAGATGGCCTTATTGAGTATGATTCAAGAAATAGACAGACCTCTTGCCTTCCTCATACCAACCTACAACCATCCAACCAACCAACCAACCAACCAACCAACCACCCACCCACCCACCCACCCACCCAACCATCCAATCACCCAACCAACCAATGATCTAACCTTTTCATAGGACAGAGGCCTTTATTCCCAGTTTTAAATTCAGTGGGAAGCATAAAGGACTATGATAAAATTATTTCTTGAATGTCTTATTACTACACAGGTCAGTTGAACATGAAAGGGGAAGTGGAGAGGTTTAAATTGTTAAGGTTAAAATTGTCAAAATTGGAGGGCTGTGGTCATTTTACATAATTTACATATGTATATTCAATTTTGTTTAAGGCTAGATTGTAAAATATCCTGCATAGAGCAGAACTGGACTATTTTAAAGGAAATTCTTTTGAATGGGTAATGAGCAAGACATGATGTGACCAAAGGACCTGAAAAACTGCCAATTTCTCAGTTTTAGGCTTCTGTGATCTTCCCCATACTTTCTCTGTTGGGTCATTGCTACTCATATTGATTGCACGGTCCTCTGATACTCACTCATTCCACAGTTACCATCTGATGAGATGTGGCTAGTTTCAGTGCTCTGATTCTGTTGAATGAGATTATGCAGTGAACTTGGGTATTTTCTTCAGCTTGTGATGGTTTAGGAATTGCTGTCTAGGACCTCTTTTTATACTGCACTGAACACAGTTATTTCCCATTTTGAGGTACTTACACTTTTTTGACAACTATTTTTTAAAAATTTAATTTAATTTTAAGTTCTGGGACACGTGCAGGACGTGGAGGTTTGTTACATAAGTAAACATGTGCCATGGTGGTATGCTGTACCTGTCACCCACCACCTAGATTTTAAGTCCTGCATGCATTGACTATTTCTCCAGATGCTCTCCGTCCCCCTACCCCCCAAACCCAGCAGGCCCCAGTGTGTGCTGTTCCCCTCCCTGTGTCCATGTGTTTTCATTGTTCAGCTTCCGCTTATAAGTGAGAACATGCAGTGTCTGGTTTTCTGTTCCTGCTAACTCACTATTTTGCATGTGTATAGAAAGGCGTTTTTAACTTACTTCAACTCAAGATCAATTTCTTAGTCACCTACTATGCACAAGACACTATTCCAGGTATTGCAGGAATTAAAAGGTAAGTGAGACATGGGCTGTGGCAGTAAATTGGTATTAAAGCAGGATTGGGAGATGGCATTCAGAATGGTGAAGAAATAGGAGAGCATGTTAGGTACTTCACTGTGAGTGTTAAAAGGAAAAAGAGATCACCTGAAACTGGGAGGCATCCTGATTTGCTTAGGTCTGCTGGTTTTGTTTTGGTGAGGTTTAGGGCCAATCAACAAAAACAATAAGTTAGAATTTCATAAAGGAAATAGTTTAAAGTATCTACTCCTAGAAACAAAGTATGTGTGAGAGGAGCAGTTATTGGCTGTCTGCTTTTTAAAATGCTTGCCCTTGACTTAAAGGTATGAAAAGAGAATTTTAAAAAATTTCAGTGAGTGTGGTGGGCACTATATCCTAGTTGATTCTTAATTATTCAGGAGCTAAATATCAAGTTGGAGAATTATCTAAGTTGTTCTCTTTTTCTCTTTCTTTTATTCCTGACTCCCATCTGATGTTTGTGTTGTTTCTTTTTTTTTTCTTTTCTTTTTTTTTTTTTTTTGAGACGGAGTCTCTCTCTGTTGCCCAGGCTGGAGCGCAGTGGTGCGATCTCGGCTCACTGCAAACTCCACCTCCCGGGTTCACGCCATTTTCCTGCCTCAGCCTCTCAAGTAGCTGGGACTACAGGCGCCTGCCACGACGCCCAGCTAATTTTTTGTATTTTTAGTAGAAACGGGGTTTCGCCGTGTTAGCTAGTATGTGTTGTTTCTATATACTAATTGCCTCAGAGCTGGTAGAAAGGAAATAACAAGATTAATAGATTAATTGCAAATCTTTAGCTATATTAGTTAAGGAAAAGGCTGTGATATTTGGGCAAAATGAGGGTAATTGGTGAATTGACTATTTGTTCTGGTTCATTATCATCGTGGATAATTGAGAGCTAATGGAAGTCATTGGAACTGGGCCTGCAGGGTGATTTAAGATCAGAATGTTTCTTAAGGGTGGGAAGAAGGTTCTTGATGTGATACAGTACAGAGCTCTTTCTTATTCTATATTAAATGCTCATAATGGTAGACTGGATAATTGTCTATATAATAATTGTCTATATATATATAATGGCCTCTATAATAATTTTGTAAAGTCTTACTTTCTTCCTTTCTATATATTTTTTGGGTACAGTATTTAAGTTACTGAGCTTAAAATAAACTTCCTGAAAGAGTAATCTGGGTTAAAAATGGTTATAGCTGCAGAAATACATACTGTGAATTGCTCCCGGAAATCTGTACGGCAAATGTAAGAGCATTTTGGCTCAACACACTTAACTCTAATGCATCTCATCCAATTAGAGTTTATGGCAACTGTCATTCAATATTAGCAGCTATACTTAAAATATGAGTGTTTTAAAATGATTGTGTTTATGGTTTCTTTCTTATCTCAGTAAAAACAGTTTGGTTTGCCAGCAAGTTTTTTTGTTTGTTTTTTGTTAGGTACCTTCTAGGTTGTAAATGGACAGGAAGCTGTCTATCAAGAGATTTCTTTCTTCAGCTCTTTTAAAAGTAGTGTGAGCTGGGGATGATATATAATATGATAAAATACCTAATGGATCCCTGAATCCACTTTCATTGAGTTCATGGAAGTTTGTAAATGTGCAGCTGTAGTGGCAGAGTGTTTATCAGTGCTGAGAATATCACTGTTCTTGCTTTTGACTTTGTGAAGTCGGCATATTCACATCCACAACGCCTTTCTTGTAACCATAGCAACCAAGACAGAAGGTTTCTTTTTTTCTCTCTCATATTCAAAAGCACTATTAAGATGATAGATTTTATTTGAATGAGGTATTTGCAGATAAGAGAGGCATAAACTTAAATTCTGACCTCTGGATAAGTTTTTTTTTCTTCGTTAGGAAAGAAAAATATTTTATAGTTGACAAAAACATTTTATAGGTGACAAAAATTGTATATATTTATGGTATACCAAGTAATGTTTTCATATATGTATATGTTGTGAAATGATTAAATCAAGCAAATTAACATATCAGTCACCTCACATACGTATCATTCTTTGTGAGAACATTTAATATCACTTTTACTTCTGTACAGCAAAAGAAACTATCAACAGAGTAAACAGACAACCTATAGAATAGGAGAAAATATCTGCAAATTCTGCATCTGACAAGGGTTTAATATTCAGAATCTAAATGAACTTAAATTAACAAGCAAGAAACAAACAACTCCATTAGAAAGTGGGCAAAGGACATGAACAGACACTTTTTCAAAAGACGACATACACTCGGCCAACTAGCATATGAAAAAATGCTCAACATCACTCGTCATTTGAGAAATGCAAATCAAAACCACAACGAGATACCATCTTACACCAGACAGAATGGCTGTTATGAAAAAGTAAAGAAATAACAGGTCCTGGTGAGTTTGCAGAGAAAAGAGAACACTTATACACTGCTGGGGTGGGAATGTAAATTAGTTCAGCCACTGTGAAAAGCAGTGTGGCAATTTCTCAAAGAATTTAAAACAGAATTACCATTCTGTATACACCCAAAGGAATATAATTAATTCTGCCCTAAAGACTCATGTATGCTTATGACAACAATATTCACAATAGCAAAGACATGGAATCAACCTAAATGCCCATCAGTGGTAGACTGGATAAAGAAAATGTGGTGCATAGACACCATAGGATGCTATTAATATGTAACCATAAAAAGAACAAGATCTTGTTCTTTGCAGCAACATAGATGGAGCCAGAGGCCATAATCCTAAGTGAACTAATGCAGGAACATAAAACCAAATACTGCATATTCTCACTTATAAGTGGGAACTGAACATTGAGAACACATGGACACAAAGGGGAACAACAGACACGGGAACCTATTTGAGGGTAGAGGGTGGGAGAAGGGAGAGGATCGAAAAACTACCTATCGGGTACCATGCTTATTACCGGGGTGACAAAATAATCTGTACACCCAACCCCTGTGACACACAATTTACCTATACAACAAACCTGCATGTGTACCCCTTGAACGTAAAAGTTAAAAGAGAATCTCTCTTAGTGAATTTCAGCTATACCATATGTTATTACAGACCATAGTCACCATGCTATACAATAGATCTCCCAAACTTATTTATTCTATCTGACACTTTGCACCCCTTGACCAACATCTCCCACCTATGCCAGTTCCCAGTGTCTGGCAGCTGTCATTCTACTATCTACTTCTAAAGTTCAGCTTTTTTAGATTCCACATATAAGTGAGATCATGCAGTATTTGTTCTTCTGTTCCTAGCTTATTTCACTTAGCATAATTCCTCCAGGTTCATTCATGTTGTCACAAATGACAGGATCCCTTTTTTCCAGCTGAGTAGTATTCTATTGTGTGTATGTATACATATATTAAACACCCCCCCCCTCACATTTTCTTTATCCATTCATGCATTGATGGACACTTAGGTTGATACCGCATCTTAGCTATCATGAATAGTGCTGCAGTGCATGGAGTGCAGATATCTCTTCAGCATATTGATTTCATTTCCTTTAGATGTACACCAACAAGTGGTATTGCTGGATTATATGATAATTCTATTTTTAATTTTTTGATAAACCTCCATTGTTTTCCATAGTGGCTATATTAATTTATATTTCCACCAACAATGTACAAGCCTTTCCTTTTTTCCGCATATCTTTCCAGCACTTATCTGTTGACAATAACTATTCTAATGGGCATGAGGTAATATCTTATTTTGGTTTAATTTGCATTTTCTTGATGATTAGTGATGTTGAACATGTTTTCATATACCCGTTGGCCATTTGTATGTCTTTTGAGAAATGTCTGTTCAAGTCTTTTCCCTGTTTTAAAATTGAGTTATTTGTTTTCTTGCTATTGAGTTGCCTAAGTTTCTTATATATTTTGAATATTAACTTCTTATCAGATGTACAGTCTGCAGATATTTTCTACCATTCTGTGAGTTGTCTCTTCACTCTGTTGATTGTTTCCTTTGCTGTGCCAGAACTTTTTAGTTTTATGTAATTCCGTTTGTCTATTTTTGCTTTTGTTGCTTGTGCTTTTAAGGTGCTTAAGGTTTTTTGCTTGTGCTTTTAAAGTCATATACAAAAAAATCATTGCCTAGACCAATGTCACGTAGCTTTCCCCCTGTGTTTTCTGCTAGTAGTTTTATAGTTTCAGGTCCTATATTTAAGTCTTCAATCTGCTTTGAGTTGCTTTTTGAATTTGGTGTGAGATAAAGGTCCATTTTCTTTCTTCTGCATATGGATACCCAGTTTTCCCAGAACTATTTATTGAAGAGACTGTCCTTTCTTCATTGTGTGTTCTTAGCACACTTGCCAAAGATCAATTGACCATAAATGCATAAATTTATTTCTGGGATGTCTATTCTGTTCTGTTGATTTATGTATGCTACTTTATGCCAGTAGCACACTGTCTCAACTACTGTTGCTTTTAGGATGTTTTGAAATCAAGAAGTGGGCTTCCAGCTTTGTTCTTTTTCAAGATTGTTTTTGCTATTTGGGGTCCTGTAATATCCTTTATGAATTTTAGAACTGCTTTTTCTGTGTCTGTGAGAAATGTCATTGAAATTTTGGTGGGGATTGCATTGAATCTGTACACCATTTGCATAGGATGGACATTTTAACAATGTTATTTTTTCCAATCTATGCGCATGGATAATCTTTCCATTTATTTATGTCTTCTTCAATTTCTCTCATTAATCTTTTGTAGTTTTCATTGTACAGATCTTTCACCTCCTTGGGTAAAATTATTCCTAAGTATTTTGTTTCTTTGAAGCTATTGTAAATGGGCTGGATAAATTTTGTTAAGCCTCTTTGTCTCATCTCCCTCACCAGCTACTTCTGTTGATTTGGGTCACCAAGCACACTATAATGTTTTCTGCCATATCATCCTTGAAATGTTGCAGAGATTGTTTGGACAAAGACATTTTAAAAATAAACCTTAGACATAGAATTTTGAAAACAAACATAAACTATACACAGCTACAATGAAAGATTAAATATAAATCAGTCAGGTGCTTTACAAAAGGATTAAAAGAACTTACGGTCCATTAGTGCCAAAGAGAAGGCTATAAAATAAAACCAAGAGAAGGATCAAGGATTTTTTTTCCATGTACAGGAATGAATGAAGGACTTGGGGTCCCATAATGTTTCCTAAATATTTAAGGTGGTATTAGTGTGGCTGTGCTCACTTTGTGCATTGTACTTGGGACCTGTTGGGCAACAACCCAAGTCTGGAGATGAATAGAGAAGTTACTCCCACGTCACTGGCACAGACCTTCAACTCTGACATGATCACATCTATGTCTCACAGATATCTTACATTTTACAAGTTTAAATTTCTTAATCTTCCCCTAGAATTATAGTTCTTTTCCAGTCTTCATGAGTCAATAATTCTTCTATCTTCTTAGGACCTTGGGAGCCATCTTTGACATGTTCTTTTACATTCAGTGCATCATCAGTTTATGTTCATTGTACTTCCAAAGTGTATGTTTACCAACTTCCACATCCACCTCCATTGTCATACTGTAGTATTCCAAGCCACTGACTCTTGCATTTGAACTTCTATAGTAACCTCCTCATTGCTCTTGTATCTTCCATAAGAGTTTCTTCCAAAATTCCAGAATAGTTTCCTCAAACTTGTCTCCACAGAAGCGAATATGTAGAATATGGTACAAGCTTTGCTGCTGTGATGTAGTATTCTCTAAATAGAGTGTTTCAGACAAGATAGACATTTAATTATCCCTCAAATAATATCCAAGCTAGGCAAGGGGTCTTTAGCTTTTTTGGGTTGTCCTACCATCCTCAAAACACGGTTTTTATCTTGGGCCCAAATCTCCACTTGTTGCCATCTCCTACCAGCAGTTGGTGGGGAAAGGGCCAGGGGAACACATACCTAGTCCTTTCAAGGGGAATACCTGGAAGCTTGGAGAGTTTATATAACTTCCTGAAGGTCACACAGCTGTTTAGTGGCAGGGCTGATTGGATCTGAGGTTTGTGTGATTCAGAAGCCACTAGATCTCTTTTATGGGGAAAGAAAGATAATGCATAGCTGTTGCATTCCAAGTTGACACTGAAGCTATTAAAACCCATATTTTGAAATAATTGTGCAAAGTTTCATTAATCTCAAGTGGAGACAAGAAAATGGCAATATTAAGAGTGGAAAGATAAATAGAAATAAGAACATTTGAGTTTGTGAACACAAATGGTTGGAATGATCCTGTTTGTAAGTTGTGAATTATAGGGAACAGATATTAAATATTTCATAAGAAAATAACATACCTTCCATTAATGGGGGTGGTGGTGAGAAGGAGGATCAATGGCACTATCTCCAGTGGGAGTTCTTAACTGGGATGAAGCAATGTTCTCAATAAAATACTTAATTTTCTATTTATTTTCTTGATTACATCCATTTAATAGTTTTAGTAGAGAGATGTCGGTAAGTATAAGCAACTGCTGCTTTCCTAACATCAAGTAGAGGACAGGTGAAATCAGATTTTAGGATACCTACAGCAGTGTCTCTTAACCCTGAATGCACATTAGAATGACCTGGGAGCATTTAAAAAGCCCAGATCCAGGGTTGCCTCCGCAATTACAAAATCAGAATTCTGGGAATGGGACCTGTATTTGTTTTCCATGGCTGCCATAACAAAGTACCACAGTCTGGGTGACTTAAACGACAGAAGTTGATTTTTTTCATAGTTTTGGAGGGTAGAAGTCCAGGATTTAGGTGTTGGCAGGTTTGGTTTCTTCTGAGGCTTCTCTTCTCTGCCATCTTCTCCTCCTGGTTTCTTCATGTGGTCTTCCCTCTGTACCCATCCGTATCCTGTTCTCCTTCCTTTATAAGAACAACAGTCTTATTAGAGTAGGGCCACCCTAATGACCTCTTTTTACCTTTTTACATAACCCATCTCCAAATACAGTCACATGTTGAGGTACTGGGGATTGGGACTTCAACAGACTTTTTTTTTTTTTTTTTTTTTGGCAGAGGAGGGGACACACAATTCAACTTATAACAGGATTAAAGCATCAGTGTTTTTAATCGGCCACTGTCTTCCCCCAAGTGATTCTAATATGCAGCCAAATTTGAGAGTCAATGCCCTAGGTGGGATTCTCAAACCTGGCTGCGTTAGAATCACCTGGGTAACTTAAACAACCCCCAAAAACAGCACATACCAATACTTAGGCATCAGCCTCAGAGATGTGATTTGATCCGTGTGGGGTGGGATGTTGTTAGTTTACAGAGTCTCCCAGGTGATTTTAATGTGTAACCAGGTTTGAGTATCACTGCACTAATATGTGTTTCTTAACTGTATAAATGGAAGCATATTTCTTACCTTTCTCCAAATTGTTTTTTTTGAAAATTTTTAATAAATGCAAGTTATTTTAATGAAAGATATATATTTAATGATGTAGTATTCAGGTCTAAAAAATGAACAAAATACTTTTAAGGTGTTATGTTTCAAATCAAATGTGGGTTTTGTGATATAATTTTCTTTGTGACTTATAGTCCTTTTTTGCTTAATGAAAATAAATCAAAAGAACTTGGGCCTATCACTCAGAAAGCAAATGAAGTGAAGAAACTGACACTTTAATGATTAAGTTGACTAAAGTGTCACAGCTTTTAGTGAGGTAATTTCTTGATTAAAGAAATGATGTTTTTCAGCTTTCAGAAGGAGGCTAGACTTTCCTTTCCAGATGATATCAAAATCTGATAACAATTCCTTGATTTATTCAGGCCAATTTCTGTGTTTTGAAGTAAAGCCACTTATCTGGCATTTTTCATTAAGGCTTGACAACAGCTGGCTGCTTCCCAGAATGCAGTGCTGTGACAGAGATTATGTTATAAAGCCATGGATCAGCTGCCTTTGTAATTTGCTTAAATTGATTATGTGTACATTTCTTCACTCTCTGGACTTAAAAGAAGCCTGCATTTGGGTGAGGAAACAGTATTATTATTTCAATGACAAAAGACCATGTCTATTACGCCATATTACACATAGACACACTGCCTTTTCCATTGTGCTCTAATAGTATTTTTAGTTTCAATCTTTTTGGAAAGTTATTTTAAATACTATGATTTCTATTTCGGCTGAATTTTGTAGCTTTAATCAAATAATTAAAGAAGCAATATTTAAGATCAGAAAAGCATTATTTAAATGATGAAAGTATACAGTCTTAGGAAAGTAGTTGATTTTTATTTGTCCTTTCTGTATGTTAATATCTGATACAGATACTTGCTGATATGCTTTTTAAGTTAAAAAAAAACTAATAAGTAATCATTATCTAAAGTTGCAGGGAGCCCATATCTTGCTGAAAGTTCTACAAGAATTCCAAGCACTGAGATTAAACTAGACATCTATACCAATAAGTTTAGATACCTTGTTTAAAAACAAATGTTGCCCTAGAAGTACACTAGCAAAGTACCCAAAGAGAGGAACCAAATTATGGGTTTTCCTTTTATTGAACTAAGTAGTGACCTGGGAAGCAAGTGCCCCCATGCACTGAGGTAATGATTTTATCAATGAAGGGGAATACTATTTTTTTTTTTTTTGAGACAGGGTCTCGCTGTGTTGCCCAGCCTGGAGTGCAGTAGTGCAATCACAGCTCTCTGCAGCTTTGACCTCCCAGGCTTGAGCAATTTTCCCACCTTAGCCTCCCAAGTAGCTGGGGCTGCAGATGTGTGATATCATGCCCAGATAATTTTTCATTTTTTTATAGAGATAGGGTCTTACTATGTTTCCCAGGCTGGTCTCGAACTCTGGGCTCAAGCAATCCTCCTATCTTCCAAAGTGTTAGATTACTGGCGTGGGCCACTGCACCTGGCTGGGAGCTACTTTTGGTTGAAAATTGATTAAATAAAAAAGAATGAGAAATGAGGTTTTGTGTTTTAGTTTTAATCATTTTCACCTTGGAACAAGAAGGTGCGATTTGGCCAGCAACTCAAAGCTGCTGTAATTCCCACTAATTATGTGGGTTAGCCCTCACCATTCTGCTTTCTCTCTCTCTCTCTCCCATTGTTGGAGCATTAACATCTTAGCCCCACTGGTGCCTTTAATACTGTTTGGAATTATTTTATTCATATCTTGGGGATCCCTATACAGTGGCATCTAAGCTTAGCTACCCACAGAGATCCCCTGGGGAACCTGTTAGTCATGACCTCCCAGGTTCATCCTCGACCTACTGAATCAGAGTTTCTGGGGATGGAACTGGGGAGTCTCTCTGTTTCAGTTGGTGATTCTTGGTGCAGTCAGCCTTCCTTCACTCTTTTCTCTCATTGATTTGTCCCATTTCATTGATTTGTGCCATTTGCTAGAAGAATCACTTTGTTTTTAACTGTTTGTTCTGGTATTTACCTCCTCATGTGAAGAATATTTCCTTTTGTTACATTAGAAACATTCTCTAGATAGTCATTGTCTTTCTTTGAATTTCACAGGAAAGGGCTCCCTGGTCACAAAGCAAACCCCTCCACTTTTGCTTTTCAATCAGTCCATTTCCATCTTTAGTTTTCCTTTTCACCACCATTTAACTTTTTTAAAAAATTGCATCTTGCCCCTTTGCCTTTTAACAAACGTAGATCTCCCCATCTAGAAAATTCATTCCTCCGTATTGCCACTACCACTGAATTTCTCATTCTTTCCCCACCAAACTTCCAGAAAGAATGATTTATTTCTTCCATTCCACTAAAATTTATGGTTCTTGTTCTTACCACTCTAAGCCTGCTCCCATTGCTAATTTCCCCCTGTAATTATGAAATCAATTTCTCCCTATAGCAGTTATATTGGCATTTCAAAGCAGGAAATAAAAAGTATGACGAGAACTATGAAAGGAAAAGGTTTTTATTGATCTTTTTTAGAAATGAAATTTGAAATACACAAGGGACGCATGAATTTTATCTTTCATGAACATTTGATGAGTAAGTGTGGGTGCCCCAGTAAAGATTCTGGCTTCCTGCAAAGGATAAGGTCAGAAGTACTGTCCTGATTTATCCTTGATGTGTTCATCACAGGTTCTCTTGTCTAATGGCCCATAACTAAGTGAGGCTTTGATTATGGTATCTAATGATGAATAATCAAAGTTTATTGCAAGATGTTTTAACCAGACTTCTCCTGATTTGGAAATTTTTTCCTGTTATTACAATGCAGTAATCCCCTTATAATAGAATATCAAGCCAGGTGTAGTGGCTAACACCTGCAATCCCATTACTTTGGGAGGCCCAGCTGGGAGGATTGCTTGAGCCTGGGAGTTTGAGAACAGCCTGGGCAGTATAGTGAGACCTTGTCTGTACAAAAAAACAAAAAATTAGCCAAGTGCAGTGGCATGCGTGGGATTGTCGGGGGTGGGGGAGCCTGGAATCACTTGCGCCCAGGAGGTGGAGGTTGCAGTGAGCCAGATTGTGCCACTGCGCTCTAGTCTGAGTGACAGAGTGAGACCCTCTCTCAAAAAAAAAAAAAAAAAAAAAATCAGAATTCCCACATTCTCTGCAGTTGTCTGTAATTTATAAACTATTTTTATTTTTCATTATTTCTTGATTATTTAAATTTTAAAAATTATGGTGAAAGTATTACATGAAAATAATTATTAAATACTTCTATAAGACACACACACACACACATACATATTTCTTCACTCTCTTCTCCCATTGATTTGTCCCATTTCATTGATTTGTGCCATTTGCTAGAAGAATCACTTCGTTTTTAACTGTTTGTTCTGGTATTTACCTCCTCATGTGAAAATAATATTCCTCTTGTTAAATCAATTTACTTTCTATAGGATATGTTAGGATTTTTACTCATTTAAACCTTATACTTCCTATACCTTTCCTCACTTCTTCCATATATAATTGATTATGTCTAAATTTTTGGTTACATCTTTTTTTTTTTTTTTTTTTGTTACTTTGTTGTGACTACATAAGTGCTTTCCAGTGTTGAGTGATCTGCACTGGAATGTGTGGCTGCCTTTTGTATTTACTTTTGTTGTCAGTTTTACCTAGAGTTAGTAATTGCCTCATTTTTTCCTTTGTTTAATTTTCTTTGAATGTCTAAGTCTTCTAATATCCCCAAACAGTTCTGTAAAATATCTCTCATTACAGTGTTCTGTGTGGTCAAACAGTCAGATAATTTACCAGCTCCTTTTTCATTCCTCCTCCTTGGAGCCCTTTGCTTCCTGCCCCAGCATGCACTGTGCTCTCTGGGCATAAGGCACAGCTGTCACTCTGGGAATGTCCATTGCCTCTCTTCTCTGTTTCCTAAATCCATTTTCTCTTCTTGGTTTATTCCTTTGTTTTGGAGGAGTATATCCTTTAGTGACTTCTTGAGAAAGGTTACTTGTAAAATGAATTCTTTAGAGTTTGCGTATCTGGGTAGATAGCTTGCATAGACTAGTTCAGTGCAGGAGGATCAAACAAGTTAGCCGGATTTTTCACTGAGGCCCTCTCAACATATCATTCTGCATAAGTCTTTTTTCTTTTTTCTGAAGAGACAATTTTGTCTCTTCAGAGAAGAATTCTCAGTTTCCTGTCAGGGGAATGCAACCTGAATGCTGATTCCGGGGTTGAAGGAACTTAGTGATCAATATACAGATTTTCACACAGTGTCTCTATTTTCAGCAGTGGATCTTTTGCTTGCCCTCCTTTTTGACTGCTGTGCCTGAGTCTCAAGCTCCTATGGCTCACATTCTCTGGAGAATAAACCCCAGATTTCTAGTGGGTGGTAGAGGTTACAACTTGGGAGCAGTGGTGTGCTGGTAAATGTTTAACAACTAGCTCTCTGAAACAAAACAAAGCAAAACTCTGATTTGTAGCATGTGCAGTTTGTGTTGTGTAAATACTTTCACTAGCATTGATTTCAAGCTAAGAATGTGAGGTCACTGCAAAGTTGGAAAGAAACGTTAACAATAACTCTTGCAAGCCGGTATAAGCCAGCTGCAGCTCACCAATGATGGAAAGTCTAAATACCCATTCATTTTAGCAACTTCCCTTACCTTTAGCTTCTAAAGTATCCAGTATCTCAATTTCTTAAACATTTCCAGGGACAAATCAGCTTGCTTCTTGTAGTCACTGGCTTGACTTTTCTTCTCTCTGCTGTTTCCTCCAACTACTTTCATCTTCAGATGTTAGACTGCAGTCACTTCTTTATTTCATTGAAACTGGAGTTTGTGTTTTTGTTTCCTATCATCTTTGTGGTTATGGAATTTTGAAAGAAGTAACAAGAGCAAAAGTATCTTTCTTTTGCCATCATGAAACTGAAAGTTTTACTCATTTTTCTAAATAAAAACTATAGAGTTGTACAATGACATTCCTTATTGTTCAGAGTGTTTTAATATCTTATCTAAATGTTTAAAATCTAATTTATAGCATAAGATCCTGGGAAGTACTTTTTGACCTTGCTATATAGACCAAATTAGTCACGGCAGCTTTGTAATATACACATTTCAGATCAGAGGATGCTTGGGAATTACAGCAGTTCATGGCAGGATTTTGAACTTAAAAGATGCGGGGAGAATGTGGGTTGGTCTAGAGAGATATCAGTTTTTGAGTTACCTGTGTTGGACCCTCATAGGTTCTTTATTAGATATTCTAGCCAAATGCATTGAGCTCTAAGATACGTATGCTTTTTAGGGGAGGTAGGTGAGGGTGGGGATGAGGGCATGCTTATTCAGTTTTCAGATTAGAAACACAGAATTAGAAATGCAGAATGTCCCAGTAAAATGTATACACCCCTTAGATGTTAATAGCACAAACAACCAATTGCTTTTTCTATTTCACGGTCAACAGTGTTCTTAAAGACAGGATAACATAGTGGTGAAGGCATGGGATGCTCTTGAGTGCCGTGGTCCCAGATTGCTGCTCTGTCAATTGCTGATTGTGGGAACTTGAGCAAGTTTCTTCAACTCGTGGTGCCTCAGTAGTCTCATCTTTAAAATTAAGATAGAAATAGAAATTCCTCATCAGTTTGTTTTGAGGATTAAATGAGTTAATATGTTTAAAGCTCTTATACTTTGTGAAGCATAATAAGTGCTAGATAAACAGTAGTTATTATTATTGTTTCTGTTGTTATAGAACAAGTGATGACCAAATTGGCATTGGTTAACACCTGTCCAGTTATTAAAATTTATATTAATACACTTTAATATTACATTAAAGTAATATATGTATATGTACACACATTTTTATTAGAATATGTTGTTGAGTGTGATTCATAACTATTTTGTACCTTTGTCACTCCTCTGATAATTTAACAAATATAAATTTAATGTCAACCATGTACAATTTGACTATGCTAAATGCTGAGGTTACTGAGTTTTAAAATGAAACTAGAACATTTCTTCAACGTTAACACTAAAAAAGACCTCCAGATAGATAAGATTTAAACCTTTAACAAAAAAAGGAGAGCCATAGAAGTATTGGTGGGATATACGATTGAATGGTTTTATATATTTGGAGTAGAAGAGGCTTTTCTATTTATTTATATGAAAAATCAGAAACCCTAAAGTAGAAGATTGACATATTTGACTAAATAAAATTTCAACTTTTGCCTGAGGGGAGTCTCCAAAACAAAGTCGAGAGGGGAACAGAAACTGGGAAAAATAATGACAGTACATACGATAGACAAGAGTAAGTTTAATTACCAATCAGTTGGAAAATGGCAAACAGTCTAAAAGAAAACTACAAGAACAGGCTGTTTACAGAAAAAGAAGTGAAAAATGGCAAGCAAAGATAAGCAAAAGTCCTCATTATATTTTAAAGAAATTAAAAACAATTTTTTTTATTTATTGGAAATGAGGGTGCTAGTGGAAGTTAGAAAGATATATGAACAGATAACTAACATTTCCAGAGTTCTGGAATCAAGGGAGAATATACTCTGGGGGCAGGATTGTCTTGACCTTTGCCCTGAGTACCTGGCCTCCTCTCTACTTTCAAGATACTCTGTTGAGTAGAACGCTCCTGCAGGCTCCTTTCCTTGGAAAAATGCCTTGGCAGATTACCTGTGATTTAATGAGGCCTTCCAGCTGTGCATTAGTCACAGCTAGCAATTACTTCACATTCATATGAGCCAAGCATGTTCAACATTTAAAAAGCCTCTCTTCTGAAAGAGCCTGAATTGGCTGGTGTGTGGCCGTTTGGTTGGGTTTTGAGATTGCTTTCTGAGACCTTCTACTGCAGATCCCTGTGTACATCTTCCTCAGGGGCCCCCACTCTAGAGGAGAACAAAATAAAGCAAATCCTTAGGGCTTCTGGAGGAGAAGGGACTAGATGGGTTTGCTTATGGGTTCATTTACCCAGTAAATATTTATTGAGTGCTTACTGTGTATCAGATAGTATTCTGATCATTGGGCAAATAGGGGTGAACATACGTTTTCATGGAGCTTATCTTTTAGGGGAGTGAGGACAGATAATTTAAAAAATTAAGAATTTCAGATGACTGCTATGAAAAAGATGAAATCAGGTAATAAAGAGTAAAGGGTAGAGGTGCTTAGATAAATATATATATATATATATATATGTATATACACATTATGTATGAGCAAAATAGTGCTTCTCAAACTTTAGTGTACATCAGAGTTACTAGCAGGACTTATTAAAACACAGATTGTTTGGCCCTGTCCCCAGAGTTTCTAATTCAGTAGGGGCCTGGTGTGGGGCGTGGGAAACAAATTTTCAGGTGCCGCTGCTGCTGCTCTGGAGACACTTTGAGAACCACTGGAGCTGGGCAGAGGGTGATCCTGGAAAGCCTCTGCAAAGAGGTGATATTTGGTTAGAGACCTTAATGACGAGAAGCAACCATTCATGTGAAGATGAGCAGTGGTGGGGAATGTAGGCTGGGAATGTGCAAAGTAGAGAAGCTGTTTGTGGTTTGAAGAAAGCAAAAAGGCTCTGAGGCTGCAATGTAATGAATGGAGACAGTGGCAGCAGATAAAAGCAGAGAGGAAGATAGTCTGAAGATCTGCCATGCAGAGTGATTATCCTCTGCTCTGAGTGCACACTTAACAAAAACCTCCAACCATACTGGAGCCCACCCCAAGAGAGAGACTCAGATTTCATTAATCTGGGTGGCACTTAAGTATTTTTCAAAACTCCTGAGATGATTCTACTAAGCAGCAAAGGCTGAGAATGATGGATAGGGGTCCTTTGCAGCCATGGGAAGTTAAGATTTTATTTCAAGTGTCATGAAAACCATTGGGGAGTTTTAAGCAGTAGAGGACATAATTAGGGGGTAGTTTCTGGCTGCTGGTTGTAGAATGGATTTTGTAAGAGATTAAGAATGAGTGAGGAGAACAGTCAGAAAATGTCATAATTGTCCAGGTTAAAAGTGATGTTGGCTTATTTTATGTGATAGTGATGGGGATGATGAGAAATGAGAAACAGGATGGTAGATGGGATTTTGGGGGTAGAACAGAAAGGATTTGCTGATGGATGGGAGGATATGAGCAGTGAGAGAGTGAGTGAATTCAAAGATGGCTCCAAGGTAACCTTTTAACTGGTGAAAGGTGACACTGTTAACTAAGAACGCTGGAGTAGAAACAGGTTTATGGAGAAATGACAAAATTTTGTTTTGGATTTATTAACTCCAAGATGCCTTTTTGGAACAGTTAAGAACCAGGTTGTTTTTAGAGAAAGGGAGTGGGACTGAGGGTAGACAGTTGCCTTACTCCTTTGACAGGCTTGTGATAGCTAGCTGGGATAGGATTATTTTTTATGTGGACTTTATATGCATTTTGAAATATGTAAACTTTCCTGTAATGTGTGGCTTAATTTTTTTTTTTTGTTTTCACTCACTACCACCCATGGCAAATATTTGGCTTTCTAAAGGGGTAAATAGAATCAGAGTAGGAACTTTCTAGAGGTTTAAACCTGTGAGCATAGTGGAACATGGTAGGCACTCAGTGTATAGTTGTTGAATGAATGAATGCATGAACTCACTTTTATATATCAATCCCATTTAGCATTTTGATGAAAGATGTGGGTTCAGATCATATTGTATAGGGAACATCAAATATCCAGTGGTTAAAGATTATGTCTCAATTATTACCATAAAGTAACTGTAGAATGAATCCACTGAATCAAAAGGGGCAGAGGGTTTTGGTATAAACGGTGTTGTGTTCCTTGGGTTATCCTTGGTAAAGGGGCAGTAAATAGGATCTAAGACCCCTGTGGGTTTCTAGTCCCATGTCTCTGATCATATGTTTGCCCTTTGTCATGAGCCAGTATAATCTGTGTGATTTCAGCAAAATCAGCCCAAGTTTGGGATCTGCCTTCACAGAAAGTCCTCCTGCTTCTCTGCATGCCAGAGCCTGCCAGGGGGAATGTTCAGAGATCAGAGGCAAGAACTCCCATAAGCCAGCTTGGTGCTGTGTATGATAATCTAGTTGGGATCATACCTGATTATCTGAGATTTCACAGATGATGAACATCTGTCTATGAGTGCCTTTTCTGATAAACCAGAAGTCAGAATTTGTTTTTGGAGAATTTGTTAAGGAGAATCAATTCTACAACTAGGGAGATCAGAGAGGCTGCTGAGAACTGTTCCCAGACTATATTCAGATGCCCAGATTTGTGAATGAGCAGGTGGAATCTCTCCCTAGTCCAGGATGCTGTATCTGAAGGTTATGAAATGGACATCTGCACTCATTTGTCCTTATCAACCCCATCCAGGGACAAGTGATTCCACTTCAATCTTGTGTAATGGGGTAAAAAGTTAAACTCATGATCTTAACAGCTGTCACTCAAGTTCTTCTCAAGGAGGAAAAAACCCTATTTGTGAAAATACCTTGATAATTCACTTAGGGATACAAAAGGAAACCAGAGAACAAATCAGAAGCTAGACTCAGGGTAGCAGAGGAGAATGGCTAGGTTGATACCCTTACATAACAAGGGGAATTCATTGTTCTCTTTCTAAGGAGGTAAACAGAGGGAAAGGGGAGGAGAGAGAAACTTCAGGGTGAAGGGACCTGAGGAAATAACATAGTGGTAGGATGGCTGAAAACTAATTTAAGAAGGGAGATGTTCAATGTTCAGTTGGAAATTGTTTACTTTGCTGAAATGTAAACTCCCTTATGCTTCCCTTTAAATAATTTATAAAGTCTCTTATATTAATGGATGCATTGTGTGCGTGGGATTTATGAGTGGGGAACTCAAGAAAGTCTGAGCTTCATATCCAGTGTAATGGTGGAGAATAGAGAGGGCTATTGGAAGTGGGAGTTGAGATGACTTTGAGAATGCAAGTTCTGCCTCCACCTCCACCATTGCATGTACCTAGGGAATCCTCAGAAACTTGGGGCAGAGCTTTGGCAGAAGACTCCAAATCCAGGTCACATTTGCATTATAACATTTTGGATAGCAAAGACAATTTCTCTTGACAAAATTTAGGGTTCTCTCTCTGTTAAAGTGATTTGGCTCATCTTCAGCTTTGCTGGATGTTTCATTAAACCCGTGCTTCTGACTCAGGGGCCTCTCCACTGGCTGCTTCCAACTAGTAGAGTGTCCTTTGTTTGACTTTTCTCTGTTTTGGATCTTGTTCTCCTTCTCTTGCCCCTCTCAGCTTTGTGGGAGACCAGTTCTTCAGTTCCACAGCTGGGGGTCTCTCGTACCCCGTCCAGCACCTGAATTCAGCCAGACCTCTAATAACCAGGGAAGGGAGATCAGACATGACTAATATTCAGGGAAATTGTTTTCCTGAGCATAAGCATGGGTGGGGCATTTGTTTTTCAAAGACCATATATTGCATGATCAGATAGATTTAAACCAGAAAGGAATATGGTATATCAGGTAACTTTAAAAGGTCACCGAAGAGAGGAAGAAGCAATAGAAGATTCACTAGTAGCCGTATTGTAACTCCTAGAACCAGTGCCTTGAAAGTACTCTACATGACGAAAACGTCACAGTCAGCACACATGTTTTTGGAGGAAATATTTACAATTGCTAATATAATAGAATTAAAAAATATATTTTAATATTTTTACTGAGTCTATTTTGCTACTTCAGATTTTACTAAATCTAAGTAGGCAGAATTGTAAGATAGGAATGTGGTTTATATGTGGATATTAACCTTTTGACTTCACTAGAGCAGTTGCCTAATATTCTCCTATAATGAAGTTGTTTCCAGTAATAAAATTGCATTGCAAAAACTGCTTAGGTTATCTGAGGCCAGAATTAGACACCTAGAATAGCAGGAAAATAATTCTCGCCTGAGGGCTGCTTTAGACAGGAGAAGCATGGTTGTGAAATATTGTATTGTGTTCCCTTCTGTAGAAGTTGCTACTTAGGAGGCTGTTTGTGTTCTAGCTAAGAGTCTGGAGATGGGAATGATGGAACTAGTGGGCTAAGAAGGTCAGGGATACAATAGGTTACATGACTGGAATGGCTATAGAACTTATGGTCCATGATTAAGTTTGGTGGAGGTATAATTACAAAATGAACAAACATACATGTTTTCATGCCATACTTATCTCTGAAATAAAATTGCATGTAAGTACCTATAATGGTCTGCTATTGTCTGTGCAGCCCTTCCTCCAGCCTTTCTTCTGGCAACAGCACTCTCTTCCCTTTGGGAATGACTCGAGTGTCCAGTGGATACTGCCTTGTGCTTCACATGACCCTGCTCTTTCCCTGCTTCCATTTGCTGTCTTACCAGGGCCACAGTGGACTGTGCAGGTTGGGTACCTGAATTAAGCTGGCTCTTCCCCTGAAATTTTCAAGCGTATTAGAAAAGAGTCAGTTCCTTTGGCTGTGGAATTTATAAGAGGTGAAACCCAGGAGCTTCTGACAGCCAGGTTTGCTGCCAGAGGAGGAAGCCGGTCTGCAGTGAGAAGGTCAGACTGTGGAGAGAAGCATACCTCCTGTAGTTTGAGTGTTCAATCCCTTAATAACACAGGCTATTTTAGCATTCTTCTAATATATTTTAATTTTGCTTTAAAGTAATCTAATCTGGATTTCTGTCACTTTACAACAACAGAAATTCCAGCGAACACATAGGCACTGTCCATAGGAAGGACGTTTTATTAAAGACTAGAAGACTGTTGTCATCAAAATAATTCTGAGGTTTAAAACACTCTGAACTGGTTGCTTGTGGGACGTGACTGAGGAACATGAACTTGTGTTGGTAGAAATCCCATTGATTGATTGAGTGATTTATTGTCTTCTGATAAATATTTAATTGTTCACAAGGCCAGTCCAGAAACCTGGAGACTAATCTGTCTCTTTTGATTAGCAGGACAGTTGTCGAAACTCATTCTGTCTTTGTAATAAGCATTCGTGATTAATTTACCAGGACTGATAGGATCCTGTCACTGTGACCCCTAACTGAGCAAACAAGTCCTTTCTCAAACCTGAATGAGAACAGCCTGGGTGTTTACACTCAAGACTATTTATTGGCAACATAATTTAGCAGTGAAAGTTTTCTTTACAATCCTTCTATCCCGTGATAGCCTCTTTTCTTCTCTGTGGGATTCCCTGGTGTTCAAGAAAGTGCTCTTTCAGGAAGTCAAGGGACATTCTCTAGACTTTTAACTTTATTTATGTCCTATCTTAAACCTTCCCAGCCCTAAGTTAGTACCCTGCTAGTGATTAGTTCAAGAATGTGATAACCTGCTCTGTGCTGAAGTGAAATTCATCAATAATGGCCTATTTTGTTGGTCTTTTCAGTTAGCACTTGGCTTTTAATTCACCAGATGAGTTAGTTGTGGATTGAAGGTGCATAGCAAGAAGGAAAATTTTTTTGTGGAAGCAGCACCCAGGTGCCAGCAGTAAACGTCATTAAATTTATTGATGCTGAAATTCTTTTATTGGAGAGCCTGTCCATAACCATTCTTGGTAAGCAGTATTTTATCTCAAGTCTATTTTCTTGTGGGGATCCTACATCATTGCACTTGTGTGGATGAATCATGCCTAATATGGTTGGCAAATCTCTTCTTGAGTTGTAGTTCCCATAATTCTCACATGTTGTGGGAGGGACCCAGTGAGAGATAACTGAATTATGTTGGCGGTTTCCCCCATACTGTTCTTGTGGTAGTGAATAAGTCTCATGAGATCTGATGGTTTTGTAAGGGGTTTCCCCTTTCACTTGGCTCTCATTCTCTCTTGCCTGCTGCCATGTAAGGTATGCCTTTCACCTTCCGCCATGATTGTGAGGCCTCCCCAGCCATGTGGAACTGTGAGTTCATTAAACCTATTTTCCTTTATAAGTTACCCAGTCTTGGGTATGTTTTTATCAGCAGCATGAAAACGGACTAATACCATGCCTTCATGCACTGTAAGAATAGGCACTATTTGTAGAGAGCTGCCCTGTGCCAGATATAGCTGGTGCCTCCACACTGTATCTCATTGAATTCAATTTTGAGAACAATGTTATGAAGTAGGTATTGTTATCCTTAGAGATAACATACAGAGAAGTTAATCAGGTTGGCTGAGGTCATATGACTAATGCGGAGATGTAACTCGGGTTTGCTGACTCTGAAGCTTCTTTTGTCTATATAATTTCCAAAGTTTGGTTTTCCGTACCATTCTAATAAACCCAGAAGACACTTACCAGTGCTGCTTCCTTCAAACTGGACTCCTTGCCTATATGAGTTACCTTCTTACCTGCCTTTAGTTGTGGTGTGGGCAGTGGGTGCTGTGTTAATCCCAAGGGAACAGAAAACCTCTGGAAGCCCCCCATGGATCATGACTTAACCTAGCTGTGGAAGAGTCTTGATATCAACCAAGAATCACTAAATGATGATGCACAGGCTGAGTGCAAGTTGCTTGTCTGCCATTTTGCTCAGAGGTTAATTCCTCAGGGTAATTGGGAATTATTGCATGTTACCTTAGGGTGGTTGAGTTATTGATTGAGAACCTGTGATTCTGATTCCTAGAGGCATATTGGAGTTCAGGTCTGAAGGTTCTAAATGGACCACAATCATGCTCTTACTTATATATTAATATATCAGTAATGAACATCTCATCATTTACTCAATTTTAGAAGCATCTGGATTGAAAAATATATTGATATTCTCCTACCAAACTGAATTATATCTCAGACATCTAAGGATCAACATTTTTTCTATGTGTTTTTGTTATCTTTTCTAAGTGTTTTAAACAGTTCTTCGTGTATTCCAGAGTTTTTTTTTTTTCTAAAATATTGCTCTATTTTTGCTAGCTTCCTGAGTAGTCACCAATGCCACAGTAGAATAAATCTGCATGTATTTTTACTGGTCTACACCTTGGCAACAATACACATCTCCATGATGGGACAGAACTGAAATAATTTTGCCCTGTGTGTACATGGCTGTTTGTTTTTAAAAAATTTTCTGACTCAACTGTGACTGACTACATAATACTGGGACTGACATCCTATCATTTGGATACATGGATATTTAGAACTGAAAGCTCATGAGAGACAATATGGAGGGCAATAAACTGGCATGAAATGCCTTATGTTTTTCCATACCAGCTAAAGGCTCTTGATCCTCTTTTTCTCTTGGCCTTAGAATGAGGTGACTGAGTGAAGTGAAACGAAATGCAAGTTTCATTTCAACTTAAAAGCTGGAATTCTCAAATGCCAAATAATTGGAGATTTGCTTTCTGAGGTTTGATCACAAAACATTTTGTAAATAGCAGAAAACTGACCACACTTTATGTTGTTCACTGTGTTGGAATAGAATTTAAAGACAGGAAGGCCTGCAGAGAGCTTCAGGTTAGTTTCTCAGATGTCTTGCCTCCTGTTTCCTTCAAAATGATCAGGAGAGATTTTAATCTCTATGGTTTTTCAGCATCTGTGGTTTCTTTCATGAGCAAGCATCATAGTGGGTGTCAAGAATTATATGCTAATTTAGTATAATACGATGGCATCATGTAATGCGTGTGCACTTGAGAATAATAGTTTTGGAGGCGCTTCTTTGCTGAAGTATGATTATATTCAGAAACGACTAGCTTTGTAAGTGATAGTAGCTACTGACTTCTATGAATTTCACACTTAAGTTCATTAATGACAGGGACTGTTTTTGGTATTCTGGGATATGCACTATTTCTAACCATCTTTGTTCTTTCTCTACATGGCAGTTAGGAAAGAACCTCTGACAGAATCTAGGAACTAACAATCAGTGATAATTTTGATTTATTTTAATTTGGAGGCTAAAGTGTATTACAGGAAATTGTCTCTTCAAGAGGAAACATTTAAAAAGTATTTTAAGAATTTAAGAGGAAGCTATGTGGAGAATTATCATCCTGGAATTAGAAACAGTTTCTAATTCCAGAGGGCATGATATGTATTCATTTTCTAGGCGGTGTATATACCAGTTACTATCAGAATATGCTACATTTTAGGAACAGGTATCATTTCCATCAGTCTTTTCCTTCCCATTCCTATACGCTTTACCTTAGTTTAAGCATCTGTTACCACCACTCTTCTAGATAGTTGTAGGAGTCTCCTAGCTTTTCTCCTGGCTCTCAGTCTTTTCTTAATACAGCTTTGCAGACACTCATCAGATAGATCAAACCCAGATGGGATCAGGTAAAAGCCTTTGGTGGCTTCCTAGTGCCTACCAAATAAAACCCAAACACTGCAGCTTTGCAGTGATGGTCCTTGACAGTCTGGTGTGAGTCCAGCCTTGTTCCTATAACTCTAGCCAGAACTCTGTGTCCTGGTTGATTCAACTACTTTATTTTTATTTTTTATCTAATTTTTTTCTTTATTTCTTCTAAAAAAAAAAAAAGAAATGGGATACATGTGCAGAACATGCAGGTTTGTTACATAAGTATATGTGTACCATGGTGGTTTGCTGCTCCTATTGATCTTTCCTCCCCTTACTCCCCCATCCCCCATCAGGCCCTGGTGTGTGTTGTTCCCCTCTCTGTGTCCAAGTGTTCTCATTATTTAACTCCCACTTATGAGTGAGAACATGCAGTGTTTGGTTTTCTGTTCCTGTGTTAGTTTGCTGAGGATGATGGCTTCCAGCTTCATCCATGTGCCGGCAAAGGACATGATCTCATGCCATTTTATGGCTGCATAGTATTCCACGGTATATATGTACCACATTTTCTTTTTTTTCCTTTCCTTTTTTAAACTTTTTATTATTATTTTTTAATTTTACCCTAAGTTCTGGGATACATGTGCAGAATGTGCAGGTTTGTTACATAGGTATACATGTGCCATGGTGGTTTGCTGCACCTATCAACCCGTCATCTAGGTTTTAAGCCTCACATGCATTAGGTATTTGTCATAATGCTCTCCCTCCCCTTGCCCCCCATCCTCTGACAGGCCCCGGTGTGTGATGTTCCCCTCCCTGTGTCCATTTGTTCTCATTGTTCAGCTCCCACTTATGAATGAGAACATGTGGTGTTTGGTTTTCTGTTCCTGTGTTAGTTTGCTGAGAATGATAGCTTACAGCTTCATCCATGTCCCTGCAAAGGACATGAACTCATTCTTTTTTATGGCTGCATAGTATTCCATGGTGTATATGTGCCACATGTTCTTTATCCAGTTTATCATTGATGAATATTTGGGTTGGTTACAAGTCTATGCTTTGTAAATAGTGCTTCAGTAAACATATGTACCACATTTTCCACATTTTCTTTATCCAGTCAGTCATTGATGGGCATTTGGGTTGGTTCCATGTCTTTGCTGTTGTAAATAGTGCTGCAGTGAACATACATGTGCATGTGTCTTTATAGTACAATGATTTATGATCTTTTGGGTATATACCCAGTAATGGGATTACGGGGTCAAATGGTATTTCTAGTTCTAGATCCTTGAGGAATCGCCACATTTTCTTCCACAATGGTTGAACTAATTTACATTCCTACCAACAGCGTAAAAGCATTTCTATTTCTCCACAGCCTTGCCAGCATCTGCTGTTTCCTGACTTTTTAATAATCGCCATTCTGACTGGCATGAGGTGGTATATCATTGTGGTTTTGCTTTGAATTTCTCTGATGATCAGTGATGTCGAGCTTTTTTTCATATGTTTGTTGGCCATATAAATGTCTTCTTTTGAGAAGTGTCTGTTCATATCCTTTGACCACTTTTTGATGAGGTCGTTTGTTTTTTTCTTGTAAATTTGTTTAGTTCCTTGTAAATTCTGGATATTAGACCTTTGTCAGATGGGTAGATTGCAAAAATTTTCTCCCATTCTGTAGGTTGCCTGTTCACTCTGATGATAATTTTCTTTGCTATGCAGAAGCTCTTTAGTTCAATTATATCCCATTTATCAATTTTGGCTTCTGTTGCACTTGCTTTTGGTGTTTTTGTCATGAAGTCTTTACCCATGTCAACTACTTTCTTTACTTGGTTATTCTCTGTTTTTCCCTTCATAGGCATTTGCTTGTGCCACCTCTTTTGATATTGTTCTCCTTCTATCTTATAATCAAGTCAAGCCCAACTATTCAGGCCTTTTTAAAAGCTTTTAATTCCATACATTTTTTTCCAACTCACTTCCACTAGGAATTATCTTTTCTTTCTTTAACTCTGCTAGAGTACTGAAACTCACTTAAAGCACTGTGATTGTTCCTTTGTGTTATAATTATTTCTTGTGTGTAAGTTCTTTATGTTGTATCCTTCTACTAGATTATGACTTTTTGAGGCAGAGGCCATGTCTTTTGTTTTGTTTTCCTTTGGATAGTACCTTGCAGAGGGTTGACCTTTATAATTGCTAGTTGAATGGGCCAGTGGATGAAGGGTTTTAGTTCTGGTGAAATCTCTTTTTTTGTAGCTTCTTTATTCTTGCTTCTTTCTTTGTTTTAGAAGCCTCTCACTAGTATAAAGTTGGTGGATTTTGCATGATATTGGATACATGTAGATATGTTAGTCTGACCTTAGGCTGTTAAGTTGTGACCATTGGCATTCTAGTCTTGGATATAGTTGCCAGTTTGCTGATTCCCTCACATATTCTCAGACCATCTCATCTACAGGGAACAGCCTCCCGACTCGGAGCCTATTGGCCTCTGCTCAACCAGGATAATCCCTCCCAGAGAGCCCCTCATCCTGCTTCAAGCTCTAAATGGAGGAATGTTACTTTTTATGCCAAATGCCTTATTTTGCCCATGCCCTTCCTTATTTTCTTGAGCATATTCCTTCTATCCAAAGTTAAATTCTGTGATAATTGTTGGTTTCCATTATTTTTATTTTTTATCCTCAGTGATTTAATTTTATCATACAAGATCTATCAAATATTTTCCATGTTTTAAGTTGTCCTGAAGCAGATCCACGTTATTAATAGACTAATTTTAATCTTGACAAAATCAAATGCAAAGTGATCCCAAGTTTATTTCTGGTTCTAAATGATCAAAAAGACCATCATATTTCTGGCTTATCTCAATTTTCTCTCATGTGGCTTCCCTTGTCTAGTAGCTTTTATATTTGTATAGTTTCATTTTATTAGCTGATAACAACTCTTTGGTTAAGGGTTTGGTGGGATAAAAAGTTTACATATGAGTTAATTAGCCTTTTTTTTTGGTGAGGAAGAAAACTTAAATATTCTATGAATCCATATTATTTCTAGTTTCCTTTTGTACCAGGTCACCAAGTTATAAAGCAGGGGTGTCTAATCTTTTGGCTTCCCTGGTCCACATTAGAAGAAGAATTGTCTTGGACCACACATAAAATACACTAATATTAACCATAGCTTATGAGCTAAAAAAAAAGAATCGCAAAAAAAAACTCATCATATTTTAAGAAAGTTTACGAATTTGTGTTGGGCCGCATTCAAAGCTGTCCTGGACCACATGCAGCCACAGGCCATGGGTTAGACAAGTTTGCTCCAAACTAAACTATACACCTTATTCTAAAATTGCATTAAATGAAACACATGGCATCTAACCACATTGATCTTTGCTTTAGAAAGTATTTCAAAATCTTTCAAGTGGCACACTTCAAGATGTGACACTCTGATGGTCACTATAAATGTCAAGTTAGCATGATAGTGAAAATATGCCAGAACACTCATAGCAGGAGAGTTTAGTAATAATAGCTACTATTTATTACATGCCAACTATGTATGAATATTTACACCCTTACCTCATTCAATCCTCACACCACAGAGATAATGTGAGCTGTGAAATGTACTCTACTCTCAAGCACAGGAGCTATGTAACTTGTCCAAGGCCACTCACATATCTAGTAAGTGGTAGAGTTGAGCTTTAAATTCAGGCATTTTGGTTTCGGAATCTGTGCTCTTGTGCACTAATCTGTATTGCCTCTTAATTACTACAGGATTCTCAAACTTTGGCATGCATAAGGATCATCTTGGGGAGCTGCCAAGATATATCATCACTCACTCTACCAGGATTACTGTTCTAGTACAGTATACCGAAATATACTCTAGAAAGGGAATTAGAAAATTTTTGTGTGTGTGCCCCAAACTAGCTATGTGACTTCAGCCAAATCACTTGTATTCGTCAGGGTTCTCCAGAGAAACAGAACTAATATGATATGTGTATATACAGATATAGAGAGAAAGAGATTTATTATTAAGAATTGGCTCATGATTATGGATGTTGGTGAGTTCAAAATCTGTAGTGTTGACTGGCAGGCAGAGACCCAGGAGAACTGATGGTGCAGTTGATGTCTGAAATCAGTCTTCTCCAGAATTCCCTCTTGCTTGGGGATGCTGGTCTTTTTGTTCTATTCAGGTCTTCTACTGATTGGATAAGACCTACCCACATTGTGGACGGTGATCTGCTTTACCCCAAATTTGCAGACTTAAATGTGAATCCCATCCAAAAAATATTCACCAAGTTGACACATAAAATTATTCATCATTTGACTCAACCCCTCTGAGTTCCATAGATCAAATCTCATTGAGAAGATCACCAGGGATTGGGCCAGATGGTTATAACTACATAATAGATGCACCAAAGTGGTGACCAGTGGAACACACCCTGAAAAGTGATGACTTTAGTTTGGCTCATCTAGAGTTGTTTTTTTAAAGCAACCAGTGTTTAAAAAAATTGTTTGAATTACCAGAAGTTGCTAACAAGTTCTACATAAAAATCTGTATTTCTAGTTTCTTGGGAAAAAAAACAACAACAAACAAGTGATGATCTGGCAACACTGCATGACAACAGTGTAGCTGAGCCACAGATGCTACCTGTAGGAGTGGCTTGCAACCTCCCAAATGCCTACCACTCCTCCCATTTCATTCGCCTGGTTCATTGCACTTATTTCTGTGTGCTTCAGAGCTCTTGTAGGCGTTTAAGTTTTTAATCCTTGCCTCCATAGCTACTAAACATCTGTGGCACCTCCACCTCTCAATTATAAATGACAAAGAGAGAACTAGGATTTCTGTAACACAGTGAATGCCCGAGCTTGGGCTGGAAAACAGAGCTATCTCTTCATTGTGAGTGTGTGTGGTTTATCACCGTTCCCAGAGTTCCCTTCTCTGGGTTCCTCAGATCACTGCCTTCTTTCACATTAATAAAAAACATGCTTTTATATTCCTGCATACTTCTTTTTCATAGGAGGTGATAGAAATTGTGAGCTGCCTTCTTCAGAGTCACTGAGTGGGGTCACTAGATAAAAAGATGGAGGAACATTGATGTAAGAATAGAAGCTGCTAATTTTGCATGGAGTTGAGTTAGTTCATGAAGCAATTTCAAATGTAAGAATTACTTTCCTTTTAGCAAGGCTGGCTTTATAGGAAAACAGAATGATCAGTCTAATAGTAAGATTTCATTTTACATAGCCTCATTACTTCCCCACTTGTTCCCTGAATGCTCAAATTACTTCAACCAGGACAAATAGCAGTTCATATAGCAGAGATTGAGAGTAGCAACACATGGCTTAAATTGACAAAGGAACAAAATGGTGATATTAGAGCCATACTGCAAATACATTTTGGTGGGGGGACTAGGGAAAAGATGAAACCAAGGGACACTGTATAGTCTGAAAGCTGCAGAAGGGAAAAGTGTACAATAATGGAGAAGCTTAGAGGACCAAGATTTGCTTTACCATCTGTGCAGTATGACTGGCACAGCCACATCTTTTCTTTTCATGTTAAAATGTCTATGGCCGTTTTTGGGGGGACAAAACAGATACAAATTGTCATTAGGGAATTGAGAATTAATTCAATCAGCCATATGGTTTGCAAACAAGCTTTATTTTTCTGTGTTTAAAAAATGCATTTAAGATGTATAGCATTATTATGGTTTCTCTAGAAGTCATCCTTCATAAAAGTAATTCGGTAATGTTAGAATCTCTGTCAGTTTCTTGGCAAATAGTATTCGATTATAAATTTATGCTCCACAGGACACACAATTTTAGAAATGTTCTGGAATGTTTCCAAATTTTATTTTGGAACTTGGCATTTGGTTTCTCTTTAATAATCTCAATCAATAATGGTTTATACTAGTCATAAATGTATTAGCTTTAAATAGCTGCCATATTCCATTTCAGTAGAAATGCTTTTCCCTTTCCCATAGTGTGTATTTGAATATTCATTTTTGTGTGCAAAGTTTTTTCCTTGATACTTGGATTCCTGTGGATAAATTATTTGAAGGTCATTTGGGAAGGTGGAGAGAGAGAGAGAGAGAGAGAGAGAGAGCGAGCATGCATAGGTTTTAATGTCTAACATTAGATTTTTTGCTTGGGAGGTGTATGCTTGCCTCTAGATTTTTCATTCTTAGAACATTTTCTATTACTTTTTATTTCTATTAATTTTGAAGATATCAGGATCATTATTAACTCTAGCCAGTTGCTTATTTAAATTTTGAATAGATTTATAGCTTTTTTATTTTTAAATCTACTTAAGAGTTTATTTATATATCCCTTTTCCTTGAAATCATAGAAAGAGAACTATTATACTTAATACTAGTTTTGTGCTTCCTATGGTATCTTTTGGAATAACCTTAGTAAAGGACTGACTATAGCTGCTGGAGGATTGCTTATTATGCTTTTCTGCTAGGAACTGTAGTCTTATTAATATTTGGCTCAGACAAAATAAGCTTAGGTCCTAGGGCCATGGCAGTTAACGTCTTTTTTCTCCAACCAAATAATAGACTCTATGTGAGAGGTGGTTTTGGAAATGAAACTTTAGACCTTAGGGGTTGTTTTGATTTACAGGATAGGTGATAATGGTGCTTTCTCCTGGAACAAAGGATGAGATATTTCCTGCCTCTTCAACTGAGGTAAAGAATGGAAAGTAACAAGAAATATACTGTGTTTTAGAATATAAATAAATGGACTGGGAGGAAGGCTGTATCTGTTTGAAGTAGTTATTCTATTATAATTAGTAACAAAAATAATTTGTATTTGAGTAATATAAGTGATCAAGCTATCCTTGGAATGTATATGGCATAGTATACAGTAAAGTTGTTTTTAATGAGAGAAAAGTATATTGTAAAAGACTCTATGCCCTCAGAATAGCTTGCAGAGTTTGTTCATAACTCCTTTATCTTAACTCTTATCCTCCTTCTCCCTTTAAACATCTCTAAACACAAAAGGAATGATGGTACATGTATTAATAAGTCATTTAGGATGCCAATGTAGAGACCACCCAGCATACCTATGAGCAGACTGCTGATGCTCAGAGTCACCACTTGCAGTTTGGGACATTTAAAGTGGAGTAAAATATAAATGGCTTATCTGTGTGACCACTTGATTAACCACAGGTGGATTATCCTTAGTGACTTCAAAATTTATCGTTAGTTTTTCTCTTCAACTCAGAGTTCTTCTGGATCATCCATCACTGTGTGGTAACTAACGTAAACTAATTGAATTTCTTTTTAATTTTTAATTTTTGTGGGTACACAGTAGGTATATATATTTATGGGGTACTTGAGATATTTCGGTACAGGCACACATGCCTAATAATCACATCAGGGTAAGTGGAGCATCCATTTCCTCAATTATTTGCCCTTTCTTTGTGTTACAATGGTCCAATTATACTTTTAGTTATTATAAAATGTATAATACATTATTGTTCACTGTAGGCACTCTTTTGTGCTATCAAATACTAAGCCTTATTCATTCTAAGTATGATTTTGTACCCATTAATCATCCCCACTCCCCATTCCCCCATTACCTTTCCCAGCCTCTAGTAATTATCTTTCTACTATCTCCATGGGTTTGTTTTTATTTTTAGCTTCCACAAATAAGTGAGAACATGCAAAATTTGTCATTCTGTGCCTGACTTAACATAATGCCCTCCAGTTCTGCCTATGTTTTTGCAAGTGGAAGGATATCATTCTTTTTTATGACTGAATAGTACTTGATTGTGTATATGCACCACATTTTCTTTATCCATTTGTCTCTTGATGGACACTTATGTTGTTTCCAAATATAGGCTATTGTGAACAGTGTTGCAGCGAACATGGGAGTACAGATATCTCTTTGATATACTGATTTCCTTTCTTCTGAGTATACACCTAGCAGTAGGATTGCTGGATCATATGTTAGCTCTATTTTTAGTTTTTTGAGGAACCTCCAAACCGTTCTCCATAGTGGTTGTACTAATTTACAACCACTATGGATTGTACCACCTATGGATGAAGGTTCCCTTTTCTTCACATCCTTGTCAGCATTTGTTATTGACTGAATTTGGTTAAAAGCCATTTTAACTGGGGCGAGATGATATCTCATTGTAGTTTTGATTTGCATTTCTTTGATGATCAATGATGTTGAGCATCTTTTTATATGCCTGTTTGCCTTTTGCATGTCTTCTTTTGAGAAATATCTATTCAGATCTTTTGCCCATTTAAAAGTCAGATTGTTAGATTTTTTCCTATAGAGTTGTTTGAGCTCTTACATACTCTGGTTATTAATCCCTTGTTAGATGGACAGTTTGTGAATATTTTCTCCCCATTCTGTGTGATGTCTCTTCACTTTGTGGGTTGTTTCTTTTGCTGTGCAGAGCTTTTTAACTTGATGTGATCCCATCTGCCCGTTTTTGCTTTGGTTGCCTTTGCTTGTAGGGTATTAATCAAGAAATCTTTGCCCAGTCCAATGTCCTAGAGAGTTTTCCCAATGTTTTCTGGTAGTAGTTTCACAGTTTGAGGTCTTAGATTTAAGTCTTTAATTCATTTTGATTTGATTTTTGTATATTGTGAGAGATAGGGATCTAATTTCATTCTTCTGCATGTGGATGGCTATCCAGTTTTCCCAGCATCATTTATTGAAGAGGAGATCCTTTCCCCAATGTATGTTTTTGTCACCTTTGTCAAAAATGAGTTTGCTGTAGAGGTATGAATTTGTTTCTGGGTTCTCTATTCTGTTCCATTAGTCTATGTATCTGTTTTTAAAACCAGAGTACCATGCTGTTTTGTACAGTACCATTACTGTAGCTTTGTAGTATAACTTGAAGTCGGATAATGTAATTTGTCTAGTTTTCTTCTTTTTGCTTAGGTTAGCTTTGGCTATGGTGTGTCTTTTGTGGTTTTATATAAATTTTAGGATTGTTTTCTCTCTGTGAAGAATGTCATTGGTATTTTGATAGAGATGGCATTGAATCTGTAGATTTCTTTCAGTAGTATGAACGTTCTAACAGTATTAATTCTTCCAATCCATGAACATGGAAGAATCTTTGAGTTCTTTGTGTCCTTTTCCATGTCTTTCATAAATGTTGTATAGTTTTCATTGTAGAGATCTTTCAGTTTTTTGGTTAATTCCTGGGTATTTTATTTTATTTTATTTGTAGCTAATATAAATGGGATTGCTTCATTGATTTATTTTTCATGTTGTTCATTGTTGGCATATAGACATGCTACTGATTGTTGTATGTTGATTTTGTATCCTGTAACTTTACAAAATTTGTTTATCAGTTCTAATAGTTTTTTGATGGAGTCTTCAGGTTTTTCTAAATGTAAGATCATACCATCTGCAAACAAGGAAATTTGACTTCTTCCTTTCCAATTTCAATGCCCTTTATTTCTCTCTTGTCTGATTGCTCTAGCTAGGAGTTCCAATTAATGGTGGTAAAATGGGCATCCTTGTCATGTTCCAGATCTTAGAGGAAAGGCTTTCAGTTTTTTTGCTGTTCAATATGATACTAACTGTGGGTTTGTCTTATATGGCTTTTATTATTTTGAGGTATGTTCTTTTTATACCCTGTTTTTTGAGAGTTTTTATCATGAAGGGATATTGGATTTTATCAAATGCTTTTTCAGCATCAATTGAAATAATCATATGTTTTTTATCTTTTATTCTATTGATATATCACATTGATTAATTTGTGTGTGTTGAACCATCCTTGCATTCCTAAGATAAATCCCACTTGGTCATGATGAATGATTTTTTAATATGCTATTGAATCTGGTTTGATAGCATTTTATTGATGGTTTTATTGGCCTGTAGTTTTCTTTTATTGATGTATCTTTGTCTGATTTTTGCATCAGGGTAATACTGGACTTGTAGAATGAGCTTGGAAGTATTCCCTCATCCTCTATTTTTTGGCATAGTTTGAGTAGGAGTAGTATTAGTTTTTCTTTAAATATTTGGTAAAATTCAGCAGTGATGGCATCAGGTCCTGGGCTTTTATTTGCTGGGAGACTTTTTACTACAGCTTTGATCTTTTGTTTACTTGTTACTAATCTCTTCAGGGTTTGGATTTCTTCATGGTTCAATCTTCGTAGGTTGTATTTGTCTAGGAATTTATTCATCTTTTCTAGGTTTTCCAATTTATTGGCATATAGTTGCTCATAGCAGCCTCTCATGGTCTTTTGAATTTCTGTGGTATTGGTTGTCATATCTCCTTTAACATCTCTGATTTTATTTATGTAGGTCTTCTGTCTTTTTTTCTTAATCTGGCTAAAGTTTTGTTGATTGTTTTTAATCTTTTCAAAAAATCAGCTTTTAGTTTCATTGATCTTTTGTATTGTTTTCTTCATTTATTTCTGCTTTCATCTTCACTATTTTTTCCTGCTGATTTTGTGTTTGGGTTGCTCTTGCTTTTCTAATCTTTAAGATACACTATTAGATTGCTTATTTGAAGTTTTACTTCTTTTTTGATGTAGGCACTTATAACTATACATTTCCCTTTTAGCACTGTTTTTGCTATATCCCATAGGTTTTAGTATGTTGTGTTTCCAATATCACTTGTTTCAAAAAAATTTTCAGTTTCCTTCTTAATTTCTTTATTGACCTATTGGCCATTCAGGAACAGGAGCATGTTGTTTAATTTCCATGTGTTTGTATAGTTTCCAAAGTTTCTCTTGTTAATGATTTCTAGTTTTATTCCACTGTGGTTAGAGTCTCACCCAAGGCCCACAGCATGTACTACCTGGCTACCACTCTTGACTATTCAGGGCCCAAGGGCTCTTTAGTCAGCAGATGATGAATCCTGCCAGGACTGGGTTCTTCCCTTCAAGGAAGGGTTTTTCTTCTGGCTCAGGGTGTGTCTAGAAATGTCATCTGGGCATCCAGGAGATAGGGCCTCAGAACTCTGCCTCATGCCCTATCCTACTATGGCTGAGCTGGTATTCAAGTTGCAAGACAAAGTTCTCTTTACTCTTCCCTCTCCACTCCTCAAGCAGAAGGAAGGAGTCTCTTTTGGAGCTGTGAGCTGTGTTGCCTGTGGTTGTGGAAGAGATGGTGCACATGAGCTGGTCTCACTAGGTCACATGCCCCCAAGTTCACTGTCTCTGAGCCCAGCACAGCACCAGGACTTTCCCAAGAATTGCAGTCCTTGTGGCCTAGACTGCCTTTCAAGTTTATTTAGGACCTCAGAGTACTTTAGCCAGGGTGATAAGCCTTGCCAGAATTCAGGTTCTGACTTCTGGGATGGGTGATTCCCTTTTGGCTAGGGCTGGCCTGAATTCACCCTCCATTGAGTTTTGCCTGTATTGCTTTCTGCTGTGACAGGGCAAGACTGAGTTTCAGTGTAAAGTCTAACAATCACTGTGCTCTCCCTTCCCCAGGCACATAGATTCTCTCTTTGAACAATGCAGCTGCTGCAGGGGATGGGGAAGGGATGGCACTGGCAATTCAAGACTGCCTTTCCTACTTCTTCAGTGCCTCTTTCACCAATATGAAGTTAAAACCAGGTACTGTGGTCACTTACCTGATTTTTGGTTCTTATGATGGTGCTTTTTTTTCTGTGAATAGTTGTTCAATTTGGTGTTCCTTCAGGGAGGATGATTGATGGAGGCTACTATTTGGCCATCTTGCTCTGTCTCCATCCATACTAATTTTTTTTTTTTTTTTTTTTTTTGAGACAGAGTCTCGCTCTGTCGCCCAGGCTGGAGTGCAGTGGCACAATCTTGGCTCACTGCAAGCTCCGCCTCCTGGGTTCATGCCATTCTCCTGCCTCATCCATACTAATTTTTTTTAAATCTGCCTGGGCCCTGTAGCTAGAGTAAGGTCAGAGTCTGGGGCAGAACTAAACATGGAAGCAGAGTCTGCTGCTCCAGCTCAGAGACTAGAGGGTCAGAGAGTTGAATGGGTGCTGACATTGTGGATCCCCAGTGAGAACTTGCTCCTGCAACCTTACAAGAAAAACTGCTTTTCTACAGGAGAATCACCACGTTACATTAGCAGTTTATTTATTTATTTTTTTTGGAATGGAGTCTTGCTCTGTCTTCCAGGCTGAAGTGCAGTGGCATAATCTCAGCTCACTGCAACCTCCGCCTCTCAGGTTCAAGCAATTCTCCTGCCTCAGCCTCCAGGATAGCTGGGATTATAGGCACGTGCCACCACGCCCAGCTAATTTTTGTATTTTTAGTAGAGATGGGGTTTCACCATGTTGGCCAGGCTGTTCTCTTTCTGATCACTTATTGATAATCTTGACCTAAATTTAGAAGTAACTTGGGTATCACTAGATACATATGGGCAACTGGAATGCATTCTAAACTGAGTAATTAGAATTGAAATAATCTGCTCAAAAGTAGGAACACTGCTTTCCATTTTATATTTCTTTATTTACTTTGGGGGTTTCTTTAGTGACTCTTCCAGGACTTGTATGTGGGTTCATTATTTACTTGACAGTTAAAAAGTTGGTCAGAAAAGTTATGTCTGCCTCCTAGTCATAAATGAAAAGGTAAGAAATCCAGAGGAAAAAATTACATATTCTCTCTTAGTTTATTTTTATTATCAATAAAATGTCAGTGCCCTTTAAATGCTGAACTTTATCATGCATATGAACTTTGAATTATTTTTGTTCAGAAGAGAGAAACATGGAAAGAAATTATATGCTCCCTCATATAACTCAAAGGCCTGATCCATCAAAGCTAGAAAAGTTATTGTCATCTTGGGTGACTTTTGATTTCTCCCTTGTTCTTGTAAGGCCTACTCTCTTCCACTCACCAATATCTTCTAGTAGCTTCCCCCTGGTGATGTGTGGCTGGCTGAGTAGCTTCTTGAGAACATAGCCATTATTGAGCTTAATTGTCTTTCACTTATTATTCTAGTGACATTCTATTACCTCAAGATAACATACAAGTCTAATTTACCTAAGTGGATACTGCTTTTGTGTGTTACATTATGCTTTAGAATTTCAAGGTTCTGAAATTATTTTATGCTTTTTAGGAATCCAAAAATTAAGCTGTTTTCTGTTATTTTCTTTAATCTTCACTAGTAAATGAGATTAACATGCATGGAAATCTGGCCTTGGGAGAACTAAACCCAAGTGGTCACATAAAACCCAGGAACTATGTCAGCCTTAAAAGGCCAATCCATCATTCCTAGCAAGGTGAATGTACCACACAGAATTATCAGAGATCCCCCCTTACAAAATGGTAATAACAAAAATATTTGTCATTTTTGGGGTACTTTCTAGGTTTCCTTATAAAATGATAATAACAAAAGTATTCATCATTTTTGGGGTACTTTCTAGGTTTCCAACTCTTTAGAGATATTATTCTAAGGCAATTAACTGGGAAAATAGAAATAGTTAAAAATCACTTTCTTTGCATTGAAGGGCTTCCAGTATACCATGGTGCTAACTTAATTCTCCAGTTTTAGTTTCCATTCCTCTATAAAAAATTATTTTATCTAATCAGAATGGTCTGTTTCTCAACAAAGCAGTCTCTCAATACCAGTACAGGATGCTGATTAGGAAATTAAAATTGTTCTTCTGGAGACTATCTTTGGTTTTTCACTGAATTTCTTATTCTACTGGACGTTTTCAGAACATAGTGCAGGTATTAGTCACTGCAGATTACTCCCCTTACCCCTCTTCTGAGATCTTAGAATGTTCTGGATGATCTGATGGCTGGTTCAGAGATGGCTGTTTTATAAGTTAAGAGTAATTCATTTAAAACAGGGTCCCCAACCCCCAGACCACGGTCTGGTTAGGAACCGGGCCACACAGCAGGAGGTGAGCTACAGGTGAGTGAACACTATCGCCTGAGCAGTCCACCTCCTGTCAGATCAGTGGCAACATTAGATTTTCATAGGAGTGGTAACTATTTGTGAACTGCATATGCAAGGGATCTAGATTGTGTGTGCCTTATGAGAGTCTAATGCCTGATGATCTGAAGTGGAAGAGTTTCATCCTGAAACAACCTCCCACTCTGGTCCATGGAAAAATTATCTTCCATGAAACTAGTTCCTGGTACCAAAAAGTTTGGCGACCACTGATTTAAAAGGACAATTTACACAAAATCACCCTCAAAGTGCATGTGTGAGTCTAGCATATGTTGTAGTGTACATTTTTTATAGGGTGTGCATAGTGGCAATATGTCCTCTATAATAGAGTTGAGATATCTGCTTTCTCAAGGCTAGACTCTGAGTTAATTAGGTGGAGTGATCCTCCTGATGTGTAAGACAGTTCCAGGCAAGTGCTATTTATGCCTGCTTCTCCATTGGTGCCAGCAGTAACTTGACTCTCCCCTTAACTCCCTAAGCCTTTTATCTCTCTCTTACTGAGAGCTTTCATCACCTCCATCCTGTGTTGTAGATCTAGCTATCTACTCTTTTTCTCCCTTCTTGTTTTTCACATTGCTTGACTCATAATGTTTGCTTAATACATATGGTAATCATTGATATTGTACAGCAAATATTTCCAGCTCTCAGTCTTCTGAGCAGATGATAAGATTGTACTTTCCACCATCTTTGGCCAAATGACTCACTTTGACCAAAGAAATGTGATCAGAAGTGATGCAAATTATTTTCAGGTGAAATCATTTAATAGCCACTGCTCAACTCCTACTTTTCCTTCCTATTCACTGTGATGGTATGTAGAGATGAAGTCTGAGTCCCTGAATGACTGCAATGTCCAGAGTCTCCTGCTGACCTGCAAAGTGCATGTAGTTTAAACTAGAAATATACTTTTGATTCTTTGAGCCATTGAGATTTTGGGGTGGTTTGTATACAGCATAACCTGACTTATTCTGACAAATGCACTGGACCTGTACTTTCCAATATGATAGCCACCAGCTATATGTGGCTATTGAGCCCCTGAAGTATGGCATCTTATTTCATTTTCTGTTGCTGTAACGGAATACTCAAGACCGAGTAATTTATAGAGAAAAGAAATTTATTTCTCACATTTCTGGAGGCTGGAAAGTCCAAGAGGATGGTACCAGCATCTGATAAGGGCCTTCTTGCTATGTTATCCTATGGTGGGAGGTAAGCAGGCAAGTGAGTGTGTGTAAAAAGAGAGAGCATGGGGGCCAGGCTCACTTAATAAAAACCTAGTCTTGCAATAACAAACCCACTCCCATGACAATAGCATTAATCCATTCATGAGAGTGCAGTCCCCATGACCTAATCACCTCTTAAAGGTGCCACCTCTTAATACTGTCACAATGGCAATTAAATCTCAATGAGAGTTTTGGAGTGAACATTCAAACCATAGCATGTGGCTAGTCCAAATGGAGATATACTATAAGTGTAAAACCCATGCTGAATTTTGAAGACTTAGTATGACAAAAAGTATGTGAACTATCTCAATAATTTTTGAATATTAGTTACATGTTGAAATAATATTTTGGATATATTAGGTTAAATAAAATATAGTATTACAATTTATTTTACCTGGTGCTTTTTACTTTTAAAAAGTTACACATGGTTTGCATTATCTTTCTGTTAGATAGTGCTGCACTGAACTACAAGCTTATTGAAGACAAGAGTTGTATCCGTTTTACCTTTTTTTCCCCCACAACATCCAACAGTGTCTGGGATATGAGATATGCAACATTAATGTAGGTTTAATGAACAAACTGTGTCTCCATTTATATGTAGTTTAACATTTAACAAATAATGCCGTTCTCAACATGAAGTTTGTTTGTATTTTTGTGTTTAATAATTCCTTCTTGTAATTCCGTTAGCTAAAGAATAACTCAAATCTTTTTCAATCATCAGATAATTGAATATCATATTGTGATGTTATGTTTATGCTATAATAAGAAGGCTGGGGTTATGCCCATTAAATACTTCTCCTGATGAAATTTTTTAGCAAGGTCACTCCTTATGGCTAACATTTTCTTATCTTTGTAAAAATAACAAAGAAGTCCCTGTTTGTTCAGTCATAGTTGTGACTTTTATTTCTTTTCCAATATCTGCCACTTAGGATATTTATTAAATTAGGCCCCTTTGCATGGGGCCTTGTGCTACAAACCAAAAGGAAACAGAAAAAGAGAAATGGAGCTGCCATGAAGTCCTTCTGCAGCATCAGCTGTGGGGACTGCACATGTGAGGAAGCAGTTCTTTGGATTTTTAGATGAGTGAGACAGAAAGTAAAATAGGTGGTAAAAAGAGTCACTGAAAGGAACAACATACCTTAACAAATAAAGGGTGGGGGAAACACAAAGTACCAAATAGGCTGGAAAACATCTTAAGCACTTAATAAATTATAGCTATTGCCATGAAAGTGTACGAACCCAGAAGGAGTTATGGACGGATGCATACTAGGCTGTTCCATTGGCTAAGGAGCGGCAGGGGAGGTGACACAGGGGAAGGGGAAGATAGATACTCTCATCAAAAGACCATAGAATTAGCAAAAACTTGTCCACAAACCAACTTATATACTATTCCATGTGCATAAAATCACATATTATGTGTATGTGCATAGAAAGATATTACAACAGTGGTTACCAAACTGTAGTGATTCTTTCTCTGTATGGTGGCTGAATCTCAGGTGACTTTTACTTTCTTTGTTACACATTTTGAATTTTTCTCCAGATGAGCATGTATCATCTGTATACTCAGCAAATAATCTGATCTAGCATTTTTTCATTTATGGGTAACATCAGGACAAAGATTAAGAACCCAACCAAAAATTGTCTATATTATTTGCATTCTGTTGAATGCTAATTTTTAAAATAAAACTGTCAAATTATTATAAATATAAAAGTAATCAGAAGTATACTGCCAGTACATGCATTTTGGTTATCACAGAATATTTAAAATGTACATGTTTATAGGCCTAGTATCCTCCTCCCTGGGTTAGGCTCCAATTGATTTTCTAAATGACACAGGGAAGTAGCTGATTCAGGTCATGGTGGCATCTTATCTGAAAGTGAACATTTCTTCAGAAATAAAAAATGCTTTTGTAAGATTATAGAAGATTTGGGAATTATGCCATGAGGGCACATGCTGAGTAATATGTTTTTGAGGCAGGCTGCCAAGTTTCGTCAAAGAAAGGCAAGTACAGGGTTTGTTTTGCAATGTCTGGAAAACTTGGAACTCTAATTTCTTGGAAAATCTTTCCAAAATAAATTCAGTATGAAGGCATTCTACCTCAACAAATTACATGTAGCAAGAGGAAAGGAAAAACAAAGTGTAACAAGATGTGAGATGAGAAAAGGAGATTTTTTTTCCCCAAGAGATGCGACCTTGTTGAGTTCAATTACATGTCTGACAGCATCAGAGAAAACATCCTCGTAATGTTAATTTTACTCAAACTCCTGAGTGTGGGTAAAGTAAAGAAATTATCCTTCATCATCAGTTCACTTTTATCCATCTTTAAAAATGTACAAAATATAAGGTGTCATATATCCAAAAATATTCTGAATTGCTGGAGATCTTCAGCAAGCCGTTTACATTTTCTGGGTCCATTTTTCTCCTTTGTCTAATCTGGAGGGTTTAGATGTAAAAAGTGCTATGGTCTCTCCTAGGTTTAATTTTTTTAAGTAAAACAAATTATTATTTTTGACATATTCACATACTCTTTGATATATGTCAGCAAAATTTTTTCCTTATCAAGGTCTAATTTTTATATGGTGTGAAAAGCACTGTGGTTACTTCATAGACATGATCGAAAACTAGGACCTTCCCCATTGTCCCTTCCAGTTCTCCATACACTTTGAAGCCTTTGCATGGTTGTCAGAAGGGTTGTAGTGATTGATAAACAGGAAGAATCCAACTGACACAGGTTCTGTATCAATGAGATGGCTGTGCAGAGCAGGAGACAGCAATATTCTCCCCCTGGCAAGGATAAACTACCCTTGTCCTCAAGTCTTCTTGGAGCTGCCCTGCTGCTGGTGACTCTGCCTAATGAGGTGGGAGATCTGCTCAGGTTCTTTAAGAAACACAATCTGGGTCTTCATGAGGCGAGTCCCTACTGTTCCCAGAGGCTCTCAGCCACAGTAGTGCATGGAGGTATGAACTAAGAAGCTGTAGAAGGATACAAGTGCACTTTGCTTGGCGACTGCTTACCACCGTCTTTCCTTATGGGCTTGGGAGCTGGTGGAAACCAATTCAGCAGATTTTTGAGTGACTTTTGAATTGAAGGTGAATTCTAGGAGATCTGACTGTCCCAAGTAGGATGATACTTTAAGCCTTTCTGATGTGTTTACCATAATTCAATTGAAGAACATTTATGTATAGTTTATTCATGAATCCTACATTTATTGAGTGCCTGCCCTATGCCATTTTGGTGGGGAGAAGTATAAAAATAATAAAAAAGTATAATTTAGTACAGAATGACTAGGTACTAATTAAAATTGAGACAGACTCATAGAGGAGGTAACATTTCACTCTTAGTGAAAAGAAGAGCAAGCCATGAAAAGGTTTGATGTCAGGATATTCCAGGAGAGGGATTGGCAAGGGAATGGTGGGGAGGAGCTTCACATGTTCAGGGAAAAGGAAGAAGTCCAGTGTGGCCGGAGTACATGAGCAAAGGGGAGCATGACAGGAGTTGAGGTCAGGGAGGTGGGCAGGCGTGAGGTCAAGTGGGCCTTGCAGGCCATGGGGAAAAATTTGGATTTTATTGTAAGAGCAGTTAACCATTAGAGGGTTTAAACAAGAGAATGATAGGCCCTGATTTGTATACTCTTCTTGGTTCCTCTGGCTGCTAGGTGAAGAATGGATAGTGGAGGAGTAGAGAGAATAGGGAATTAGTTATCTAGTCATCCAACTGAGATGTGATGGTGACTCAGACAAGGTTAGTGGCAGTGGAGAAGGAGAGAAGTGTCATGGCTTTGGGATGTATTTCAGAGTAGAGCTCACAGGACTTGCTGATGGCTGCCTGTAAGAGAATAAGAAAAGGCATAAATCAAGGAGGATTCCTATGTGTTGGACTTGGAAAAACTGGGTGTATGGTAGGGCTATTTATGAGGAGGGAGAGACCTGGGGAGGAACTGGTTTGGAGACTTACCAAGAGTTCTGATTTTGCCATATTAAGTTTGGGTGGCCTAATAGATATTGAAGGAAAGATATCAGACAGGCAGCTTGAATTGCTATGGAAAGTCCTGGGCTGGAGATTTCAATTTGGGAACCATTGGCATGGATCTGATGTGAATTGTGAAAAGATAAGTAAAAGTTTAAACCAGTCCTGTAATTCATCTTGAGCATGTGCTACTTTCAGTCAGGAAAAAAAAGAAGCCCTCCTTTATGAAATGATATGGTAATTATTGCTTACTACTTAGAGTCTTTGTAGCAGTTGATTTTCAGGCAATTAGAATAACCACATCACTTTTATCTGATAATTAGAGCTAATTTGCAAGTACTGATGATAGGCTCATTCACTGAATAAACAAAATGCAGAGCACAAAGTTTGTTTCTACAGCCATATATGTGAAGTTCCTCTTCAGGTCTTTTGCACCACAGGGCTGCTGAATTAGTGCAGAGTTTAATTCAGAATTTTCACTCTTGTTCATTGCTAAGCTCATGGCTTTATTCTGTAATGGTATTGTGTACTTTGGGAAGAATGCCGTTGGGGGAAATTCTGACCCCTTCTCCCAATCTCAGCTGCGCTGTCAGAAGCTGTTTGCCCTGACAGGCCTGGGAGCTTGGAAGCTAGCTATAGTAAGAGTGATGCTTGGCCGGGCGCAGTGGCTCACGCCTGTAATCCCAGCACTTTGGGAGGCCGAGGCGGGTGGATCATGAGGTCAGGAGATCGAGACCATCCTGGCTAACAAGGTGAAACCCCGTCTCTACTAAAAATACAAAAAATTAGCCGGGCGCGGTGGCGGGCACCTGTAGTCCCAGCTACTCGGGAGGCTGAGGCAGGAGAATGGCGTGAACCCGGGAAGCGGAGCTTGCAGTGAGCCGAGATTGCGCCACTGCAGTCCGCAGTCCGGCCTGGGCGACAGAGCGAGACTCCATCTCAAAAAAAAAAAAAAAAAAAAAAAAAAAGAGTGATGCTTCACATTATTGAGTGTCCACGAAATGCTTATGACAATGCCAGTTGTTTTGCATAGATTATCTCTAAATTATATTAAAACCCCTGCAAGGTAGGTATTTTTATTTCCATTTTAATGATGAGGAAACAGAAGCTTAAGGTGACATGGCTAGTAAATTACAAAATCAGGCCTAGGGTCTGCTTGCTTCTGAAAGCATCTACAATTTTCATTCTGCCAGGCTGTTAAACTGCCAAAATTTGCCTTAGTTTATTCTTCCAGTCCTGCTTTCTCCTATCAACTCTTATGTCTTTCCAGCCAAAAACCCAATTGGCTATCATCTACATTTCTGTCTTTAAAAATCATCCCTAAGGGCCAGGCACCCCTGCAATCCCAGTACTTTGGGAGGCCTAGGTGGGAAGATTGCTTGAGGCCAGGAGTTCGAGACCAGTCTGTGCAACAGAGTGAGACCCCCCCATCTCTAAAAATACTTAAAAATTAGCTGGATGTGGTGGCACATGCCTATAGTTCCAGCTACTCAGGAGGCTGAGGCAGGAGGATTGCTTGAGCCCAGGTCATCAAGGCTGCAGTGAGCTATATTTGTGCCACTGAACTCCAGCCTGGCAGCCTGGGTAACACAGCGAGGCTCTTTTCACCCCCATCCAACAACAACAACAACGACAACAGAAAAAACAGAAAAAAGTCCCCTGAAGTATACACACCCCTACCCCGCCTCTTACGCCTCTGGTTTCTGTCTAAATATTTCAGCCCCATCCTCAAATTCATACCTTTCTTCTCCCCAACCATACCTTCCTAGTACACTCTAGGATTCTATTACTTACACAGACCTCTCATTCTTTAACTTTTCCCTTAATATTTCCCTACACTCTTGCCAAAACTCACTCTTGGCCTTATTCTAAATTACAAGTTCCTGAGCCACATTCTTCACTCGTCGTCATTTCTTTCAATTTTCTGGCTCTCAGAGTGAGGAGCAGGAGCCAGAGAATTTCCTGCTTCCCACCAGCACATCCAGTCTATTGCTTGTTCATTGCCTCTCAAGAACTTGTGTTGTGAATTCCACTCTATCCTGTGTACCACACTTCTTCCATCTTACATTCAACTCACACCTTCTGCTCACTTCTCAACCTAGAAGAGTCCACTTTTGCTGACTCTCTCTTTCTTCTATCATCTCATGGAAACTGCTAAACACTTTACCTGGTGTTCCAATCCCTGGCCTCAGAGATCTTTGGCCTGAGGACATTACGGAACTTTCCTTTCCTTTCCCTTTCCCTTCTCTTCCCTTTTTCTTTCTCAGAGTCTCACTCTGTCACCCAGGAGGGCGTGCAGTGGCATGAACTCGGCTCACTGCAACCTCTGCCTCCTGGATTCCAGTGATTCTCCTGCCTCAGCCTCCTGAGTAGCTGGGATTACAGGTGTGCACCACCATGCCTGGCTAATTTTTGTATTTTTAGTGGAGATGGGGTTCCACCATGTTGGCTGGGCTAGTCTCGAACTCCTGACCTCGTGATCCACCCACCTTGGCCTCCCAAAGTGCTGGGATTACAGGCATGAGCCACTGTGCCCGGCCAAAGAACTTTATTTCTAATTCACTCTTGCTCCTTATAGGCACAACCACACTTCAGACCTGCTTGACATTTGAAACTGCCCCTTATCTGAAATGATCTTCTCGGATGATACCCAGTTATAGTTCTGCCTCTTTGCAATCTTCTCTTGGGCTGAATCTTGGCTTTATTCTCAGTGTAACAGCTTCTTGCCTCATCCATTGCCTTGACATGCCACACTGGCCTCACCTGCCTCTCTACTCATGTGGACCGTTTGGTCTGCCATTTGAGCTCAGTTTTTGATAGTTCCATGGACTTCAGGCTCTGATCCTATTTTACTTGCTCTGCAAATCTCCAATTCTAGGTATCACCATCTGATTTCTCTCCGCCTCCTCTTGTATTACTGAGTACAAAAAAAGGACATGAATCTTGATTTTTGTTAACAATAAGGAAAATCTGCTATAACGTTTTAGCATGTAACTCACAGTCAGTCCCATGATTGGTTAATTTAGCGATCCAATAACATCATCAAAGACCTTGGATCTTCCCATTTCCCCCCGCCCCCTCACCTAACCCCCTGTTGTCCTATTAGGACAGCTTCAGTCTCTAGCTAGCCACCAGCTGCTGCATTTCCAGGGGCCGTGCAGAGACCAGACTCAGCAGAAAAATTGGTTTGATTGGTTTTACCACAAATATCAACCCACAATTAGAACCTCTTCTGGCTTCATTGCAGTCTCATTACAAATTTGCTCCTACTTGTGTTTCTCACTGGAACTATTCTGAGCTTTTTCCAATTCCAATCTTATCAAGCCCCACCTACTTGTTTCTTTTTTTGTTTCAAAAGTGTCTTCCATATCTGTTCCTATTGCCCCTACCCTAACTTGCACCCAACAATTGTTTACCTTGCCCCCATCCATTCATTCCCCTGTCCCTTTCCTGCCAGGTTACTGTTCCTGAAGCTGGCGCTGAGTGTGGCACTTTTTTGTTCACTCTGCCTCTAGTGGGTCCCTGAAGTTCAGATGGCTTATTGTAGCATTTGGGATCCATTAAGACCTGGCCCTGGACTACATTCTCAGTTTTAATTTCCATTATTTCTATTTATGTACCCCATAAGCCAATCAAAATGGAAATCCCTGGCTATTCTTTTACTGCTCCCCAGATTTTCCCACCTCTGTCTTTGTTCTCTTTCTCTGAAGAGGACTACCCCTCAACTCTGCAAGTGAAATTACTGCACACTTTAAGGTCTAACTCCGGTGGCACTTCTTTTAAAAGCTTTCCTGGCCTCTCTCATCCTCAGCAAGAAATTATAGTCTTTTCCGAATTTTGTAGTAGATTATCTTAGGTTACTTGTTAACTCTGTATGATATTTTTTATTGTAGAGTAAATCCGCACTTTGTTCATATGTTCTTGGAAACTGTGAAGTTAAGTGAAACCAATTTTACCATAGGCTGATTGATATAAAAAGTTAAGTTCAGGCCGGGTGTGGTGGCTCACGCCTGTAATCCCAGAACTTTGGGAGGCCGAGGCGGGCAGATCATGAGGTCAGGAGATAGAGACCATCCTGGCTAACACGGTGAAACCCCGTCTCTACTAAAAATACAAAAAGATTGGCCGGGCGTGGTGGTGGGCGCCTGTAGTCCCAGCTACTCGGGAGGCTGAGGCAGGAGAATGGCGTGAACCCGGGAGGCAGAGCTTGCAAGTGAGCCGAGATGGCGGCACTGCACTCCAGCCTGGTCGACAGAGGGAGACTCCGTCTCAAAAAAACAAAAACAAAGCAAACAAACAAAAAAAGAGTTAAGTTCCTAAGGCATATTTCTGGCCACAAAAACATCACCAAAACTCGAAATAAGACAAAACACTTCTAACATTAAACATTAAAATAAATGTAAGCTATACATACATTTAAGAAAGATGAATAAAAACAAGTAAGATAATTATTTAGACACTTCTTCCAAATCAGAGTTGTGAGTGATCAGAGCCTATTCTGGCAGCTCAGCGTAGCTCAGGGCACAAGGTGGGAACCAACCCTGGCCAGGAGCCATTCCCTCCCAGGGTGCACTCAGACACACACCCACACTCACTCAGACTGGCACCATGCAGACACGCCAGTTCACCGAAGATGCACGTTTTTGGGATGTGGGAGGAAACTGGAATAAGGGGAGAAAACCCATGCAGATATGGGGAGAACCTGCAACTCCACACAGACAATGGCCTCGTCTGGGAATCGGTTTTTGTTCTCATCAACATAATAACAGAGTGACGCTATTCAAGGACCTGCTGTACATCCACTGTGGATTGCTCTGTAGGCCCAGTTTTCTTAGTTTCCACTAATATCATTTGAACAATTTTTCAGTTGCTTGGTGTTTGATTGTTTTAGTTGTTTAGACTTTTTTCCATTTTCCTGACCTATGATCTCACGAAAGCTAATAGTATCTGTTATGGACTTAGAGGACATCCGGCTTCTGAGGCCCTTTGGGACTGTACATGATTTTGCTTGGAAAAAGCCCAAATACTGTAACTAAAATTGTTCCCGTGGTTATTTTGTCCAATTGATATGAGGTTGTTTTTGTCTTTTTGGTTTTGATGCAGTGTTTTGGTAGAAAAACATAGCAAACAAGATTTTACTAATATCACTAAGTTAACTTTGAGGTACCCAGTTGTTGCTAACGTAGTTCTCTACATCACCAAATATTACTGATCCCACCATTACAAGACCTCTGAAATCTATCCCTTTCTCTCCCTTCACACTGTAGGGGCCGGATTTCTGACCCTCACCACCTCTCTGCCACCAGCTTCATCCTACTGCTATCTGTCTGCAGAAGAATCATCTCTGGTGGGGCCACTTCTCTGCTTACGCACATTTTCTGATTTCCTATTGCTTCCAGAATTAAGTCCAAGTCCATTTGTGGGACCTCTGAGTCCCTTTAGATTCAAATCCCAGTTGCCTTCCCCAGGTTCATCTCTTGTCACTTGCTTAGCTGTGTCTCCTGTCCCCAGCCACATTGAGATTTTCACTACTCCCAGAAAGACCCATGTTCTTCTGGGGCTTGAAAGATCCCTCTAATTTCTTCCCCTGACCCATTCCCATTCATTATTTAATAAAAACTCAAGTATTACCTCATCTGTGGTGCCTTTCCCTACTTCCTCAGAGAGCAGCCCCCTTTCTGTGTTCCTATACCATTCATTCACTCATTCACATATTGAAATCCAGGTAGTTAAAAAGTGCTGGGAATTAAGTGACCTAGAAACCTTAGTCCCTGGACTGTAAGGGGCTGTATAGGGATGTAAAAAAGAAAATGACAACATTGAGGGCAGGGAGGGGACCAAATTAGAGAGACTCCATGCATTAGAACAAACTCGAGGAGTTAGTGCCTGACTCTGTGTGTGGGAATGCAGAAAGCGGAAGAGAAGAGAACAATCCCCATATTCCTGCCTTGAATGACACAGGTATGTGGCTGTCCATGGACACAGGAAATGAAAGGAAGGAGCAGGCGAGGTGGGAAGTGGGACCAGTTTAACTTTGAGGTGACTTTAGGACATCTGAGTGATATGTCCAGTGTGCAATGGGATTTATGGATCAAGAGCTCAGGAGAGGAAGCGGAGATTAAGTTAAGTTTCTGGGAGGTTCCAACAAGCAAATAGCAGTTGATGTTAGGAAAATTTCTGAATTTACCAGGTGCTCCATGCCCTTCTTTTGTTCCGTATCATATTGTATATCTGGTGACATAGCCTGCTTTCCCATAAGGACACTCACTTATTAATTCACCTCGTATCCTCAGTGTCTACTACACTGCTTTGCACATAAAAATTTCATTTCAAGTGAGAGAATGAATATGAGTTCACTCAGCCATGTCTTACTCATGGGTGAGAGAATATTGAAATTGATCCATTTAATAAATAATGTATTGAGCACCTTCTATGTACTGGGAAGTCTCCTGGCCACTGGAAATACAGCAGTGAAAATGATAGTGGGGGAACAGTAACACAGTAAATAAGCAAGATAATATCAGATCATAAAAATGATCATAGCTAATACTATGGAGTTCTTATTATGTGTCAGGGCCTGTCCTGAGCATTTAACATGAATTTTAAAATTTAATATTCACAATATCTTATAAGGTAGGGAAATTAATCGAGTAATATGGTGGCAAATGGTCAGAGAAGGCTGTTTGCAGTTATAATGGAGCTGAATTGTGAAGGAGCCAGCCTCAATGAGATCTGGGGGAAGGATGTTTCATGCACAGTTCAAGTAAATTTAGGTTTTATTAGGTTCGTTTTTGCCATTAAAAGTAATGGCTAAACTGCAGTTACTTTTGTACCAATCTAATAAAACCTTCTTCTTTTAATGTGAAAAGAATACAGACTTTTCTTAATCACTGCAAGTTGCATTCACTAGCCTTCAAATACTCTACACCTTAGTTCACCTACAACCAATCAAACTAGCAGTAGTTAATTGTAGAATCTAAGGTTAGGGCAAAAGACCTTTCCACGTACATTAAGACACACATGTAGCTTGTAGTGAGTGGAGATTGGGGAATTTTACCTCATTTGTACTCACTAATGTATTATGATAAAGATCAACAGGAAAATGATATGAAAACACATGTAGAAAAATGATTTAGATTCTAAGGTAGATTAAGTTAGGAAAGAGCAAAATCATAAAGATATACCTACTTTATCTGCTCACTCAATCAGACTAAATTCTTAATGGAAAAGTTTCTTAGGAACAAGCAAATATAAACAATTACTTTTTAATTCATTTTTCCTGATCTGTATAGGTTATTTGCATGTAAATCATATTGACACACAAACTTTACTTTGTCAATCATTTAGGGCAACTATGAAAAGATTAATACAGTAGTTGGACTTTTGATTTTCCATCTTGTTCTTACGTAGAATTTTTGATGAGACTGTGATGGCTAAAGGGAGGGAGGAAGTTCATCAAGGGCCCGAAATGTCTGTCTGTTATTAGAAAGGAGCCTTCATTTTCCAGAACGAATTTATCCATAGCAATCTGTAAAATAAATCTGTGTAGAAAGACGTCTCAAACTAGGCATGATAAAAGTTAGGGCCATACTGCAGGAAAGAAGCTTAGAAGGATCTTCTCATCCAGTGCCCTCAGTTTATAACCCAGGAGAGGCCAGCTGTCTTATCTAAAGTCACAACCTAGAAGGGATGAGATTCTGGGTAGCATTTCTTGATAAACTTGCATATTTACTTAGAATTATGCATTTTAAGCTTATCTATGTATTTTAATTATTTTAAGTTAGAAAACTGTAATATAGTTTTAATTTTTAAATATAATTATATTTTATTGCCTTAAGTTTAATAGTTTAATAGTTTAATTTATGTGGGCATTTTGTATTTAATCATGGGAAAGTAAAAACTGTTATAATTCAATTTGATTTACTGAATTAGTGAATAAATTTATTTTTGTCTGAGTTTTTATTAAAAGAGACGAATTTTAATCAATAGAATTTATGTATATATATATGTATATATATATATGAAAGTCTAAAATTGGAACAAAATAAAAAGGTGATGCAACTAGGAGCCCCTTTGTATCTCTACTGTCTTTTGGGCTTCCTATTTTTGCATTATTTCCACTTTTATTGATAACCAAACACTTTCCAAATGTTAAGTGTATAATCTCAGAGGGCTAGTTAGGAATTTGCTGAAGAGTGGTAGAGAAAGCCATACTTTTAACTATCTTTAAGCCTCCTCATGCTTTCTAAGAAATTAATCTTCTTTTTCTGTTTCCCGATCTCTTCCCTTCTGTCTGTTTCACTTGGTACTAGATCAGCTCTTATCATTCCTCCTGCAGTTGAATCCACATTCTGTTTCCAGGATTTTACGAATCTCAAAAATTTGAAAGCTACTGACCATTCTGGAAAATAATCAGTTATGGGTGCACTTACATATGTAAACTTTAATATATCACTTCACATTTTAAGTGGACCTTACCATTGTTTTTGCCTCCTTTTGTGATATAAATGTGGGGTAACCTGATCTGCTGAGGGAGTAGCTGTGATCCAAACATGTGAGTTGAGTGCCCACAAGGCAGGGCTGAAGCCTTGGAGGACCTCGCATCCATCTTTAGCTACAAGTCAACTGGCTTCTCAAAAACAGAACAGCCTCAACAATTTGTTGATTCAAAACTTTTAAATATCAATATTTTTCAGATTAATACTTTTATTTGTCTAACATTTAAATTTATATATTTTTCTTAGCTAAATGTTTGTTTGCTTAATTTTAAATTGGTAATAATAAAAATTGGCTTATAAGTGAACAATTTTGATAGATTTTAGTTCATTATTTAGTTCATTATTTGTAAAATGCATATTTTCCTTCCCCTTTATCCCTGTGTTCAAATGAGGAGTTATTATTTGCTTCAGGAAGCTTCTCTTGGGGATTAAATAAGCATTTTCTTTTCTTTTCCTTTCTTTCTTTCTTTTTTCTTTTTCTTTTTCTTTTCTTTTCTTTTTTTTTTTTTTTTTTTTTTTTTTTTTTTTTTTTTTTGAGACAGGGTCTTGCTCTGTTGCTGAGGCTGCCAGGCTGGAGTGCAGTGGCACAATCACAACTCACTGCAGCCTCAACCTCCTGGGCTCAAGTGGTCTTCTCATCTCAGCCTCCTGAGTAGCTGGGACCACAGGCGTGTACCACCACGCTTGGCTAATTTTTAAAAAACTTTTTGTAGAGACGGAGTCTCCCTGGGTTGCCCAGGTTGGTCTCAAACTCTTGAGCTCAAGTAATCCTCTCGCCTTGGCCTCCCAAAGTGTTGGGATTACAAGCATGAGCTGCTGCATCAGGGCTAAATAAGCATTTTCTATAAAAGGTTTATTAGCATAATATCTGGCCTATAGGAAGGATGGAATTTATGTTAGTTGTTGTTGTTGCTACTATTATTGCCAGACCCTGTGCTAGGCACCGAAGATAGAAAGGAGATAAAAGTGTACTATCTCAAAAGGATCAAAGCCTGGTGATGAGGCCTGTAGGGATCGAGTTAGAATTACGATTGTTTTCTAAAGATGGAACTTTGTGGCTATTTTGTAGTTTGGGTCTGGAGCCTTCTGCCATTTTACACACCAGGTCTATGCATCTGTTCTTTAATGCAATACATAGACCTGCAAAAATACACAAAGGATTACAGAAGGTGAATAAAGAGTAGTATTTCCATAACATAGCATGGAACCCAGCAGCCTCTAGTTAAAAAGTTTTACTGTGCTTCCCAAGTTCTTGATTTAACTTTATTAGTTGAATCTTCCATATGCCTTCAAGGGAAGCATAACTGAAATACAACTAGCAGTTGTATTTATATTAAGCTTCATCTAGTTTGTTATCAAAGTATAATTTTTGCTTTGTTGAAAATTTTTTAGATTTGTTTTGATTAGTCTGTGTAGTGATTAGGCAGATCTGTGGAAAACGGGTACTTTCCAATTTCTTGAAATTCTAAACATGTTTTAATGGTTTGTTTCAACATGTTTTACTTTCAATGTTTTAGTAGCTAAAGGCGCATTACTGATTAGAAGACAAATAAGCTCTTTTGAGTTACTTTACAAATTTTCATTTATCTCTCATGGTAATTTACAATTACTAGAGAACTTCGGTTACCTTAAAAACATTTGAGAGTAATTTTTCTTAGCACCATAGATGGTAATGTTGATATGTGGAACAAAATCTTCAATAGTGACTGGCTCTGATTTCCAAGGAAGTTGAAGGTACATTGAAAACATTTTCAGTATTAAGAAAATACATTAAAAATAACCCATTTAAATATGCTCTACTAGATCCTCAATAGTAATAGTATCATGTTCACAGTTTATTCTGTTAAATATTTGGATTTTTCAATAATGGGTTTCTTTCCTTTTAACAGTTTTCTCCTGAGTGGTCCATAATACCAACTTGTTAAATTTGCAAAAGAGATTTGTATTTCAAATTTAAGTGCAAGAAAAAGCTAATGTTTCTACTGATGTTGTTTATAACAAGAGAGTGAGAAGGCCCAGTGAAACTGTGAGAAGAATGATTTATCTTACTTACTGCATTAGAAATCGGCCTGTTATTACTTCGTTGGCTTCTACAAAAGAGCTTGTAAATAAAATGTTATAGCCCTAATTGAAAATAAAAGGATAGTGAATGGAATTTAGCCCTATTCATCCTTTTGGATTTAAGCATGATTCATTTCAGCTAAAAATTTTAAAAATCCTCACTTTCATTATGGTTTTTTTTTTTTTGTTTGTTGAGACAGAGTCTCACTCTGTTGCCCAGGCTGGAATGCAGTGGTGCGATCATTATGTACATTTTTTAATGCAAGTTTAATGAGTATCCATATCTCAGATTAGCACAGCAATTTTTTGAGGCATTTAGAAATTCCCAGATGTACTACCATGGGCAGCTGAATGCTTTGGTGCAAGCGCAAGGTAGGATCAGAGCAACCTAGGGTGAAATCCTACTAGCTGTGTAACTGTTGCCCACTAGCTGTATAACTCTGAGCCAGTTGGTTAAGCGTGTGAAGTCTCAGTTTCTTTACTTGTCAAATGGGGAACAAAACAACCACCTCACAGGGTAGCTTAGAGAAGAAAGAGAAATTCATTATGTAGAGCATATTGCAGTGTTTTGTTAATTATACTTGGAATCCTTTTTAAAAGGATGGCAGTAGGCTGAATTACATTCCTGCATGGCAGTAGGCTGAATTCTTACCCAGTTTAGTATCATCTGATATTGAATACAGCTCACTTCATATAGGATGAAGTGAATAAATAGTCTAAGCCAGAGGAGTTGGCAAACTATAGGGCCTTCTGCCTGTGTTTGTAAGTAAAGTTTTATTGCTAATTACCCTGATTTGAGAAACATGACACTGTACCCCATAAATATGTACAATTATTTTATATCAATGATACATAAAAAAGTTGTTTTATTGCAGTTCAGCCTTGCTTATTCATTTAAGTGTTGTCTGTGTTTGCTTTCATGCTATCATGGCAGATTAGTTGTGGCACAGACCTTGTGACCCATAAAGCCTACAATATTTACTGTCTGGCCTTTTACAGGAAAAGTTTAGCTACTCCTGGTCTAAGCTGTTGTCAGGGGATTGCTTAATTGATATTATGAAGTGTTGTGGTTTGCACAAATGAGAGGATCCATTTTAAGTGAATTACTGTAGGAATAGACTACAGCATTACTTAGCTATTTTTGGGCTCACCAGAGAAGTCCAAGGATTATCTGTGATTAGTGGTGAGATCCTCTGGAATAGATGGGAATAAAAACCTAGTACCTACAGAAGGGCATTTGGACAGGACCAAAACCTTCTGTGGTTCAGTTTCAGAGTGGGGAGAAGCCAGGGAGTGATATTAGATTCCTATATGACATCCTTTATCAGCCTACAGCTATGGAAATTGTTCCAAGCATTCATTACAAAGTGGATTTAGTTATTCTTAAAAGGTCTTTGTGAATCATCCTAAATCTTAAATTAAAAGATTGTAACCCGATATTACTATGTAGAGACCCTGGAATTAATGCATTTTACCTGGTTATTAGAGTAGCTGCTTCAGGTGCCAGAGTAGGCAAAACTAGACAAGGCTCTGTGTGCTGCAAATGACTGAAGGTCTGAAGCCATATTCCACTTAATTTAATCATTTTTAAAAATTATTATTTTAGAGCAGGGTCTCACCCTGTTGCCCAGGCTGGAGTGCAGTAGTGTGATCATAGCTCACTGCAGTCTCAGACTCCTGTACTCAAGTGGTCCTTCCACCTCAGCCTTTGAGTAGCTAGGACTATAGTCATGCACCACAATGCCTGGTTAATTTTTTAAATTTTGTAGAGATGGAGTCTTACTATGTCGCCAGGCTGGTCTTGAACTCCTGGCCTCAAGCAATCCTCCCGCCTCAGCCTACCCAAATGTTAAGATTATAGGTGTGAGCCACAGAGTCTGGCTTCAATTTAATAATTTTGATAGATTTAACATCAGATCAATTGCTGGCCTCTACTGGAAGTTCTGAGAAGTCTTTCATTTTTCATAATAAGTAATATTCTACCATCCCAAAGTCTGCTTTTCTCCTTAATTGATCTTTGGGGAGTTAGACAATACAATCATCATTCCTGAGAGCTATTTGGTGCTTTAGAGTTTACAAAGTGCTTCCATTTACACAATTTTATTCAAATAACATAATCACCTTACAAGCTAGAAGGGTTGGAATCATCCGTATTTCATACTGATAACAACTTCAGGTTCTACGAAGTTAAGCCACTTGCCTAAGGCCATACAACTCTAAAGGGTGAAGGAGGGACTTGATTTGTCTTCTGACTTCATATCCCATGTTTTCTCTGCCAAGTTATTTTGTCTGATGTTAACTCTCCGCCAAGTTTACTGAAAAATAGCTAAAATATAAAGTCTCATTAGTTTTTAAAGTAAGCATCCAGAGGAGAGAACATAGAGACCTTTTCACCAGAAACACGTATCATCTAGATCAGAGCTGGCAAACTGTTGGACCATAAGTCTCATCTGGCCTGCAGATGTGTTTGACTTAGCCTCTATAATATCGGCCTGTACATGGCTTTATTAAACAATTACATGGATTTAGCTGTTAAGTAATATCACAAATAAGTCCAGATTTCCAACTTCTTTAGAAAAGTCAGATCTGGCCACACTGTGCCCACATTCATGCATGGCAGTAGGCTGAATTTAAACAGTTGTCTCCTTTGGAGGGGGCATTTGCTTTCTAGTTTCTACAAGTCACTATAATGCCCTGTTGCCCTCCCATTCAAACCTCACTTCAATCATTTAGGGTACCTACCTGACTCCTGGAAGCATTTGAGTTTGTGATCCCTGATCTAGACTAGGATACTCATTTTGTGAATGAAGAAGTGACATTCGAAGTAGTAAGTCAATTAGGCAGCACCAAGATTACAACTTGTTTTCCTGAGACAGAGCCCTTTTTTGGATCCTGGCTTCATGGCCAGATTATCATTACTGAAGAATAACAGAACAGCAAGGGAATAGTAATTAGAAATGCCAAAATGATGCACACTTTTAAATAAATGGATATGGTTTTAGTGAGGGTCTGCTATATATTTTATATTTATGCCATATTAGCCAGACTTAAAATATTTCAAACATCAGACTATGTATTGTATGTTTCAGTTTTGAAAACATGGGTCACTGTAAACTGAATGAATGAATTTCATTTTCTTATGTTGGAGAAGTTGATTGGAGGGTGCATTTTTGAATGAATTTCAGCACTGAGACTGAGTTTCAGTTTTAGAAGCAGAAGGTGCCTCATGTTAGATAATAGCACATGTTAAAGAGAAACTGAGGGAAAGAGCAGTGATCGGTATTGCGGGTATATACTGAGAAACTGGGATGAGTGGATGCAGGAGTGGACTAGCACTGTCAGCCACAAGTAGGAGCATGTAGAAGCTGAGTGAGAATAGGCAGTTTAAAGGAATTGACGGTGGGACCTACCCAGTGATAAGAAGGGGTGTCAGATATATAAATGAGCTGAGTGAGTATAGTGTTGATCACTTATTTTATTTCAATGGCTTTTGAGGTACAGTGGTTTTTGGTTACATGGATGAATTGTATAGTGGTGAAGTCTGAGATTTTAGTGTACCTATCACCCGAGCAGTGTACATTGTACCCAATATGTAGTATTATTTATTCCTCACCCTCCTTCCTTCTCATTCTGTGTCCATTATATCACTCTGCATGCCTTTGCCTACCCATAGCTTAGCTCCCACCTATAAGTGAGAACATACAGTATTTGATTTTCCATTCCTGAGTTACTTCACTTGGAATAATGGCCTCTGGCTCCATCCAAGTTGCTGCAAAAGATGTTATTTCATTCTTTTTTAATGGCTGAGTAGTATTCCATGGTGTATATATATCACATTTTCTTTAACCACTCATTGATTGATGGGAACTTAGCTTGGTTCCATATCTTTGCAATTGTGAATTGTGCTGCAATAAACATTTGTGTGCAGCTGTCTTTTTGATATAATAACTTCTTTTCCTTTAGGTAGATAGCCAGTAGTGAGATTGCTGGATCGGATGGTAGATCAATTTTTAGTTCTTTAAGAAATCTCTGTACTGTTTTCCATACAGGGTGTACTAATTTATGTTCCCACCAGCAGTGTATAAGTGTTCCCCTTTCACCATATTGACACCAACATTTATTGTCTTTTGACTTTTCAATAATAGTAATTCTTGCAGGAGTAAGGTGATATCTCATTGAATCACTTATTTTTTGTGAAGTGTAATTTCTAGGATGGATTATATAGTTCAAACCCAAGGGGATAAATTATATCCTATTGAGTGAAAGAACTAACTAGGGGACTTGCAAAAAATAACTATAATAAACAATGAAGAGTAGAAATTCTTGTTTTTTGAATGAACCTACAAAATGCGTAAAACAAAATATTTGATGAAAACATTTTCAGATTATGATGGCTGTTCTTATTACTATTCATTCATTCATTCATTCAGTAATTATTTATAGAAGTTTGCTAGGTGTAGGGCACCATACTGAGCATTGGGGAAACGTCTCTGCCTTTGAGTTGCTTTTGACCTAGTTGGGGAGATAAAAAAGGAAGACATGGAGTATTCTACATAAGGCAAGCCCATGTTAAGTTAATGTTTTGGTGGCTTAGAGAAAGAGACACCACTTCTCCTAGCTTGACTTTCTGAGGGATGAGGACCAGGAATTTGAACTAGATCTGAGGGGATGAGTAGGATTTGAAATACCAGAGGAATGGTAGAAGTTTGTTTAGGGAGGGCCTTGACTTCCAGGCTAGATAATTTGCATTTCAAAGAGATGGTTTCCAAAACTGACCAAGTGAGCTTGGTGCTAAGATCATAATATACATTTAAAAGTGTTTTGGTTACTCTGGAGGCTGAGGCATGAGAATCATCTGAACACAGGAGGCGGAGTTTGCTGTGAGCTGAGATCGCACCATTGCACTCCAGCCTGGGCAACAGAGTGAGACTCTGTCTCAAAACAAAACAAAACAAAACAAAAAACAAAAAAAAAAGTGTTTTGGGATGGATTACTTTCAGTGGAGTTTGTAAAATGCCTTTGTGAATAGCTGCGATTTAGAAAACAGCTTGCTCAGGAGAGAATCAAAACCTTCCTAAGCAGAAATAACCCCTCAGACTTGCACCTGGAGTCCACTTGGAGATTCTCCCAGGTATTACTTAGGATACACAGAGACTAATATACAAATGAAGGAAAATGTACAGATAGTGCCTACTGGTAATAGATTACAGTTGGAGAATCCCATTTTGCTAAAGATAGTATTGAGTCTGGAATGTTATTTAATTTTCAGTTCCTGTATAGGCCTATGGAAGTCACCTTATATTGGAGTCTTTATAGAGTCTCTCATGTTACAGGGCGCTGCTCAATTACCTTATTTTGAGCAGCAGACCACTTGAGGAAGACACATTAGACCTAAACGAGCTCATCAGAGCTATTTTTATTTGCTCATAGAGATGTAGCTGACATGATGGGTAAAAAAAAGGAGGCAAATAAATGGAATACAGTTTCTGTTATTATTCCTAGAGATATGAGTTTGCAATTGCAGGTGCTGGATATAATTTTAAACATGCCTTTTAAAGCAATGCAGCAGATATTTTGTGGATATTACAAACATACACCTCAGGACAAAAGGAAAGCTAACCTAATATGACTGGAATTCAAGGTGTATGGTAAGATTTCCAGTGAGGGTATGTATTAGTCCATTTTCATACTGCTATGAAGAAATACCTAAGTGTGGTTCCACATGGCTGGGGAGGCCTCACAATCATGGCAGTAGGTGAAGGAGGAGCAAAGGCACATCTTACATGGCGGCAGGCAAGAGAGAGTGTTCAGGGGAACTGCGCTTTATAAAACTGTCAGCTCTCATGAGACTTATTCACTATCATGAGAAAACCCACCCCCATGATTCAATAACCTTCCACAGAGTCCCTCCCATGACACATAAGGATTATGGCAGCTACAATTCAAGATGAGATTTGAGTGGGGACACAGCCAAACCATATCAGGGTAGATTCAGAAAATGTTTCTCTAACAGTTTAGACTGATGCAAAGGTGTACTTTTTGGAAAACTCTTTGATGACTTAAAGTTTAAGTGGAAATGTAGAGTCTGGATAAAACTCATGGAATTTATAGCATTCCAAGATTAATATATAATTTTATAGGATGTGTTATAGAATATGGATAATTAAATTAATTATATAACCATTAGGTTTGAACAAGTATTAATCCTGGAGGGAGTGAAGGTTAATTTTACGGTCAATTTGAGTGGGCCATCGGGTGCCCAGATTAAACATTGTTTCTGAGTGTGTCTGTAAGGGTGTTTCTGGATGAGATTAGCATTTGAATTGGTGGACTCAGAAGACTTCCCTCCTGGTGAAGTCGGGCATCATCCAATCCATTGAGGGCCTGAATAGAACAAAAACAAAGGAAAGAGAAACTCACCCTTTCGCTTCGTGCCTTCTTGCTTGAGTTGGGACCTCTCATCTCATCTTCTCCTGTCCTTGGACTGGGATTTATAATTTGGCTCCCCTGGTTCTCAGGCCTTCACACTTAGACTGGGAATACCACTGGCTTTCCTGGGATTCCAGCTTGCAGATGGCAGATGATGGGATTTCTCAAACTCTATAGTGGCATGAGCCAATTACTCATAATCTCTCTCTCCACTTCCCTCTCTCATTCTCTCCTTTCCTCTCTGTGCATATATAACCTCCTTTGGTTCTGTTTGTTTGGACAACTCTGACAAATACAGATGGTCATTATAAAGCAACTTTATTTTTGTCACCCACTTTTGTTCTTTTAAATTTATTCTGTGCTCCTACTTATTATTGTTCTGGTTTGAAATTTAGACACAGCCTCATGGTTCTTCCAGTCACTTCTACTTCCACTGGAAGTACAGTCTGCTTAGTATATTTATTCCAAACTTCAGAATTTATTGAAGTTAAAGCTTCCCCTTTCTCCCAGTGCAGGACTGCTGCAGACGAGCCCTCATTAGTGGGAGATGTGCTGAGAAGCCCTTCTCTTTCCCACTCAGTGCTTCTACTTCCTCTCATCCTCTCCTAGCTTACTCCCCTTGAAGCATGGTGGGGTATGTCATCAGAGTGAGGAGAGGTTGGAGCTGAAAGCACCCACTGTCTTCTGTGGGGCCTGGAAATCTCTCCCTCACCGGAGATCGCTCATCTGTGCTTGTCTTCCATGGGTGAAAACATTTCTCCTGGTTCGTCTCTCCTGATGCTTTGCTCAGCTCTGCACACAACTTCAGTTTCCTTTTGATGAGGCCCCTTGCTTGCTTCTCAGCATTCATTTTTTTTTTTTATGATTAGCAAGATTTTTTTAATTATACTTTAAGTTTTAGGGTACATGTGCACAATGTGCAAGTTAGTTACATATGTATACATGTGCCATGTTGGTGTGCTGCACCCACCAACTTGTCATTTAACATTAGGTATATCTCCCAATCAGCATTCATTTTTAAAACTGTGGCAAAATATATATATTACAAATTCATCATTTTAACTATTAAATTAAATTAATTTATTTTTGAGACAGGGTCTCACTCTGTCACCCAGGCTGGAGTGCAGTGGAGTAATCATGGCTCACTGCAGCCTTGACCTCATGCGCTCAGGTGATTCTCCCACTTCAGCCTCCTGGGTGTCTGGGACCACAGACACACACCACCATGCCCAACTAATTTTTGTGTTTTTTGTAGAGACAGGGTTTTGCCATGTTGCCCAGGCTGGTCTCAAACTCCTGGGCTCAACCAACCCCCCTCCTCAGCCTCCCAAAGTGTCGAAATTACATGCATGAGCCACCATGCCTGGCAATTTCAAGTATTTTAAAGTTATAATTGTGTGATTTTAAGTGTATCTATAGTGTAGTGCAACCATCACACCACACATCTTCAGAACTTTTTCATTTCCCCATACTGAACGCTGAAACTGTACTCATTAAACACTAACCCTCCATTTGCTCCTCCCTCCAGCTCCTGGCAACCACCATTCTCCTTTCTGTTTCTATGAATCTGACTACTCTGTAACCTCACATAAAATAAATCATATGATATTTGTCTTTATGTGACTGGCTGTTTTCATTCATGTTGTAGCATGTGTTCAAAATTTTCTTGTTTTTGGAGGCTGGATAATATCCGCATTTTGTTTATTGGTTCATCTTTTGAAGGGTACTTGGGTTACTTCCATCTTTTAGCTGTTACTAATAATGCTTCTGTGAACATAGGTATGCAAATATCTGTTTGAGTCCCTGTTTTCACTTTTTTGGGGTATATACCCAGAAGTGTAATTGCTGGATTGTATGACAATTCCATGTTTAATTTTTTGAAGAACTGTCACACTGTCTTCCATAGTGGCGGTACCATTTTACATTCCCATGGGTTCCAATTTCTGCATACCCTAGCCAACACTTGTACTTTTCTGTTTTTATTTGTTTGTTTTATAATAGCAATCCTAATGGGTGTGAAGTTGTATCTCATTGCGGTTTTGATTTGCATTTCCCTAGTGACTGGTGATGTTGAGCATTTTTTCATGTGCTTTTTGGCCATTTGTATATCTTCTTTGGAGAAATGTCTATTCAAGTCCTTTGCCTGCTTTCTAATTAGATTGTTTGTTTTTGTTGTTGAGCATCAGCATTCTTGGGTAGGATTTCTGGTGACCCTGTGCTGGTCCCTGTGTGCTCCATCATCAGGGTCAGGGAAGCATACAGATGGCACACTCCAGTGGAGGAACTGAGGAGAGCTTGGTGAAGAGATTATTCTCAGAAGTGTGGGCAGTGTTGAGATACTAACAAGGGATGTTGAAGTGCCTTGTGTAACAGTGTAGAGTCATTATCACCCCTGGGCCTGAGGGGACAAGGAGAAGGCATGAGGACAGAGAGCCTAGAGAGAGCTACATCTGCAGGAGAGGACTGCCCAGCAGAAGCTGTCAACTTCTCTAGAACCTGTGCTAACCCAGCAGGGAGAAAACTGGGGGGATAAATACCCCATTCTCTCTCCCCTTCCTTGTTCTTGTCTTCTGCAGGTGCCTCCTGTTGGACAAATGTAGCTGGAAGTCTGTGATAATTTCCATCAAGGTCAGTCTCTTGGGCATAGAGCAGGATAGTAACAGGTGGAGGCTGGGTCTACAGTGGTAGACAAGATATATCCAGCACATGAGTGGAATTCCTCTTTGGTCCACAGGATCTTCTACCCATTGTTGGGAGTGCAGTTACTTCTCAAACCACAGGCTTTTCTCTGCTGCCCTAGGCTGCTTCAGTGAGTCACTTACCCTTTAGGGTTCTCAAGAGTGTGAGTTAGTCGCCATTCCACCACAACCAGGAAGCATGTGAGCTCTAAAAATTCCACTGAAGCTCCTTACTCTAGGCTTGAGGTGAGGGACAAATTCTTCCCCAAATTCTTCTTGCGGGGAAGATGAGACTCATAGCACACCAGTAACTTTCTCCAAATAGTCTTCTGTAATCTCCAACTACCTAGACTTTTATGCCCTCAGTAGAGATGAGGAGAAGGGTAAAATCTAGGAAACTGCAATCTTTACGCAGTCCTTTCACACCTCACTGTGAAATATGCTGGCTATGGGCTAGGAACTTTAGCAGAAACTGGGGCTGAATTGGTTGTATTTTAACATCCTGTAACAAACATCATATGCAGTCCATATCCCTAAAAGTTTGTATATTTTGGTAAATATAAACACATTTTTAAGAAAGTCATCTGAGTCAGAAATGGGAAAGATTGCTTTATATTTGGGATTACTTCATATTTGGGGATATAAGATATGCTTTCTTTGACATTTTCCCAATGTAGAAACACAGGCCAAATAGGATAACTCATGAATTCCATGAAATTTATCCAAGTATCTCTTAGCTTTAAGTAGCTAAAACCTAAATTAGGTAAATGAAAATATTTCAACATTTGGTAAGGTGTGCCTAAATTAAAGTTCACACTAGAAACATTCTTGTTTAATTTCAGGTGAGTTCAGTAGAGTAGTTTCCTTGGCATAAATAATTTCACATCTAACTGTTTATACTTTTAAATGTATTTTAATTGTGAAGGCCTAATTTCTGAATTTAGTTTAGAATAAACCTCTAGCCATTTTCTTTCTTATGTATGTGATCCCCAAAGCAGACGTGTCCTAGGCATCAGTTTTCTTATCTAATCAGAGAACCAGTGAAGAAAGGAGGAACCTGTCATCTCCATGCAGAAGCAAGGGATTAAGTGATTAAGCTGTCATTTCTCAAAGCCTTTCTCCAATGCTTGCCCCATAAGTTTTGGGTTTTAAATGAGTTTAGTGGAATTCTGCAGTCTTAACATATGGCACATATCCATGACTTCAGTAAATTACAGGTACTAACTTTTGTTCTTTCTGGTGCAGATGTGTTATCATTTTGCTCTGTTTTGTTTTATAATGTCAGCCTTCTCTGTGTTATTAATGTAGTGTCATGTGCTACCATTTTAGGTAAAAAGCTTTTTCTGTTATTTCCTATGAATCTCCTAGGAATGGACCCATTTGGAGAACCAGACTGTTCATTCTTTCCTTTCCCTCCTTTTCTCTTCTTCCACTCCTTCAAAGTATTGGTTGAGTTGCTATATTATGTGTCACAGGCATTGTTCCAGGTGTTGGAGAATCTGAAATGAAACACAAAGTCCCCCTGCTCCAGGAGCTTGCTATCGCCATCCAATGGAAAGGAAAGCAACAAGTAAATAAAAACTGCCACATGATATACATGTCAGACAGGAGACACATGGTATAATGAGAATACCACAAAGGGGCCTAATGGGGTGACCCAAGGTGGGTCCTGAGGGTTTATGAGGCAATAGTTCCATAATCAAGGAGAAGAAAGGCAACCCTGGGCGGAGAGCACAGCATGGGAAGGCCAAGACCAGGGAATCCCTGGCATTTGAGCAGTCAACAATCTCAGCGTCAGCCATGTTCATGGTGTGGTACAGTGGTACTTTTGTGGAGGCATACATTTTAAATTCATGCCCTGGGTGGCCAGTGTACAGGAGGAAATCACTTAATGGGGGGGCGTGTGCCCAGCTGGCTGCTGGTATCTGCTTCTTTGTTTGGCTCTGTCTTTTGCTTGCTATCCTAGATGCAATAACTCCTATGAAATGAAAGCAAGAACTTTCTGTCTTAGTGACAAATGGTCATCTTATGAGAGTTGAAAGGTTAAATTGTCACATGAGTTTATGCACAGGAAATGTGATTTGGGGGAGAAACAAGTGCCTCTGCAAACATTTTTGTATTTGGGAAGTGGGGATGATTGCAAGGTTTATGCCTGCAGCGACAGGGAGGGGGCTGCATACATCATGTTGTGTGAAGAGACGGGGCATTGGAGGAAGAGCAGGTTTGTTCAAGGTGACGGGCAAGAGGGAAAGGGAAAGGAGGGAGAAGAAAGATGGAAGGAGATGATGAATTCTGTTGAGTTTGAAGAGAGATCCAGGCCAGAAATGCTGGTTAGGAAGGCATTGGTGCTGCATGGTAGTGGAAGTCACAGGGGTGGACTAGGTCATTTGAAGAATGCACAGAGAGATGAGAGGGCTAAGGAAAAATCTGAGGAACAGCACAGGGCATTTTTAGGGTAGTGAAACTATTCTGTATGATACTGAGGATATGGTAGATAAATGACATTATATAGTTGTCAAAAGTCATAGAACTACATAACACAAAGAAAACTCTATTGTAAACTTTGGAATTTAGTTAATAATAATGTATCAATATTGGTTTATCAGTTGTAACAAATGTACCACCAGAATGCAAGAGGTTAATAATAGGAGAAATTGTGCAGTGTGGGGAGAGGTGAATATTGTAGGAGCACTGTATTTTCTGTAAACCTAAAACTGCTCTAAAAATAAAGTCTATTAATTAAAAAAAAAAGCCAGTGAAGATCAGTTATGTGCATAGCAGCTATACTTCTGCAGAATCTCCTTGGTGAGCGTGCTTTTTTCAGGCTTACATAATACAGTTAAAAGAAAGAAAAATAACACTCCCCTCACAGAGAAATAATCAGCTGAACAAATCACTAGTTATCAGAATGCAGGCTGTAGTACATCCTGTTTTTCTAACTCCTCTAAATTTACTAGTAAAGCAACCCAAATTGCATGGAGGAGGGGAGGTCATTGCTTGCTGTCAAGGCTGCACTAATGACATTAGGGTGGCATTAGCGTACCAGGGCTCTCCTAGTCCTCACTACACCACATTTTGAATGAGTTTTGCTTGGACAAGTGTTGAGGGTGAGGTGGCGGGAGAGGGAAGGAGAGAGATAGCTTGTGCTTTGTCCTATTACCTGAACCAGACTCAATTGTCAAACATTTTTAGTGTCGTTTTCCTGTGCTCACGGAATCCTGAGAGTGTAGCACTACTGTGGGGAGGGCAGGAGCCAACAGGTATAGCTGGCTTATCCCAGCATTTCTTCCTTCCCATCTGTGCACAGCGTAAGTGGCACAGTCCACAGAGTCCGCTCCCATTTTCTCTCTTCCCCCTTAATGGGGCGGGGGCGTGAGCCCAGCTGGCTGCTGGTATCTGCTTCTTTGTTTGGCTCTGTCTTTTGCTTGCTATCCTAAATGCAATAACTCCTATGAAATGAAAGCAAGAACTCAAAGCTCAAGTGGTCAAAGCTCAAGTGGCAGCCAAGTGGTTTCTTGTGATCTGCTGAGGTCGGCTTCTGATAATTAGAAGTGACAGGTGATGACTATGTTATCATAACCTGCAGCCACACCACCTTCTTCTGGTTCTGAGACAATGTGTAGTAGAAATGGTTATTTGTTCATCGAGCTGGTCCCCACAATTCACACCCAAAGAGGCCTTTTCATGGCCCTGCACGCACTGATGGCTGTTTCAGGTAGACAAGCCCAGCAGTGTGGGAACCCAGATATCTCCCATTCTGTGTGAAGGAGCTACCTAGTTTCTGGAATTTAACTAGATTAGAACCTCAAGTGATGCATTATAGGTCTGAAGAAGCATGCCAATCATGACCTTTATCTTCCATTTTATGAACCCTTGGAGTGGAGCCTTTAGAAAGAGGAAACAGCAGAGAGAGGGCCTTACCTTGTGGCCCATGTGGTGACATTTTAGGAGCTGCAAAAAGGGTCCCTTTGCCTCCCAAAAAGTTCCCTGAGGCTGATTCATTCAATTCTATATTTAATGTTTCATTTAGTAACACTTTAGATTGAGGATTATTGTTTTATGTTAAAATATAAATACCTTCTGGGTATTAACTCTTTTCAGTTATAGCCTTTATGGTAAAGGAGTTGCCAAGGGCTCAGAATTTGATAAGGCAAATGGAGGAGAAAGCATGAGGGCTTAGTGGGTGGGAGTGGTGGAGAGTGATATGGAGCGAGACAGAAACTGAAAACTGAGGCCAGAGGAGAAGAAACTGTGCCTATTTATTCAGTTTTTCCTGGGAGTTTCCTTGAGAAGAATGGAGCTATGTGTGTGTGTGTGTGTGTGTGTGTGTGTGTGTGTGTGTGTGATATGAGATTGCTTGTGCGCCTGTGTGCATGTGTGTATGTGTATGTGTTGAACGATACTGTGGAAAGTTTGGGATAAGAAATGATAACTGGGAAGAGCCAGACATCGAATGCAATATTCTCAACTAACATTCTTCTTAGAATGATGCTTGGTTCCCTGGAGACTTTATGATCATGAGTGCTAAATGTGTGAGGGGTGTGTGTAGGGAGGCAGAAACAGTGATGGTTTCATAGATGTCCAAGTTGCTGCTACCTTTGTAAAATCATTATTTGTCCCTTCATCTCTAGCCTGTTAGGTACCAATGTATTTATTGCCCACTCGAACTACTTCCTCTCATCATGGGGGCCTCCTGTTTTTGAGGCAACATAGGAAATTAGGACTGATGACGCTGCATCAGAAAAGCTTTTGTTTTCACTTGGTTTAAGTCTGATAGAGAAGTTGGCTACATAGAACCTCCACAGGCAGTTGCTCCAATGACTTAAAATGAATTTGTCCTTCTGCCTCAACTCTCCACAGTTAGCATGTGCTCATTCACCCACTCCTTTTTATGGCCCTTGGATTCACCCAATCCAAGGTGAACTACTTCCTTACTTCTATGTCTTCACTGTCTTACGATCTTGATCAAACAGACAACACACTCAACGAAGGTGTGGGTGGGAACGGAACCCACCCACATGATTGTGAATCACCTAGAGACTGGCAGCAGAAGAAAATCACTGCCACCCTAAGCCTTGAGTGGCCAGAGGAGAGAGACACATTCATTTTCAGAACTAGTGAGAGCTACAGCTCTGGTAAGGAACCTCCCAACAGGAGTTGTGGCCATGGGTAGGACAGCTCAAGACCATAAGCTGGCAAGGAAAGATCACAGAGGAACCAGTATCCTGATCTTTCTCTATTCAGCTATTTCTTCCCATTGGTGGAAGCCCAAGAGAAACACAAGACCAGGGTCCCTAAAGGTCAGCTTCTCAAGGCACAGAGCAGGGCACAGAAAGGTGGTGTGTCATACTGGAGGGGCAAAAAAGCTGGCACCATCTCACTTTCTGCATGTATAAAATGAAGACGTAAACTGCCAGGATTGAATGTGATCTACATACAATCATTTAGCACAGCACCTGGACAATAAAAAGGACCCTATAAATGTAGTTTAGTAGTAGCAGTGATAGTAATATTAGAACATTTTTACTACATTTTAGCTATATCATAAGTAAGTGGCTCTCCCTGTAGCCTAATAATTAACATCCCTTATCATATCCTAAAATTTGTAAGAAATAGGCTTAAGTGAGACTTGCTTGTTTAGTGATATTCATACCTGTAGATGTGAATGTATAGCTACATGCTTCTTTAATTTGGACAGAGAGAAATGTAGAGAGTTGTGATTTCATGATTTCAATTCTACAGAATTCTATAGATTAGATGTATAGGGCGTTGCTGCCCTAATGGATACCATAACAAAGAAATACCCCATCTTTTCCTCTCTCCATGACTGAGCATCTGCCTTAGTGCAGATTCTGGAAAGGAGGGGATGGACCATGAAATTTAAATTGCATATATAGATGTGGCTATGGAAATCATATAGAACCAACATTCCTCCCTTTCTTCCCTCTCCTACATATTGTATATGTAATACGTATGTGTGTGTGTGTGCTTATCCACAGAATGTGTGAGTTTGAGGAAAAAAACAAGATAAAACACATTCCGTAGGTAGTGCAGTCACACATAGCTGAAAAACCTGTATCAGTTATCAATTATCTATTTGTTTGGAGCAAATTCCTGCAAATCATTAAATATACAAATTTCCACTTTCATTGTTAAATTACCCAAAGTATAATCTCAAATAACCTCTGACCTCCTGGAGTTGATGACAGTTTTATACTGAAAATAGAATTTTTTTTTGTACATCTATAGTGTATCTTAAATTACCTAAAAGAAAGATGATGCCAGGGTAGTTAAGGAGGGAGGTTTCAGTTTTGGCCAAGTTTCGTACATCTTAATTGCGATACTTTGCACCCCATGGATACCTGTGAGTGCAAAAATGTCTGCTTTGTTTGGACTTATATTTATTTTTATTGTCTTCCCACTTTTATTTTAGATTCAAGGGATACATGTACAGGTTTGTTATCTGGCTATATTGTGTGATGCCGAGGTTTGGGGTACAAATGATCTTGCCACCCAGGTACTGGTCATAGTTGTTTGTAGTTTTAGAAGAAAAAATGAATGAGACTCAATTTAACACTGGTAATATCCCTTCTTTCCCAGGGAAATTTAGTGAGTTGAAAGTTGCAAGAGTAATGCTGTTAGTGTTAGTCACTTTTCAAAAGTGTTTTGCCATTTAATATTCATTTTTGGGGTCTTCTGTGTGGTCATGTGGGCCTACTATATTATACTTTGAAGAGATCAGTGAAGTCATATGGTTTAAAGTTTCACTTGATGAATGAGCAAACTGGTGTTCACAGGGGCAAAGTGACTTATTCGAGGTGATAACACTGGTGAGCTGGAGAACAACCTGCTATCACTTTATTTCCCTTTTTTTTTTTTATCTTGGAGACTTTTATTGAAAGGAACTATTCAAACTTTTCAAACTTTTAAGGTCCATATTTCTGAGTTCTGAGTGTTCTAATTTGATTATTCATAAAAAATATGCACAGTTCCTATTCTCATGGAGCGGATAGTTGATTTATGAATATATGTGTATGTATCCTGTTAACGAGTCATCATGACTAAATTAACTTAGTTAAGCTACTTAACTTTTCAGAGCCTTAAGTTTCTTATAGGCCCAGCAAGTTTTATTGGAAAAAAATGGGCTTCGAAGGCAGAGAGATGTGGTGTTTTCTGTTTACTAGCTGTATAAGTAACTCATAGAGGAATAATAGCCTCCTCATGGGGTTGTTTAGAGGGTAAAATGAGGTAACCTACATAGAATACCTGGTTTATGCATTCCTATTGTATCTGTAAGTTGGAGATGACACTGTGCAACCTATTTACCACATGGCATTGTGATTACCATGGAGACAATGGTTGGAAAAGGGCACTGTGAACAGTGAAGTGCTGCTGTCACATCACTTATTGAGGGATTTTTTTTGTTTGCTTAGTTATTTCAACGTAAGCTTTCTATTGAGGGACAACATGCACACAGAAAACTACACACAAGAGTGTACAACTCTATGAATTTTCACAAAGTGAACATACTTGTGTAACCAGAACCTAGATAATAAAAGAGAACCTCCTAGAAAGCCCCAAGGTACCCTTTTCCCATCACTACCTCATCTCAAAGATAATTATCCTAACTTCTAACTCCATAGATTAATTTCTCCCATTTTGGAACTCTTAACCAATGGAATTATACAGAATGTTCTCTTCCCTTTCTGGCTTCTTTGACTCCTATTATGTTTGAGAGGTTGATCCATTTTTTTTCTGTGTAGTTGTGGTTCATTCATTCTCATGGCTCTAGAGCAGGGGTTCCCAAACCCCGGTACGGTCTGTGGCTTGTTAGGAATCAGGCCCCACAGCAGGAGGTGAGTGGTGGGCAAGCGAGCTAAGCTTCATCTGTATTTACAGTCACTCCCCATCACTCACATTACCACCTGAGCTCTGCCTCCTGTCAGATCAGTGGCGGCATTAGATTCTCATAGGAGCGCGAAACCCTATTGTGAACTGTGCGTGTGAGGGATCTAGGTTACGTGTTCCTTATAAGAATCTAATGACTGATGATCTGTCACTGTCTCCTATCACCCCCAGATGGGACTGTGTAGTTGCAGGAAAACAGCTCAGAGTTTCCACTGATTCTTCATTATGGTGAGTTGTATAATTATTTCATTATATATTACAATGTAATAATAATAAAAATAAAGGGCACAATAAATGTAATGTGCTTAAATCATCCCAAAACCATCTCCACCCCCTGGTCCATGGAAAAATTGTCTTCCACAAAACCAGTCCCTGGTGCCACAAATGTTGGCAACTGCTACTCTAGAGTGTCCTATTGTACCCCACAATTTATGTATCTATTCTTCAGTTGATGGGCTTGTGGGTTGTTTCTAATTTTTGGCTTTTATGAATAGTGCTGCCATGAACATTCTTACATGTGTCCTTTGAGAACATATGTATGCATTTTTGTTGTATATATATCTTGAAATCAAATTTCTGGGTGGTAGGATGGGTATACAAAGGTTTGATTTTAATAAATAGTGACAAATAATTTTCCAAAGTGTTTGTACCAATTTACATGACTACAAATATAATATTTTTTAACATCTGTAAAATTGTTACATTCATAGTGGGATATACAAAAATACAGCTTGAATCATTGAAAACTGGGTTTATGTTTTTCTCTTTTGTTGACATTCTATTTTAGTTATGTTCTTAGATTGCATGGAATACAGCCTCATTTCCAGTAACTTAGCTTGTGGGGAAGAAGGGTGTTATTGTAAAGATTCTTATGCATATAAACTCAGAAAAAGCTAAACAGTGAAGCTTTAAAAAGGCCAGAAAAATGTACAGGTGCCAGGCTGTGGGATCTTGAGTGTTCTGCTCTTTAGGATTGATTCTGGTATCCTGAGGGTCTGTCCATCCTTGTGGGACCTGTATTCTGCAGGCAGGTACCATAAGGTACTGCTGTAGGCCAGCATCATTCTGAGTGAGCATCTGTTTTGTTTGGTTGCTCTTCTACCATGCACTTTGTTAAACATTTGGTCATCATCCTGCTTAAGGGAAGCCCATATTTGCAATCATTTGTCAGGATTTCCAGCCCTCTATGTGAACTATGTTACCATTTCTAAGCAATTAACTTCTGGAAGCTACCTGCTCTCATTGGTCCCTAAGGAGTAGATGGATGTACTGTCCGCCCTTCTAGATTTAGAGGTTGTTAGATACTCTGTATTTATACTAGATGCTAAATGAACTACACAGAATCATAAGAAATTCATAAGAAAACTTTAGCAATCACAATTTTTTAACTAATAATGTGAGTTTTTAAATAATAGACATAATTCTTAATGTAAACTTCTACTAAGACTACTTTACAATTTTTTTTAATATCTTAAAAAACAAGGGGCACTTCTTGCCATTTTGTGCTAACTTAGTCTTTATTGGTTGAACTAGTGCTAGGCAAGGAAGGAATTAGCTATAGGGAGCAGGGAAGACAGATCTAAACAGTTCTGCACTTATGAGCATATTAGTGAATAATAGAGATGCTCCTTATGGAACCCAGGCATGAAAACCATCCTTGGACCTGTCACATCTTGGAATTATGTGCTGGACTCTTGTATTGGTTCGTTGACTTTAGTTGTAGTTTAGGAAGTGATAGCCAGAAACTTGAACTCTTGCTTCTAGCTTTTAGACCTTCTACTTAAGACAGAAGAACTATGTATTTCACCTCGTCTAACTTCTAGTATTTCAGATAATTTCTTCTCAGATACTTTTTTTTGGCTCAACCTATGCTTAATATTTTTAGCTAATGCTCACTCTGTCATCATTAAAGTGGTTTGCAGAAGAATATATGGCCTACGCAGAAGAATATATGGTCTATGCAAATAACTTCTCACTGTACATTCTCTATACAGACCTATACAAATATTTTCATAAAACTTCTGAGCTGGAGGTGGAACTATTACAAAGTGTTGTGGTTGAAAAAGGTTGATGGATTGAGGTTATTCCTCAAGACCTCTTTCCACCACAAAACTGAATATCCTAATTAGAGAATCCATTAGAAGGAACTTGACCAAGTCTGTGGCTTAATTTATGCCTCAAAGTGAAGTGATTAATATTATTCAATGCATGCATAGGACCAGAAATTCTTATTTGAATAAGTTATTCAACTTATAGGGTAATTAAAAACTGAAAGTAAACTGTCATTTCACTGCTATATTCCTATATATTAAATTAAACTTTAAACATTATTTAAGGATTCAATGTAATATATTTAGCTTTTTTTTTTAAAAGCAAGTCTGGAAGCTGGGCCAATTTCTACAAATGTTCTGCTCAGTAGCTAGCCTTTTGTGGAAACTCAATAGATCTTAAACACTTGGTTCATTTAAATTACTCTTCTTTTTGCTTTCAGGAAAGATTGAGAAGAGTTACAGGGAAGTTTAGTGGATTAGTCATTCAGTTCCTTGATGGATCACTTGCATGTGCCAATGCCAGGGAACATTTAACTGATTAAAACATTCTGAATGAATTTGTCATTTGGGGGTACTCTTTGAATGAATATCTTTATTGCATTGACTGTGTCCTACTGATATGACTTAGGCTTACTTCCAACATTAATTCTAAAGAGGCTCTGGCTAACTTATCTGTAGAATGTGTGTCCAAGTCAAGTTCGTGATGTATTTGGTTAAAAAAAACTTTGTGGCTCTTGAAAGAAATACAAAGATTTAGTAGTCAGTATTGTTTATAAAGTCTAGGGTGGTCATATTTAAATAATAAATCTAAGAATTAGATGAGTACTGTTACACATTTTTGTTAATAAATCTTAAATACTGGAAAGAATAGACTTAAGAAAAATATTCCAACATTGAAAACCTAAGTATCTAAACATATTTCAGTCTCATATGCCAAAAAATATGAAATTATAGCATTTTTGGTCAGGATAAACGCCTCCTGCATCTTTTTGTATAAGAAGTATTTTGAATGAAAATAGACTTGCCATGTCAGACTATTTGAAATTTAAGTTCTGTTTTCAATTTTAGGTTCTTAAAAAGGTCCAACTTAGCCAATGAACATAAAAGTGCTTACTGCTAATTTAGCTGCTGCTGCAGAACATGAAAGGAAATCATGAGGCCATTAACACATCTAGAAATAGTCATTTTCTAGCTTTCGGTTCCTAAGATAGCTTAGTGAAAATAAAATATTCAGACAAGGCAGGGTAGGGAGGTGAGTTTTTAAAGGATTTTCTTTTTAAACTTTCCTTCCTTCCACCCTCGCTCCCTCACTTCCACCCTCCTTTATTTCTCCTTCTTTATGTGTGTTAACTTAGAACTTCACTTCAAGATTTTCCGAGTGCTAAGTGATAGGGGCAGTGAGATATACGCTTTATCTCCCTGCATAGGCAATGAGTAAAAAAGATGTGAAATTATGGCAAATTCACCAGCAGATTTCAAAGGTGAAAATGCCCTTCTTGTACCAGGGTTAATATGATCTCCAGCCATCCATTCACAGATCATGCTCACTCTGTTGATGGCAAAGGAAAGTTCTCTTTGAGGCCTTGAAATGGAAACTGCACATCGTGCCTGGAAAGTCCCTCCAGGCTAGTGTTCAAGAAGTCTTTCTTTCACACTTCAGTTTCTTCATTGCATTATATTTACTGACTGCCTACCCTATGTTAGACCCTGTGTTAGGTCCTGCAGTCCTGTTCACAAGGATATTATAGTCTTGAGGGGAAGGCAGACATTCATTAAAGACTCACCTCAGTGTTGACGGGCAGACTGCAATAAAAAAGTATGCGGCACTGTGAATGTGTAACAGGTGTGGGCGGTGGTCAGGGAAGGCTGAGACTGGTTAACTGGGCAGAGGCAAAGGGTTGCAGGCAACTCGCCTGAGGTGGAGAGGCAAGGCTGGTGACAGGGGCAGGGAGGCCGTGGACAGCCGATATCACAAAAGGCGGTGCTGAAAGATGCAAGGGGACTGAGGACTTCTTTTTAGCTGAGCAAACAGTGCACATTTCTTCCACTCAGACTTTTCCTTTTCTAATTAAAAAAATGGGGACATCCACATCTTGATAACACAGTTAATGTGTGAATATAATAACTGCTTAATAAATCCTTGTTGAAATAGGAATGCTGATTAAGGCACTTAGGCCAGCAGCTGAAGGAGGCTTAATATATTCAGAGATGATTCCTAGGTATCTAGAAAAGGATATTTTAAGCTAAGAGAAAAGAGGGACAGTTCACCAGTTTCTTCCCTTCTAGGGAAACAACATAAAAGGACTGGAGTTGTTAAAAGACAGGGTGAGAAGTCTGTTGACATAAAACATGAGAAAATGAAGTTTGTGATGTTTTGATGCAGAAGTAAGTTATCATTATTGTTGAGTGATAATGGCATTAATTTTCTGAAGATGGGCAGCTCCTTTCATCCCATTTAATGTGTATGTGTGTGGGCATGTGTGCTTGCATACCTAAGGCTAAATTAATTTTTGGTACAATAGGGTAGGGTTGCTAGATTTGGTAAATGGAAATACAAGGCATCAAGATAAATTTGAATTTCAGGTAAAGGAAGTATAACTTTTGGAGTATATATATATGTCCCAAATGCCCTACCAGAGTGGAATTTTCCTCTTAAGAACTCTGGAGGCGTGTTGCCTCATTTCCCCCATGTTTTTAGTCATTGCATGTATAATGTTTATATTTATGTTTATTCGCAGTTTATTTTTGCCACATATATTTTTAGAATCTAAATTTTCCCAATAGTCTGGAACCTTTGGTGGGTGTACATAATGTGATGAAGGATTCTCTTCCTGGAGAGGCTGCTGATATATAGCCAAGATTCTGTCTTTGTGCTCTGGGCTTCTGTCTCTGTAGTGTTAATATTTCAAGAATGAGACTAGAGCATTTTTCTTACTTTAGTGCCCTTTGGAGCAACAGAAAGCTGCCTTTGCTGCAAAGGACCCTGTGGAATGATTGTTGATCTGCCTTCTAGAAACTGAGCTGTGCCCAAAACCTTTTACCAGTTTCTAAAGGCACCTGCTTTCATTTTCCTAGGAAGGTTCTTTAGGTGAGCGATAGTCACCCCTATATCTCTGCAATACCAAGTGAGCAGCTTGTTGTGTGTAGATACCATGAAATAGAAACAGATTCATGAAGATAAGATTAGAAGGTAATCTTTAGATTACAGAAACAGATTCATGAAAATAAGGATTAGAAGTTGTGAATGAAAACAACTGTTGCTTTGGATGGCTGGATTTAAAAATGTTCCTCAATATTGATGATGTGGTATTTTAATTAAAAAATAGGATCAGATCATGACACATAGAAGAAGCTATAATATGCACAATGATCTGCTTTTCCAGGAAATGAGTATCTTTGGGGATCAGCATTGAGCTCACTACACATGATAAAAAATAAAACTCATTGGAAATCTAGAAATTGGCAACTAAAAATTGAGTCAAAATGTGTTTTAACCACCCCACCCCCCTCTTGTTTGTTTTTATTCACTTCTGATAACCTACTGGCTGTTTAGTTATATTTTATGGTTGTTTTGGCTATCACAAACTCATACAGAATAGCTGGAATTATCAGTCTCAACAGGGACCATGAAGACATATGTGTGTAATTCAGTACATATATTAAAAAATAGCTAATTTACAATATTACAGGCACAAGGGAGCCCACTGATGTGAAGTTTCAGTGAAACAGTGTAAAGAAATGATGTTAGTTAAATATCACTATTTCTCAAAGTAAAGGATGTCATTGTATTAGTAGAATGTTAACCCTCTCTTTTATGGGTCAGTTACATCAACTTCATCATAAACCCTCTTCAAAAAACATGCATTTTAGGACTTGGATATAGTCAGGTCTGTGTTTCATTAAGCATTTGTTCAGATTCCAGCTCTCTTGCTCCACAACCATTGATATTTCTCAATTTATCTATAATTTACACCCTGACTGTCTCCATAAAAGATATAATGTTTATAAGGAAAGATATATGCAATTAGATAATAATTTGAATGCTTTTACAGGGAGAGGGAAATAAATATGCCACCCAAACCTAGGCTAATACATTCATTGAAAGCGAGTACTAATAATTATTTCTAAGCCTCCCAGCAGCCAAGGCAAAAAGGGACTCCAGTAACATAACATGATCATTATTTCATTGTTTACTTTTACTACTCCCTATTCCACGTTGAGATTGTTAGAGATATGTTAGTGATCACCTCAAGTCTTATTACCTCCAGAAATGTAAAGTTTGACTTAAAATCACAATGAACTCTTCCAATTTTTTTCATACTATATTGCATGTGCTTAAGTAATTCTTTGGGCTTGGTTTTAGATTTTTAAAAATTATGGTAAAAAGCACATAACATTAAATTTACCATCTCAACCATTTTTAAGTGTAGGGTTCAGTAGTGTTAAATATACTCACATTGTTGTGCAGCAGATTGCTACAACTTTTTCGTCTTGTTACACTGAAACTCTCTACTCATGAAACAACTCCCCATTTCTCCTTCTCCTCAGACCCTGGAAATTACCATTCTACTTTCTGTTTCTATGAATTTGACCACTTTAGATACTTCATATGAATGGAATCATACAGTGTTTGTCATTTTGTGACTATTTCACTTAACGTAATGTCCTCGAGTTTCATTCTTATTGTAGCATGTGACAAGATTTTCTTTTTTTTTTTTAAGGCTGCATAATATCCCATTGTATATATTTACATTTTCCTTACTTATTCATCTGTTGATGGACATTTGGACTGCTTCTATCTCTTGGCTATTGAGAATAATGCCACAAGGAATGGGTGTCCAAGTATCTCTTCAAGATCCTTTTCTGAATTCTTTTGGATATATACCCACAAATGGGATTGTTGGATCATATAGTAATTCTATTTTGAATTTTTGGAGGAACCTCCATGCTATTTTCTGTAATGGCTGCATCATTTTACATTCCCACCAATAATACACAAGGGTTCCATCTTCTCTACATCTTCACCAATGCTTGGTATTTTACGCTCTTTTGATGGTGACCATCCTGATGAGTATGAGGTGATATTTCATTGTGGTTTTTATTTGCACTCTTCTAATGATTAGTAATGTTATCATCTTTTCAAGTGCTTATGGGCCATTTGTATATCTTCTTTGGAGAAATGTCAGTTTAAGTTCTTTGCCTATTTTAGAATCAATTTTTTTGTTGTTGTTAAAGTTTCTTATATATTTTGGATATTAACCCCTTTTCAGATATATTATTTGCAATTATTTTCTCCCATTTTATAGGTTGCAATTTCACTCTGTTGATTGTTTCCTTTGACATGAAAAAGTTTTTGTGTCATTCCATTTGTTTATTTTTGATTTCGTTGTCTGTGCTTTTGGTGTCATATTTAAGAAATCATTGCTAAATTCAAAGTCCTGAGGCTTTACCCCTATGTTTCTTTCTAGGAGTTTAACAGTTTTAAGTCTAATTTTTAGGTCTTTAATTCATTTTGAGTTAATTTTTATGTATGGTACAAGGCAAGGGCCCAAATTCACTCTTTTTGCATTTGAATATCCTATTTTTCCAACACTACTTGTTGAAGAGGCTGTCTTTTCTCTGTTGTGTGGTCTTGGCACTCTTGCTGAAAATCATTTGGTCATATATGCAGTGGTTTATTTCTGGGCTCTCTATTTTACTCCGTTGGTTTATGTATCTTACTTTAGGCCATACCACACTGTCTTAATTACTGTTTCTTTGCAGTAGGTTTTGAAATCAAGAAGTGTGATGCCTCTGACTTTGTTCTTTTTCAAGATTGTTTTGGCTCTTTTGGGCCCCTTAAGATCCTGTAGAATTTTATAATTATTTTTCTGTTTATGCAAAAAGTGTCATTGGAATTTTTATAGAGTTTGCATTGTATCTGTAGGTTGCTTTGGGTATTATGGACAACTTTACAATATTAAGTCTTTCAACCCATGAGCATGGGATGTCTTTCCATTTACTTGTATCTTCTTTGATTTCTTTTTGCAATGTTTTGTAGTTCTCAGTGTATAAGTCTTTTATCTCCTGGGTTAAGTTTTTTCCTAAGTATTTAATCCTTCTTGAGGCTATTGTTAACAGAATTATTTTCTTAATTTTCTTTCCAGATTGGTCTTGTTAATGTATAGAAAATGCAACTGATTTTTGATCATCGATTTTGAATCCTGCAAACTTTTCTAAATTCATTTATTAGTTCTAACATTTTTGTGTGTGTGACTTAAAAGACCATGTCATTTGTGAGCAGAGACAATTTAGGTTCTTCTTTTCCAAATTTTAGGCTTTTTATTTCTTTTTCTTGTCTAATTGCTCTGGTAAGAACTTGTAGCAATGTATCGAATAGTCGTGGCAAGAGTGGGCATCTTTGCCTTGTTCCTGATCTTAGAGTAAAAGCTTTTAGTCTTTTCTCATCGAATATGATGTTAGCTGTGGGCATTTCATATATGGCTTTTATTATGTTGAGGTAGTTTCCTTCTATTCCTAGTTTGTTGAGTGTATTTATCATGAAAGCATGTTGAATTTTATCAAATGTCTTTTCTGCATTGATTGAGATGATCATTTGGTTTTTGTCCATTTTCTTAATTTGGTTATTACATTGGTTAATTTTTATATTTTGAACTATTCTTTCATTTCATTTATAAATCCCTCTTGATCATGGTGTGATCAACGTGTGCTTGAATTTGGTTTGCTATTATTTTGTTTAGGGTTTTTGCATCAGTATTCATCAGACATATTGGTCTACAGTTTTTTTTGTGTGTCTTTTTCTGGTTTTGGTATTAGGATAATGCTAGCCTCATAGAATGAGTTTGGAATTGTTCTCTCTTAATTTTTTTGGCAGAATTTGAGGAGGATTGGTAATCATTATTCATTAAGTATTTGATACAATTATTCAGAGAAGCCACATGGTCCTGGGATTTTCTCTTTTGGAAGGTTATTTTTTTTTTTTATTACTGCTTCAATCTCCTCACTAGTTATAGATCTGTTTCCGTCTTGATAGGTTGTATGTTTCTAGGAATTTGTCTTTTTTTAGATTATCCAATTTGTTGGCATATAATTGCTCATAGTAGTATATTTTTTATTGCTGTGACATCAGTGGTAATATCTCTTTTTTCTTTTCTAATTTTAGCCATAGAGTCTTCTCTCTTTTTTCTTTGTTAGTCTAGCTAAGGATTTGTCAATTTTGTTGTTTTTTTGGGAAAACCATCCCTTGGAGTCACTGATTGTTTCTATTCTTTATTTGATTTATCTCTACTCTAATTTTTATGGTTTCCTTTGCTCTGCTAACTTTGAATTTAGTTTGTTTTTCTTTTTCTAGTTACTGAAGGTATAAATTTAGGTTGTTGATTTTAGATCTTTTTTCTTTTTTAATGTAGATGTTTACTGCTATGCACTTCCCTTTTACTACTGCTTTCACTGCATTCCATAAGTTTTGTATGTTGTGTTTTTCTTTTCACTTGTCTCCAGATATTTTCTAAATTATCTTGTGATTTCTTCTTAGACTCATTAGTTGTTTATGAGTGCATTGTTTAATTTCCACATATTACTGGATTTTCCTATTTTCTTTCTGCTATTGATTTTTAGTTTTATTTTATTTTGATTGGAGAAGGTATTTTATATGATTTCAATCTTCTTAAATTTGTTAAGATTTATTTTGTGGCCTAACATGTGGTCTATTTTGGGAATGTTCCATGTGCGCTTGAGAATAATGTGTGTTCTGCTGTTGTTGGATGTTGTATATATATATCTGTAGACCCAGTTGGTCTGTTGTGTTGTTCAGGTCCTCTTGTTTCCTTATTGATCTTCTCTCTGATTCTGTTGATAACTGAGAGTGGGGTATTGAAGTCTTCTACTATTATCATATTGGTGTCTATTTCTCTCTCCAGGTCTGTCAATTTTGCTTCATTTATTTAGGTGCTGTAATGTTAAGTACATATCTGTTTTTTTACTGTTATATCTTCCTGGTGAATTGACCCTTTTATCATTATACAGTATTCTTCGTTGTCTCTTGTGACAATTTTTGTCCTAATGTCTACTTTGTTTGATACAACTCTGGTCACTTCTCCTCTCTGTAGGTTCCTGTTTACATAGAATATCTTTTTTTAACCCTTTTACTGTAGCCTATGTGTGTCTGTAAGGCAGGTTCACTGATTACCAATCAGTAATTCTAATTTCTATCAATTGTATGAGACAGAACACTCAAACAAGTTAAGTGAAGCAACTTTATAGGCACAGTTAGGCAGCAAGGGACAACAAAAGCCTAGGATTCATAGTTCCCCAAAGCTCAGAGTGAATGGAATCTTTCTGTGTGTTACCTACTTTGCAGTGCAGGTGAAGAACTTTGAAAGCAGTCTACTCTGGATTGTATACCCAGGGGCAATGGGGATTGCTGGGCTAAAGTGCTGCAGGGCATCCTATTCTTGGAGGGACAGGAACAGAGCCCAAGCTGTTTCAGATACTTTCTCCTTATCTCAAGATGCTGCACTCCTAATATATCCTACAGTTATTTTTGAGAACTACAATTGAGAAAGTGGGGAAGAGTGCAGTCAGTCAAGGCCATCTTGGAATTCGTTCTGCACTGTCTCTAGTGCTAAATTGAGTCTCTTATAGACACAACATATGGTTGGATCTTATTTTTTTAAGTCCTTCGGCCAATATGTGTCTTTTAATTGGTGCATTTAAGCTATTTACATTTAAGGTAATTACTGATAGGGAAGGACTTACTATTGCTATTTTATTGTTTTCTTATTGTTTTTGTCCCTCATTTCTTCTCTTGTTGTCTTCGTGTTTCATTTTTTTTTGTAGTGACATGTTTTGATTCTCCTCTCATTTTCCTTTGTGTGTAGCTGTGTGTATATGTGTATATATAAAAATTTATATATATTACATATATATAAACCTTAACGAGTTTGAGTAAGAAGCAGTTCATGAATTGGGAAACACCAAACTGAAAGAGGTTTAGTGTTCTGATGACAAAGCATACCTTACATATATTCTATAGATAGTTTATTTGTGGTTATCATTGCAATGAGATAAAACATCTTAAAATTATGACACTGTATTTTAAACTGATAACAACTTAACTACAATCATGTAGAAAACCTTTTACATCTCTGCCCCCTCCCAGTTTATGTTATTGATGACACAATTATCTGCCGTCATATTTCATATCCATGAACATAGATTTATCATTACTTTTTATGCTTTATTAAATAGATTTTAAAAATCTATACCAGATTTATAAGTGTTAATTTTTCTAGCAGGCTTTGATATGGTTGGCTTTGCACTTGCCTGGGGTGCAGGATCCTTTTAACTGGTTTCTAGATTTCTCTCAGGGGCATTGGTCCATTGGTCATTTTTAAGTTCATATTTTTGTGGTTGAAGGGGAGTCCAGGGCTTCCTATTTTGCCATTTTAATGTTATCACTCCTGGTTCTAGGTTTTATATATGGTGATATTGAAGATCAGTTTGTGATTGTAAGTGCTGAGACTAAATGAGACTGTTATCATCATCCTTTGATTGTGACCACTTTATTAGGACTATCGCTTTTCCCTTAAGCCTTTTTGTTTCCCAGATGAATCCCATTAATTGACTTTTGGGGTTTACCTTTTGGGTAAATCTTCTTACTCCAAGACTCTGTGTCTATGTACCATGCTGATTAATATTATACTAGAAAGTGGTTTGCTGTTTTATTTGACTACAGCTTAACTAAAAATCTTTTGACTTTCCCTAGGAAAATCTGAGAAAGCGTATCATAGGTGGTCTGAATTTAAGGCAAATATGGGTGGCGATTAGACCAATTATAGACAAACATATAAGAAAGCTGTGAGAATGTGTGTGAGATGAATAATTATGAAACACCAATGAACCAGTGCAGCTGGGGATTTAAACATCTAAGTGGGCTTAATGTATCATTTTATATAGCTGAAGTAAATTAAAACAATATTTTGTGTGAACATTAAACTTTTCTTCCTTTGGTATGAATACTCTGGGGATTTGGAATAAGCATGATTATTATAATTCACACCTCTTTTAAAATCTTAATGTTGTTTGTGGCTAGTTGAGCATGTGAGACTATAAAGTAGTGAACTCTGCGCTCTTTATGGCCACAGCTTTTGTTCCTAATTCTTCTTGGCCTGTTTCAACCTGTGTGTCATGACTCCCAAGCTGAACTAGGTAAAAGAATGTGAATGGATCATCATTTCTAGAAAAGCATCTCAGAACATAGTCCATTTAGATAATTGGTTTAAAAAGTAGCCTTTTATTTCATAGAAAGCAGCACAGTCTAATACAAGGAACTGGTGTGCTACACATGAGGACATGCTCTGCCTTAATAATTCTCTGGCTGTCTTAGGTAGAAAAGTTTGGGGTTGAAAGAAAAGTGATGTCTGTTTCAAAGGAATGAAAATTCTTAGGGTGTAACAATAGCTTATTAGTGAAGAGCCTAACTTTGGCTCAAGCATCAGACTGCTTGAGTTCAAATACAAATTCCTCCATTTACCATCAATGTGAGCTTGGTCAAGTTATTCCTCCAATAGTCAGTTTCCTCATCTGTAAAGTGAGCACAATGGTAGGACCACAATTTAATTGATTCTGATTGGAATTAAATGTACTACTCTGTGTATAAAGAAGTAATTAGTCCAGTGCCTGGCACATGATAAGCTCTCAATAGGTATTAGACCTTTTTTTTCTTGTTAATTTTGTTGTTTATGTTATCTTTATTATAACCATGTGGGAAGTTTTATGCTGAAAAATATATAATACTGAATTTTTTTAAATAGATAATATGCAACAGCATCTGTAATGACTGCATAAACAATTCTTGCATTTTCCTGAAGTGTTCATTTTAAATGATTGATTCATGGCTCGGTTCAAGTATACACACAGATTAGCCTTTGCAAATAATTCACTTAATACTAGCTACACCCTGTGGCAGTTGTTTTAAGGTTTTTGATCTCTAGGGGGTGTACAGAAGTGTTCTACTTGTGCAAATTGTTTTCCTTTTTATGTCATCAATTCTGAAAACGTAGGCTTATTACAGGAATTTTTCCCCCCATATATTTTTGAGCCTCATGCAATTTTGTATAGCAGTAGCCAGTGAAGTTATCCATATTGCTTCCTCTGATATAGTCTCTGAGTCAATTTGTTTTAATGTTTAAAAACTTATTGCCTACTTTTCCTTGACACTTACATGTTCGGCGTTTCAGTGGAAGATAAAATGAAGAAACTTGATTTCCACTCCACTAGAAACAGGCTATTTTCCTTCTATTTCATCAAATCTCAAAGCTTATAGAGATTATAACTGCATGTTGGTTATTTTACTGTTCTTGCCTATCTATCTATCTATCTACAAATCTATCTTTCTATCTTGTTCATTTTAGGGATAATGAAGAAGCATTTAGTGGGACCCCACAAGCATAATAAAAAGTGTCACTGTAAGATATATTTACAAGCATAAATATAAAAAGCAATATAGTACTTAGCAAAAAATATAACACATTCTCTCATAAGGCACATTTTTTCCACACTTTTATTTTGTTTTTACGATTTAAAGTAGTCACTTAAAAATCAGAAAGCAAAAGTTTTTTGACCTAGATTTAGTTGGTTTATAATAAGTCTTGTTGGTTATGGTGAGTAATCAGTTAATACCTGTTAAGCTAATAATGAGGTAAGAAATATATTGACTTTATTTCTTGGTGTGGAAATGACTTATTCATTCAACAGATACTTATTAAGTGGGCCAGGTACTACTTGTTAATACAAATGGTGAATAAAGTGGCTTACACTCTAATGAGAGAGACAGACAGCTCCGAGTTAACAAATGGATAAAAATATACTTACATATGTGATATGCATAGTGTAAGATAACGAGGGTGGTCACGGTGGTGGTAACCTACTCCAAATACTGTACTCAGAGCATATGTGTGATAAATGAAGTTGTTGCAGTATGTTTAAAACACTGGAGCCAAAATTTTGAGTGCTCATTTGAAAACACTTTATAGTAAAACAGTGGTGCTTAGAATGATGCATTAAAAAATATATATGACTATCTTGCTGAAGGTAAACTTTTTTTACAACTTACCTGACATGATCTTTCTAAATTACAATAGATTGTATATGTTGGAAAACATTTTTGTAAAATGTACAATAAGTCTGACATGTGAGTGAAAAAAACCTTTTTTCTTAACTTTCAAAAGTGCTAAAATGCCCTGTGTAGTATCATGTAAAATAGTGACACTAATGCCTCACTCAGTGGGGAGGTAGATGTGGCTGAGGAGGGACAGATGAATGGATCTAGTCAGTAGTAACACATTTGAAGTTCTGGCTGATCCACAGAGTCTTTTACTTCTAGGGTCAAGGTGGTAACAGCCAATTAATAGGAGAGCAGGTTGGAAGAAGAGTAAAAGATCTACATGCTCATGTTACTTGTCGTGCTCACAGAAAACAAACCAGTTTTGTGTGAGAAAATTGTTTCCCGTCAACTTGAAAACATTGAATTTGCTCACCCTGGAGCTTTCTTTGATGCTCCTCTCTTCAAGTCCCATGTGGCTGTCTTCCTTCTAAGAAAGCTATTTATAAACTGCAGTGCTCTACGCAACTGTAAGCACAGTGGCTGCAGTCTAGTGGAAATATTTTGGGGTCACAGGTAGTTCTGTATTCAAATCTCAGCTCTGGCTCTTTCTAGCTGGGAGACTTGAGCAAATTATTTAACTTCCTGATCTATAGCTTCCTCGACTCTAAAATGGGGGTAATAAAACTTTGTTTACAGGATTGTGTGAGGATTGAGACTGACACAGGTAAGGCGTCTTCTACCATGGCTGGCACTTAGTCTGTTTTGCTTATTACTTAGGGCTCAACTTTGAACGAACTTGAGGTTACAAAGCTCAGTATCAGGTTATCCTCGGGTTGTTTCCTCTGTAATCCTCATTTCCCTCAGAGCATGGTGAGAGTCTTGAAGACATGAAACATTTTATGCTTTTCTACCTTCCTTGTGCCTTGCAGAGTCCTCAGTATCCAGTCAGCACTTAATGCTTATACTGCCACTTCTGGACTGCCTTTCAACAAATTTCTCAAAGTTAGAGACCATGAAGGGCATGGAGACTGGTGCTTTTCATGCCGTGCTTCTGCAGATTTTGGTGGGGAGGCGGTAATAGGGGAATGAAGGTGGAGCCATATGAAATAAACTCTTAAAGGCATGATAGTGACCAGGAAAATAATATGTACCATATTGTGTGACAATCCCTATGCATTGCCAAAATTGCCCAGTGTATTTTTATTATGATTAAAACCACAATGACACATATGATGCCCATTTAACATGCTCCAAAAACACAACAGGAATTCACCTTCACAAAGAACAATAGACATGGGGCCAAGACCTTGGATTCTGACCAGTTTTAAACACCTGCTTCCTCCTACACAGTCGAGAATTATCTTACACGATTCAGCCTTAGAACTGGGGGCATGGTTTAAATTGTAATGTCTGAGGAGACTCAGGTTGGCTGAATAAGAAGGATGACAGTGCCTTTGTCCAGTTAAATCTGCAGAGGTTGTCTTCCATCCTATGCAGCTGCCTACCATAAAAGAGGAATCTAGGAAAGATTTTCCATATAGCAGGCACTCAGTACTTATGTAAAGAATGAAAGGACAAAAAAATTGTTCTCTTTGTATGTCTTAATGTAACCCTAAGAGTTCCAAGCCAATTGTTGACATTATTCTAACATAGCATAAAGATTTGGACAGACCTGGGTAGCACATTGTAATGATATTTGGCTTGTTGATTTCTCAGCTCTAAGAGAATCTCTGCTTTTGCCAATAGGCACACATAAGAATGTTCTTAATGCTTTAGTAATAACATAGTTATCCAAAATGTTAAACTTTATTCCGCAAAATTTTAACTCAAAAAATATTTTTCAGCAAGTTTACATGTATTCCCTGGGCAACACTGGTCAGGCATTCATTCAACAGTAGACATTTAAGTATATATTATATACTGTTCTTGATTGTGTGGGAATTTCAAAGATAAATGAGATTCTATCTTTGCCACTTAAGACTTACAATTATTGGCTCCCAGGCAAGATGGCTGAATAGGAACAGCTCTGGTCTGCAGCTCCCAGTGAGACCAACACAGAAGGCGGGTGATTTTTGCATTTCCAACTGAAGCACCCGGTTCATCTCACTGGGATTGGTTAGACAGTGGGTGCAGCCCATGGAGGGCGAGCAGAAGCAGGGTGGGGCATTGCCTCACCCGGGAAGTGCAAGGGGTTGGGGAACTCCCTTCCTATCCAAGGGAAGCCAAGAGGGACCCTGCCATGAGGGACAGTGCTATCAGGACCAGATACTACGCTTTTCCCACAGTCTTCGCAACCTACAGACCAGGAGATTCCCTCAGGTGCCTACACCACAAAGGCCCTGGGTTTCAAGCACAAAACTGGGCGGCTGTTTGGGCAGACATCGAACTAGCTGCAGGAGTTTTATTTCATACCTCAGTGGCACCTGGAACACCAGCGAGACAGAACCGTTCACTCCCCTGGAATAGGGGCTGAAGCCAGGGAGCCAAGTGGTCTTGCTCAATGGATCCCACCCCATGGAACCCATCAAGCTGAGATCCACTGGCTTGAAATTCTTGCTGCCAGCACAGCAGTCTGAAATTGACCTGGGACACTCTAGCTTGGAAGGGGGAGGGACGTCTACCATTACTGAGGCTTGAGTAGGCAGTTTTCCCCTCACAGTGTAAACAAAGCCGCCTGGAAGTTCGGACTGTGTGGAGTCCACTGCAGTGCCACAAAGCCACTGTAGCCAGACTGCCTCTCTAGATTCCTCCTCTCTGGGCAGGGCATCTCTGAAAGAAAGGCAGCAGCCCCAGTCAGGGGATTATGGATAAAACTCCCATCTCCCTGGGACAGAGCACCTGCAGGAAGGGGCGGCTGTAGGCGCAGCTTCAGCAGACTTTAACGTTCCTGCCTAACGGCTCTAAAGAGAGCAACGGATCTCCCAGCACAGTGCTCGAGCTCTGCTAAGGGACAGACGGCCTCCTCAAATGGGTCCCTGACCCTTGTGCCTTCTGACGGGGAAATATCTCCCAGCAGGGGTCGAGAGACACCTCATACAGGGGAGTTCCGGCTGGCATCTGGCAGGTGCCCCTCTGGGACGAAGCTTCCAGAGGAAGGAATACACAGCAATCTTTGCTGTTCTGCAGCCTCTGCTGGTGATACCCAGGCAAACAGGGTCTGGAGTGGACCCCCAGCAAACTCCAGCAGACCTGCAGCAAAGGGGCCTGACTGTTAGAAGGAAAACTAATAAACAAAAAGCAGTAGCATCAACATCAACAAAAAGGACGACCATGCAAAAACTTCATCCTAAGGTCACCAACAGCAAAGACCAAAGGTAGATAAATCCATGAAGATGAGGAAAATCCAGCATAAAAAGGGTGAAAATTCCAAAAATCAGAATACCTCTTATCTTCCAAAGGATTACAACTCCTTGCCAGGAATGGGAACAAAACTGGATGGAGAATGAGTTTGATGAATTGACAGAAGTAGGCTTCAGAAGGTGGGTAATAACAAAATCCTCCAAGCTAAACAAGCATGCTCTAACCCAATGCAAGGAAGCTAATAACCTTGATAAAAGGTTAGAGGAATTGCTAACTAGAATAACTAGTTTAGAGAAGAACATAAACGACCTGATGAAGCTGAAAAACACAGCCCAAGAATTTCATGAAGCATACACAAGTATCAATAGCTGAATTGATCAAGTGAAAGAAAGGATATCAGAGATTGAAGATCAACTTAATGAAATAAAGCATGAAGACAAGATTAGAGAAAGAAAGAATGAAAAGGAAGGAACAAAGCCTCCAAGAAATATGGGACTATGTGAAAAGACCAAACCTACATTTGATTGGTGTATCTGAAAGTGACAAGGAGAATAGAACCAAGTTGGAAAATACTCTTCAGGATATTATCCAGGAGAACTTCCCCAACTGAGCAAGACAGGCCAACATTCCAATTCAGGAAATACAGAAAACACCACAAAGATACTCCTTGAGAAGAGCAACCCCAAGACACATAATCGTCAGATTTACCAAGGTTGAAATGAAGGGAAAAATGTTAAGGGCAGCCAGAGAGAAAAATCGAGTTACCCACAAAGGGAAGCCCATCAAACTAACAGCATATCTCTCTGCAGAAACCCTGCAAGCCAGAAGAGAGTGGGGACCAATATTCAACATTCTTAAAGAAAAGAATTTTCAACCCAGAATTTCATATCCAGCCAAACTAAGCTTTATAAGTGAAGGAGAAATAAAGTCCTTTGCAGATAATCAAATGCTGAGGGATTTTGTCACCACCAGGCCTGACTTACAAGAGCTCCTGAAGGAAGCACTAAATATGGGAAGGAAAAACCAGTACAAGTCACTGCAAAAGCAAACCAAAATATAAAGACCATTGACAGTATGAAGAAACTACATCAACTAATCGGAAAATAACCAGCTAGCATTATAATGACAGGATCAAGTTCACACATAACAATATTAACCTTAAATGTAAATGGGCTAAATGCCCCAATTAAAAGACACAGACTGGCAAATTGGATAAAGACTCAAGACCTATTGGTGTGCTGTATTCAGGAGACCCATCTCATGTGCAAAGACACACATGGCTCAAAATAAAGGGATGGAGGAATATTTACCAAGCAAATGGAAAGAAAAAAAAAAGAAAAAAAAAGCAGGGATTGCAATCCTAGACTCTGGTAAAACAGACTTTATACCAACAAAGATCAAAAAAGAAAAAGAAGGGCATTACATAATGGTAAAGGGATCAATGCAACAAGAGGAGCTAACTAGCCTAAATATATATGCACCCAATACAGGAGCACCCAGATTCATAAAGCAAGTTCTTAGAGGCCTACAAAGAGACTTAGCCTCCCACACAGTACTAGTGGGAGACTTTAACATCCACCTGCCAATATTCAACTGATCAACGAGGCAGAAAATTAGCAAGAATATTCAGGACTGGAACTCAGCTCTAGACCAAGCAGACCTAATAGACATCTACAGAACTCACCACCCCAAATCAACAGAATATACATTCTTCTCAGCACCACATAGCACTTATTTTAAAATGGACCACATAATTGGAAGTAAAACACTTCTCAGAAAATGCAAAAGAATGGAAATCATAACAAACAGTCTCTCAGACCACAGTGCAATCAAATTAGAATTCAGGATTCAGAAACTCACTCAAAACCAAACTACTACATGGAAACTGAACAACCTGTTCCTGAATGACTACTGGGTAAATAACGAAATTAAGGCAGAAATAAATAAGTTCTTTGAAACCAATGAGAACAAAGACACAATGTACCAGAGTCTCTGGGACACAGCTAAAGCAGTGTTTAGAGGGAAATTTACAGCACAAGTGCCCACAGGAGAAAGCAGGAAAGATCTAAAATCAGCACCCTAACATCACAATTCAAAGAACTAGAGAAGTAAGAGCAAACAAATTCAAAAGCTAGCAGAAGACAAGAAATAACTAAGATCAGAGCAGAACTGAAGGAGATAGAGACACAAAAAACGCTTCAAAAAAATCAATGAATCCAGGAGCTGTTTTTGTTTTGAAAAGATTAACAAAATGGATAGCCAGAGTAATAAAGAAGAAAAGAGAAAAGAATCAAATAGACACAATAAAAAATGATAAAGGGGAGATCACCACTGGTCCCACAGAAATACAAACTACCATCGGAGAATACTATAAACACCTCTATGCAAATAAACTAGAAATTCTAGAAGAAATGGATAAATTCCTGGACACACACACCCTCCCAAGACTAAACCAGGAAGAAGTCAAATCCCTGAATAGACCAATAACAAGTTCTAAAATTGAGGCAGTAATTAATAGCCTACCAACCAAAAAAAAGACCAGGACCAGACAGATTCACAGCCGAATTCTATCAGAGGTACAAAGACAAGCTGGTGTCATTCCTTCTGAAACTATTCAAAACAATAGAAAAAGACGGACTCCTTCCTAACTCATTTTATGAGGCCAGCATCGTCCTGATATGAAAACCTGACAAAAAAAGAAAACTTCAGGCCAATGTTCCTGATGATCATCAATGTGAAAATCCTCAATAAAATACTGGCAAACTGAATCCAGCAGCACATCAAAAAGCTTATCCACCATGATCAAGTTGGCTTCATCCCTGGGATGCAAGGCTGGGTCAACATACACAAATCAATTAACGTAATCCATCACATAAACAGAGCCAATGACAAAAACCACATGATTATCTCAATAGATGCAGAAACGCCCTTCAATAAAATTCAACACCCCTTCATGCTAAAAACACTCAATAAACTAGGTATTTGTGGAACATATCTCAATATAATAAGAGCTATTTATGACAAACCCACTGATATCATACTGAATGGGCAATATCATACTGAATGGGCAAATGCTGGATGCATTCCCTTTGAAAACCGACACAAGACAAGGATGCCCTCTCTCACCACTCCTATTCAACATAGTATTGGAAGTTCTGGCCAGGGCAATTAAGCAAGAGAAAGAAATAAGGGGTGTTCAAATAGGAAGAGAGGAAGTCAAATTATCTGTTTGCAGATGACATGATTGTATATTTAGAAAACTCCATCGTCTCAGTCCAAAACTCCTTAAGCTGATAAGTGACTTCAGCAAAGTCTCAGGATACAAAATCAATATGCAAAAATCACAAGCATTCCTACACACCAATAACAGACAAACAGAGGGACAAATCATGAGCAAACTCCCATTCACAATTGCTACAAAGAGAATAAAATACCTAGGAATACAACTTACAAGGGATGCGAAGGACCTCTTCAAGGAGAACTACAAACCACTGCTCAAGGAAATAAGAGAGAACACAAACAAATAGAAAAACTTTCCATGTTCATGGATAGGAAGAATCGATATAGTGAAAATGATCATACTGCCCAAAGTAATTTATAGATTCAATGCTATTTCTGTCAAGCTTCCATTGAATGTCTTTACATAATTAGAAAAAACTACTTTAAATTTCATATGGAACCAAAAAGGAGCCGGTATAGCCAAGACAATTCTAAGCAAAAAGAACAAAGCTGGAGGCATCATGCTACCTGACTTCAAACTATACTGCAAGGCTACAGTAATCAAAATAGCATGGTGCTGGTACCAAAACAGAAATATAGACCAATGGAACAGAACAGAGACCTCAGAAATAACACCACACATCTACAACCATCTGATCTTTGACAAACCTGACAAAAACAAGCAATGGGGAAAGGATTCCCTAGTTAATGAGTGGTGTTGGGAAAACTGGCTAGCCATATGCAGAAAACTGAAACTGGACCTCTTCCTTACACCTTATACAAAAATTAACTCAAGAGGGATTAAAGATTTAAATGTAAAACCTAGAACCATAAAAACCCTAGAAGAAAACCTAGGCAATACCATTCAGGACATAAGCATGGGCAAAGACTTCAAGACTAAAACACCAAAAGCAATTGCAACAAAAGCCAAAATTGACAAATGAGATCTAATTAAACTAAAGAGCTTCTGCACAGCAAAAGAAACTGTCATCAGAGTGAACAGGCAACCTACAGAATGGGAGAAAATTTTTGCAATCTATCCATCTGTCAAAGGGCTAATATCCGGAATCTACAAGGAACTTAAACAAATTTACAAGAGAAAAAACAACCCCATCAAAAAGTGGGCGAAGGATATGGACAGACGCTTTTCAAAATAAGACATTTATTCGGCCAATGAACATATTTTAAAAAGCTCATCATCACTGGTCGTTAGAGAAATGCAAATTAAAACCATAATGAGATACCATCTCATGCCAGTTAGAATGGCAATCATTAAAAAGTCAGGAAACAATAGATGCAGGAGAGGCTGTGGAGAAATAGGAACACTTTTACCCTGTTGGTGGGAGTGTAAATTAGTTCAAGCATTGTGGAAGACAGTGGGGTGATTTCTCAAGGATCTAGAATTAGAAATACCATTTGACCCAGCAATCCCATTTCTGGGTATATACCCAAAGGATTATAAATCATTCTACTATAAAGACACATGCACACATATGTTTATGGCAGTACTGCTCACAATAGCAAAGACTTGGAACTAACCCAAATGCCCATCAATGTTAGATTGGATAAAGAAAATGTGGCACATATACACCATGGAATACTATGCAGCCATAAAAAAAGAATGAGTTCATGTCCTTTGCAGGGACATGGATGAAACTGGAAATCATCATTCTCAGCAAACTAACAGAGGAACAGAAAACAAACACCACATGTTCTCACTCATAAGTGGGAGTTGAACAATGAGAACATATGGGCACATGGAGGGGAACGTCACACACCAGGGCCTATCAGGGGTTGGCAGGCAAGGGGAGGGATAGCATTAGGAGAAATACCTAATGTGGATGACGGGTTGATGGGTGCAGCTAGCCACCATGGCACATATATACCTATGTAACAAACCTGCACGTTCTGCACATTGTATCTCAGAACCTAAAGTATAATAATTTAAAAAAAGGAAAAAAAAGCATAATTATTTTTATATTAACACTAGCATTTCATATCTTAAAGCAACTGATGTTTAGGAATTACTACACGTGGTGGCTCATGCCTGTAATCCCAGCACTTTGGGAGGCCGAGGCTGGTGGATCACATGAGGTCGGGAGTTCGAGACCAGCCTGACCAACATGGAGAAACCCCAGCTGTACTAAAAATACAAAATTAGCAAGGTGTGGTGACACATGCCTGTGATCCCTGCTACTCCAGAGGCTAAGGCAAGAGAATCGCATGAACCCAGGAGGCAGAGGTTGCACTGAGCCAAGATCGTGCTATTGCAGTCCAGCTTTGGCAACAAGAGCGAAATCTATCTCAAAAAAAAAAAAACAATTACTACGAGTGGTACCTTTTTTTGCATTAGTGTCTTTTATGTGGCATCATGAAAATTTCTGATGAATTAATTTCCCTAATTAACGTAATTCCATTATTCCTAGTGACTTTAACATAATTCCTAATGATACTTCCATAAACAACAGGACCATTGAATTTTTGAGATTTCTCTGTGGTTCTTTTTTTCCTCAGGATATTTTCCATTGAAATGTATGGTTGAAATTTGATCTTTGAAAATCTACTTGATGTATAATTAGGCTTATTTCTATCAGTTTGTTTTTTAAGAGTTGTTTTGATTTTTTCCTTTTTATTTAACCTTGGTTTTTAATAATCTAAAACTTGTACATGATTCCAAAATCAAAACTATGAAACAAGGTACATTTGGAGTATTCATTCCTGTCTGTTCTCTATACCCTTTTAACAAATGAATTTTAAAAATTAGTTTTTAGTGTATGTTTTAGTTTACTTATTTCTTTTTAAAAGCATAAGCAAACCCACACACATGCATATATAAGATAATAATATGAATATTTATACATATATCAATTCATAAATCTTTTCCCCTTTCTACACAAATGTAGTATACTAGATGCACTCTACTGGACCTTGTTTTCTCATGTAACAATACATTCTGAAGATCATTTTATTTCTTTTGATAGCTGCACAGTACCATATTATGTGGCTACATAATATTTTATTCATTAGGTTGCACACTGATAGACATAGGGGTTGTCATATCATGCTTTAAATAAATATTTCCCAAGTGGCTGATCAGGTAATCTGAATGTCTGTCCATTGGTGGTTATATGTCTCTTGGAGACTAATACCTAACAGAAATCAATTTTTTGTGTGAGTTGAATGTAAAATGATATTTATATCATTTTATAAACTAAAAAAATGTTTAGTTTTGGCACAACCTTGAGGAAAGCAGTGTGACAAGCCTGGTGCCAGATCCCATGGAGAACTAACCCTGGACAGCCTGGGAAAACTCCTATGTAAACATGGAGAACCCAGATCAAAGAGTGTTTGGAGAGTGATAACAATCACTTAGGACTTACCTTTTCTGAAAATCTTAAAAATTTTAAGATTGTGAATTTTTAAAATAGTGATTCATAAACTATTTAGGTGACTTGCTGTGGAGCCATTGGACCAGAGATTTTGTTCAAAATGAAAACAACATGCAGTTAATCATATTTGCAATGGGGCCATTGTTGTCTCTTTATAGGTTTAGTTTTAAGGCTGGCATTAAAGAGTTTTGCAAAATTATTTATTTATTTTTCTAATTCCTGGGCACTGCATCTGCCACCCTGAAAGAGGCCTTCAGGTAGGTGGTGGTGTATGCATTGGTCTCATGAACTCATGCAATATTTGCCATAGTTTTCTCTTGGGAACAAAGTGTGTTATTGGGAACAAAGAGTTCCATAATCAAATAAATTTGAAAAGAACTAAGTTTATTTATTGCAAGATTTCTTAGAGCTTTTAGTAACTAATATGCATATAACTTCTCAAGATAGGGATGTAAAATGCTGGTTTTCACAGACATTTTCCTTTATGGAGTCTATTTTTCATGGAGCATGTTTTGGGAAAGTTAGATTTAATGGTTAAGTTTCTTATAATTGTGAATGACTTAGTGAGTTAATTGGAGGGAGAGAGAGAATTAATTGAACAGAGTAGTTGTTATCATTTCTATGTTACAGGAGAGGAAACTGAGGCTTCAGTGTTAGTGACTTGCCTATCATGGATTGAAGACAGATTTCTAGATTGTAAATTGTTAACATCATCATATTTAAAGACTTAAAGGAAGAAAAAGTATGGAAAGGGTTTAGTAATTCTCTTAAAAATATCCAATTTATATAAGGAACTCAATTAACTAGAAAGAAAACAAATAACTTGATTAAAAATTGGGCAAAGGACCTGAATAGACCTTTCTCAAAAGAATACATACAAATGGCTGGCAGGCCATTTTAAACAGGGTATATGAAAAAACGCTCAACATTACTAATCATCAGGGAAATGCAAATTAAATTTAGAATGAGATATCACCACTCACCTATTAGAATGGCTAATATAGAAAATACCAAAGATTACAAATATTGGCAAGGGTGTGGAGAAAAGAGAACTCTTGCACACTGCTGGTGGGAATGTAAATTAGTGAAGTCATTATAGAAAATAGTATGGAGAGTTCTCAAAAAACTAAAAAAAGAACTACTATATGATCCAGCAATCCCACTATTGGGTGTATATCCAAAGGAAATTAGTATGTTGAAAAGATATAGCTGCACTCCCACGTTCATTACGCATTGTCGACAATTGGCAAGATATCAACCTAATTGTTCATCAGTGGATGAATGGATATAGAAAATATGGTATATATACACATGGAATACTATTTAGCCTTTAATAAAAAGGAAATCATGTCATTTGCAACGACATGGATGAACCTGGAGGCAATTATGCTTAGTGAGATCAACCAGACTCAGAAGGACAAGTACCACCTGCCCTCTCTCATATGCAGAATCTGAAAAAAGTCTCATGGAAGCAAAGACTAGAATGGTGGTGGCTAGGAGCTGGGGGAATGGAGGAATTGGGGAGATGCTGTTCAAAGGGCACAAAATTTAGTTAGGAGGAAAACGTTCAAGAGACCCATTGTACAACATATTGACTATAGTTAATAAAAACGTATTGTATACTTGAAAATCTCCAATAGAATAGATTTTAAGTATGCTTATGACAAAAAATGATAAATATATGAGGTAATGCAAATATTAGTTGGCTCAATTCAGCCATTTCACAATATGTTTGTATTTTGAAACATCATGTTGTACACCATAAATATATACAATTTTTGTCACTTGAAAAAATCCTAGAAAGGGGAAAAAAGAATATTAGTAGAAAACTGATATAATTCAAATAATATCTGTGGTTTACTTAATAGTGCTATACTTATGTTAATATCCTAGTTTTTGATAACTTTAGTATGGTTATGTAAAGTGTAAACATTAGGGAAAGCTGGGGAAAGGGTAATTTGGAACTTTGAATCTTTTTCTTTTCTTTTCTTTTTTCTTTTTGGAGAGATGGGGATCTTGTTCTGTCACCCAGGCTGGAGTACAGTGGTGCAAATCATAGCTCACTGCAGCTTCAAACTCCTGAGCTCAAGTGATTCTCCCAGCTCAGCCTCCTGAGTAGCTGGAACTACAGTTATGCACTACCATGCTTGGTTAATTTTTTATTTGTTCATTTATTGTAGAGATGGGGTCTTGCCATGTTGCCCAGTCTGGTCTTGAATCCCTGGCCTTAAGCAATCCTCCCATCTCAGCCTCCCAAAGTGTTGGGATTTCAGGCATGAGCTGCCATGTGCGGCCAGGAACTTTGAATCATTTTTACAGCTTTTCTGTAAATCAAAGACTTTCTCAAAATAAAAAGTTAAAAGTAAAAATTTATACCAACATATATGAAATGAATTAAATAAAAATGCACATATTACATCAATTGTTATTATGTAATGCAAAAAATTTCCTAGTCTTATTAGGATTTTTTTTTAAGACTAAAACATTTTCTAGGCCATTCAGCAGGAGTGGGATTGGGCTTGCCACTGGCCTTCCCCCTTGCTACGGATGTGGGCTTATGGATATATGTAAATACTGTACATCAGATGGTGATGCCTTTGCTCAGAGTCCCTGCAATCAGAACCCTGATAGGAGGATTTATCCTGCTTTCAACTTAGCAGAGAGAAAGAATTACTTTTACTCTTCAGACAGTTTATCTTTTCAGTCGTTCCTTTTCTCTGACATTTTTCCCCTTGACTAGAGTAAAAGTAGTTATCCTTAATGTGACATTGGAAGAGAGAGATCACGGTCATATTTTTTGTACACAAACCGTCTCTACATCACATCACATTGACCTTCTCCTATTCGGGGAGAAGGGTATTTATTGCCTGCTTTCTCACCAAGTTCTCTAGCTTTTGATGTTTAAAGTTGTTATTTCATGACATTTCATGAACTTATTTTCTATGAGGTTTCTAACATGACTTTGGCCCATTCGTACAAATGATTCCATCTTGGAGCTCCCCCTGCCAGTGCCACCACCCCCACTTTCTGTTTTTTACAGAAGATACATATGAAGTCTATTTAAAGAGAAGATATTACAAACAAATATACAGTACTATTCAAACATTCTGAAATTAGATATAGTTGGATTCAGATGAATTTATTAAATAAAAAGACAAATTCATGAGTGACATTTCTTAACTTGGTATATTCACAGCATATCAGTGGAGAAGTAAGGAGATTTACTTCATTATTCACAGCGTGATCATGATCTTCAGCAGGTGTTCAAGAACTCTCTGATGCTGAGACTAAAAGTAATTCATCTTCCTAAAGACTTTCTATCTTTGGGAGGGTGACATTTCCTGTCTGGCTTTTCTGATGATTCTTACAACTTAATTACTTTTGGCATGTCCAGTTGCTTGCTTTATTTACTACATTGTATAGGTCAAACACTTGAACCTCAGGTTTATGTTTGTTTTATCAAACTTAGAGAATATAATTATTCAGAGAGTAATTTTCAGATTAGCACAAACATACATTTTCTACTAGAGAGTATCTATTCTTAAAGCTCACTTGTGAGACATTATATTTTTCCTGTTGTGAGGATGAGATGGCATTCTCTTTGGGATCTAAATTGCTTCTGAGGCAGGCACTTTTGTGTATTGTTATCTCTATACCCCGAAGAACAACTGGAGTGCAGGAAAAGCAGGGTTTTAGACAAATGAAAGTGGGATATGCCGTCTGGGCTGATGGCTACGCTTGGCATCACCAAATGGGAGACTTAAGAGCCTTCTGCAGTCACGGCTGCAGTGGCTGATTATTCTTCCAGCCATGTCTCTTCCTTCCTTCTTCTCTTCTCTTCTCTCCTCTTCTCTCCTCTTCTCTCTTCTCTTTTTTTTTGAGACAGTCTCAAAAAAAGAGGCTGGAATGCAGTGGCGCAATCTTGGCTCACTACGACTTCTGTCTCCTGGATTCAAGTGATTCTCCTGCTTCAGTTTCCTGAGTAGCTGGGATTACAGGCATGCATCACCATGCCCAGCTAATTTTGTATTTTCAGTAGAGACGGGGTTTCACCATGTTGCCTAGGCTGATCTTGAATGCCTGACCTCAAATGATCCACCTGCCTCAGCCTCCCAAAGTGCTGGAATTACAGATGTGAACTACAGTGCCAGGCCTTTCTTTCTTTTTTTAAATTTTAAGTTCAGTCAGGGGTATATGTGCAGGTTTGTTACACAGGTAAAACCAAGTCATGGGGGTTTGCTGCACAGCTGTCATCACCCAGGTATTAAGCCTACTACACAGTAGTTATTTTTCCTGACTTTTTCCCTCCTCCCACCCTTCACCCTCCACCCTCCAGTAGGTCACAGTATATGTTGTTCCCCTATATGTGTCCATGAGTTGTCATCATTTAGCTCCCACTTATAAGTGAGAACATATGGTGTTTGATTTTCTGTTCCTGTGTTTGTTTGCTAAAGATAATGGCCTCCATCTCTGTCTTTCTTGCTTGCTTTTGTTGAGCAGGGGGTGGGTAACACTGCCCGGTGATTGTGTCACCTCACACTGTCACCCCAAAATTTCAGATTCCAGAATAACTAATAAATAAAAGTTTTTCCACAGTTGGGGAAAGGAAGATAAAAAAGTTTAGGAAGCAAAGAAGATGGTAATGGGGTTTTTACGAGCCTTCCCCTCTTTGAAGGCCAGCAGGGTAGTTGAATGTGTGTGTACAGAAGCCACATGCTAGCAATAGTATGATGATAATCATAGTAGTTATCATTTTCTGGCACTCACTATGTGCCTGAAGTGGTGTAAATGCTTTACATGTCATTAATGCTGTTAGTTTCTTTAACAGCTCTGTGAGGTGAATGTATTGTTATTCTGCTTTGCTAATGAGAAAACTGCAGCATAGAGAGCTTAGTGGAGCAATCTCACCAAGTTTACAGTTAGCACACTGCAGAGGCGGAATTCTCACTGACATGTTTTCTACTCCATTGTCTCTGATTTGACCCAGGAGGAATGGTGATGGTAGGCACCTGAGCTATTGAGTGTTGTAATATAGAAGGCAGACTTTCTGTGTTCGTAAGGCACAAGAGTCTGCTAAGGATTTCCTTTTTTGCTTCATTTTACATTTTATTCAAAGGTTCAAAATTGATAAGCTTAATTAAAATATCAGTTCCTTAATAAAGCGCTCTAAAACATATTTAAACAAAATGCCATACATCATGCCTTAGTTGCTTTACTAATATAATGTTAAATAAATATTTCCTGGCCAGGCATAGTGATTTACACCTGTAATCCCAGTGCTTTGTGAGGTGGAGACAGGAGGATCACCTGAGCATAGGAGCTCAACACCAGTCTGGGCAACATAGTGAGACCTTGTCTCTACAAAAAAAAAAAAAAAAATAGCCAATAGCTGGGTGCAAATACTTGTAGTCCTAGCTACCTGAGAGGCGTGAGGATTGCTTGAACCCAAGAGTTTGAGGCTATAGTGAGCTATGATCACAACACTGCACTCTAGCCTGGGCAACAGAGCAAGAGGCCCCGTGTCTTTATATATATATAATATATAATGTTTTCTAACTTTTGTGGTTACATAATTATAGAAATATTAGCAAAATTAAAGGAAGGGGTGAGATTTTATATTTATCAATTGTATGGATTGACCGTTCAGTATTGGTTGATTGATTGAGACAGGGTCTCCTTCTGCCACCCATGCTGGAATGCAGTGGTGTGATCAGAGCTCACTGCAGCCTTGACCTCCTGGGCTCAAGCAATTCTCTCATCTTAGCTTCCCCAGTGCTGAGGTTACAGGTATGAGCCACCGTGAATGGCCAGTGCTTTTTTTTTTTTTTTTTTTTAATCTCTCTTCTTACACATCACTTTTGTTTTTATATTATTGTTATTCATATATATGTCTTGTCACCCCCCTATTGAGTTGGATGCTCTTTGAATGTTTTTTATTTCATGGGTTCTCAATAAATATTTGTGCCACAAATGACTTAATATTACTTGTTACTATGAAATTTGTGCCTCTATATATGTTGGGTGACAATTAGAAAACTAATGATAATTATTGCATCAAAAATAATTTGAGAGCACAAATCTTATAGCATTGTCATGTAAGATGGGTACATATAGATTTTTGTTATTCTTCATTTGTTGGGCATGTAGAATAAATCCACAATAAATTCAATAGAAGTAAAGCTTATTTCTGCATGTATATCTAGATAAACATAAAATATTGATTCTCTGTTTTGGAAAAAAGGAAAAGATAATGACTAAAATTTCTTTGTGGTCTCTATGATGGTTTAATCACATGTCTCTCAAAAATCTAATTTTCTAAGAATCAATCTGTCTGTGTGCTAGCAGACTGTGAAAACCTACTGGTTTCTTTAAACATCAAAAGAAGTCAGCCTTTAAATATTTGGACGTTTTCCTCTGAGATACGGCTGCACTAGGCAAACACACTGACATTAACATTTCTAAAGCAGGCTCAAAATAAATGAGAATAATAAAAAAAAAACTCCTTCCAATACCTAATTGCCATTTTAATTAAAGCTTCTGTTTGTCATCAGTGACAAGAGATTGCCTCAGAAAGATAAAATAAGACTGTGTGTCTTTGGCTTTCATGAAGACAAAAGGTTTGTGCAAGAAGTCAAATACCCAGATAACTTTGCTGTTACTTTTTAAATTAAACAATTTGCTAAGCATCAGGTGAACCAAATTATTCATAAATTAACATTTTTTTTAGGCCAGTACATCTCAAATCTAGTTTATGGATGGATTTCCTGGTTTGGGTGCTTAATCTAGTGTGTGCTAGAATCTTATATCACAGGCTGTTTTATAGAGATAAAGGAATCTGGAAATGGAAATCACTTTCTTAAATGGCTTTTGATTTGAAATTTTATTTATTCAGGTTACCTTAAGGTTATAAGATCAAATAAGAACATACTACAAAGAGCTTTGTAAAAGATAAAATATTACTTGTTATCTTAATTATTATTATCTGGAAAACAAAGTTAAATGCATGTGTTTATTCCACCCCTCCCTCTGACCCAATTAATGCATCAGGAAATTGGGAATTTGCTTTGGTGCATCTGTTTAAATGCTAAGAACTGGGACTTGGATTTGCTGCTCAAGAATCCCTAGCCCAGCTTCCTAAACTTTATAAAGTCAAATAAAAATAGGGTCACCAGGTAACATGGAAAGAGCAGGCTTATCTTTCCTCTCAGCTTCTGAATGAAGTTGAAAATGTGTTTTATTGTAGAACAGGTAAAATGTGATTCTTATAAATGGGAACAAAAGAATAATTTTAATGATGAATTTGAACCTGGAATCTGAACAACAGATAAAATGCAATCAGAGAAGCACTGAGACTATGCAGTGCATTTGACACAGAAAATACCAAGAGCAGCATTAGCACTTTTCTGAGGCCTTATCTTAATTAAACTTGGCCAGATGAAGTTTCTTTGGTAAATGCAGGTTCTTCTCACAAAGCCTTTCATCCCTTATTGCAGGGAGAGCCACATTTTCCAAAGAATTGCCCCCTCACTGGAGGGAACCCAGACAGCAAACCCCAGAACTTACTGGCATCAAGAGTGCTCCATGTGAGGGTACCATGAAGACGGAGATTGGGAGATATTGGGTGTTCTCAAATGCGACAGATTTTACCAGTACCGTTTTCTCTTGGGATCAGTATAATGTAAACCTCTTGAGAACGGTATCTGAGTCTCTGTATTTCCTCACATGCCTACTATCCAAGAATTCAAAACACATATGTGGTTGAATGAGTACCCTTAAGCCCAAACTGCTGACTGTAACCCTTTATCCAACCTCATCTTGTTTACCTTTGTGTAACATTGGAAATCACCCATCCCCTTTTCTGTTGGAAACTTTCTTTAACTTTCCTGATTCTCCGTTTACGTGATTTATTGCTGCTGCCTCTTTCTTTCTCTGGGTTCCAGTCTCTACCCCCTCAAGCTGGCTATTTCCTAAGATTCTGTTTCCAGCCCTCTTCTTTATATTCTTTGGCTGACTGTGCATTAGAATTGCCTGGGAGGTAACCGCAGCCTGCCCTGTCCTGCCTCGTGTTTCTGTGTGTGTGTGTCTGTATGTGGTGCACACGTTTCTGTTTTTATTTTTTTATTTTAAAAAATTTGATTTTTATTAGCTTTTTCTTTTCTTATTATTATACTTTAAGTTCTAGGGTACGTGTGCACAACGTGCAGGTTTGTTACATATGTATACATGTACCATGTTGGTGTCCTGCACCCATTAACTCGTCATTTACGTTAGGTATATCTCCTAAAGCTATCCCTCCCCCTCCCCTCACCCCACAACAGGCCCCGGTGTGTGATGTCCCCCTTCCTGTGTCCAAGTGTTCTCATTGTTCAGTTCCCACCTATGAGTGAGAACATGCGATGTTTGGTTTTTTGTCTTTGCGATAGTTTGCTGAGAATGATGGTTTCCAACTTCATCTATGTCCCTACAAAGGACATGAACTCAGGGATCTAGAACTAGAAATACCATTTGACCCAGCCATCCCATTACTGGGTATATACCCAAAGGATTATAAATCATGCTGCTATAAAGACACTTGCACACGTATGTTTACTGCGGCACTATTCACAATAACAAAGACCTGGAACCAACCCAAATGTCCAACAATGATAGACTGGATGAAGGAAATGTGGCACATATACACCATGAAATACTATGCAGCCATAAAAAAAGTTTTTGTTTTTAATGTTTGCAAGTAAGTTACAGACTTCCTGTCCCCTTATACCTCAGTGTGCATTTTGAAAAACAAGGACATTCTCTTGTATTATTACCACAATACAATTATCAAAACCTAAAAATTAACATTAATAGACTTCATTCAGATTCTGCTGATTGTCTCATCAATGTCATCTCTAACAAAGGGCAAAAACCAATTTTTGTGGTCTAGGAAATCAATCCAGGATCACATGTTGTGTTGTGCTGTCATTTTTAAAGTCTCTTTTAACTTAGATCAGTTCTTCGGTATTTCGTTGTTTTTCATGACCTTGACATTTTTGAAGTGTACAGGCCAGTTATTTTGGGTTAATCTGATGTTGTTTAATGATTAGATTCAGATTATATGTTTTTGGCAAGAACACCACTGAAAGAATGTTGTGTCCTTTTTCATGTCTCGTCATGGTATCTATTTCTGCCCTTACTTGTGTTCACTTAATTAATGTGGTATCTGCCATATTTCTGCACTGTAAAATTACTCTTTGTCCCCTGTAATTAATAACTATCTTGTGGGAGACACACCAAGACTATGAAAATAAATATATCTATTAGTGTTAATGACGGTCAGTTTTCTCATTGTTGAAGAAGAAAGGAATTATAGATATGAAAAGGTAGAATGCTAGAGTGAACCCATGTGCTGTTGGATTAAGATTAGCAATAACTGTATGAATTCGTGGTTTTTATAGCTATGTAGATCAATCTAATTGCCTAGCTGTATCCTCTGACAGGATAAAGAAGCAATGATAATTCAGTAGCAATTAGCATAAGTAGTACCATTATCTTGGTTTCTAAATACTATTCACCAACAAAAATCAACCAAGTCTTCTTCCTTGCTGGGGCAGGAAAAGAACAAGATAAGCCTGGAACAGGTGTTGTTTTTTGTTTTTGTTTGTTTGTTTGTTTTTGGTTTTTTTCCATTTGAAAGTAAGAGAGTGAGCAAAGAATGATGGGGACATGTCAAAAGGACACACGAGCCAGCTCCAAGGGGCTCCTACTAGCCAAATACAGGACAATGTGACCATAAAAATAAATGGTAGTAACAGATGGAATAAGAATCCATGAGTCCATACTGATAAGAACAAATAGATGAGCAACTATGTAAAATGGAAAGTTAGTTATTCATTACAATAGAATTCCAACAAATAAATGTGTGTGGTATGGCTGGATGCGGTGGCTCACGCCTGTAATCCCAGCACTTTGGGAGGCCAAGGCGGGCAGATCACCTGAGGTCAGGAGTTTGAGACCAGCCTGGCCAACATGGCGAAACCCCATCTCTACTAAAAATACAAAAAAATTAGCCGGGCATGGGGTGTGCACCTGTAGTCCCAGCTACTCAGGAGGCAGAGGCAAGGAGAATCCCTTGAACCCAGTAGGTAGAGGTTGCAGTGAGCCAAGATTGTGCCACTGTACTCCAGCCTGGGCAACAGAGCCAGACTCTGTCTCAAAAATAAAAAATGTATGTAGTATGATTGATTGAAAATCATCATTTGTTAACTACCATAGTAATGGTTGTTTGAGGCAAGAATCATCAATGAATTCTCTTTTTTAATAACATAGATTTGTTCTTTCTGACTCCTCCCTATCCATTCAGTGCACAGCTTTTAGCACACAATTGCCTTGGTCAAATCTGTTCTTAAGCTGGGCTTCCCCTTCCCATTGTACCATGTGTGTGAATATCTAAGACCACAAAATATGCTGCTTTTCCACTACTGAAGTAATATCTTACCTCATCTCTGTTTAGATTCTTCACACATTCCAAGGAAACACTTAGCTAATTTTCTATTAGTTTGAATTAAGTTGAGATGCTAGAGAAGTTTGCTAGAATCATTTTTCATTGCCAGCTAACATAAGTGCATTTTCAAACATGCTATTGATAAAATCTGGATAAGTTAGAGGGAACTATCTGCTTGGGAAGCAGATAAATGAGAGTCTATTGGGGGCAAATGAGACTTTTGGGGTTCCTTCTATATCATAGAATGGATGGACATATAATTTCATCTTCTGCCTTGAAGACAGGTGTTGAGAATTGACCTAAGCTGATTTGGTCATTCATAGCCCTTAGTGGTTTTTTCCTCCATGGTTCATACATCAAAAGAGGTTTGAGCTGAGTCAGTGTTAGGCACTACACAAAACTTTGCTACTAGTCCATAATGAAAGCAAGCCAGACAAAATTCTGCTACACACAGAGACCATTGATTACATAAATACTTAACAGCAAGCAAAGTAAAAAACATTTTTTTACAGCTCGTTATACAACTTGTTAGGAAGTCCCAGTTCTGCTACCTTGCATAAAGGTTCTTCCAAGGCAGACAGGGCAACATCCCAGAGGCTGGATCCTGTTACCCTTATCAATCCAGTGGGCAATGCCAAATCTTCTTAAATCAACAGGTGGACACTGGGCCATTTAGGAAAAAACCTCAGGTTTGTCTCTGGGGGAGAGGCTCTCTGGATCCTTATCCTCCATTACACTAGAGTGGAGAATATCTCTAAAATATTTTTGCTACTCCACATACTCTTGATTGTCTTTAATTTTACTCGAGAGAGTCCATTTCTAAATTCTTCATATTAATAAGCCACTAGTTTTACCAATTAAAATCCATTGCTAGCATACATTATACTGATTATTAAAGTCTTAGGTGTTAATAAAAATCAGGATAATAGAAGTACTTATAGTGATTGCTTCTGGAGTATTGCCTTTCTGATAAAATACTGGATAAATGTACAGTCTTGATGAAATACACTGGGAGAACATTACATACTATAGTGCCATCTTGGAAATTAAAAATGCATGTTAGCTATTTAGAGGTTAATGTCCTGCAATAAAGGAAAGCTGCTTAGTTTTGTTCGACCTTGCATTTCCCAAACTTAGTTGACCCCAAGTCCTTTTTTCCATCGCACTCTTGAAATTAGTTATTCCTGGGAAAGGCTTTAGAAAACATTGCTTTAGAGATTATAGGAGAAGCTTCCTTCAACATCCACTTAACTGACACTCAGCATTCTCTTTATAAAATTCGAGGATAATAGGCACCTATCTTAAATACTCTCTATCAAGTTGAGTTCTGTGCTTACAAAGAGTCAATTGAGATTTTTTCCAAAACGGTTTTATTCTATTTGTACTTGTAATTACAGTTACATAACTTAATTAAATATTACATAATCCCGTGACTTTTGAGTGTAAATATAAAGAGTTATTGTTTCTTTGAAAAATAAACTGAAAGTTTTGGAAAGACTCTAGAAAAGAATTGCTGAAAGTGTTATTAAATAAGGTGAGGGTAAGACAACTATGAAAGATTTGGGAAAAATATAAAAAAGAATTTCTAATACAACTTACTTTGTAAGTATCTTTTAAGTTATTGATGCATTTTCAAGAAACTGAAATGTATCATTTTTCAAGAAAGAGTTCAAGCAGAGAACTTGAATTAGTGGAGCCATACTCAAAAGCCTTACATTTAAATAAAACATGTGAGGTATATGTATGCCAATTTTTATTATTTTCTGCTTTTACTGAATTTTTTGATTAAGTGACTAAGCATAAACCTTGTAAGAGTCAGAAAAGGGCTTTTGTTCTAGAGAGAGAGAGAATTAAAGAGAAGACTTCACAAAGCAAAGTGTGTACACACACACACACATACCCCTTGTGGCATGTTTTAAAATATTCCACATAGATTTTGCCCATATTTCCTCAAGCCAGGCTCAGTTGTCTTCAGAACCCTTTGGCATTCTTGACACACTGCTTTTGTGTTTTTTCAACTTTATTGTAAGTCTGTGGGATTGCTTAATACCTTGTTAAAGAAAATTAGAGTTAAAAATCTAATTTCTCCCTGGGAGTGGTCCATATATATATACATAGTTCATGGCTGGGAACAAAGTTTACTACTAGTGTATTTTTTCAGTGTTATTTTGTAGTAAAAGTTCTTAAAATATTGTGTAATAAATAATATTTGATTTCTATCTATGTTCTCTTAGGCTTGGTCCCATGGCAGCCTATAATTCAAGGTTAAGGTTATGTTGTTATTTAAGAATTTTTAGCATCTGTACTTGTATGTGCTGCATAAACAAAACAGTTATTCTATTGCAGACCAGTTTTTCCTTTTGAAATGTAGAATACAACAATCACTTCTCAGGTTTAATTAAGACTGTGTTTGTACAGAGGTCTGTAGTTTATAAAAGCAGTTAAGCAAAGAAATGCTTTTGTTATATACAAACAGAACAAAAAGGGAAAATACTGTCTTGATCCTTTCATTAAAGGTCAAAAAAAAAAAAAAAAGAAAAAAAGAGTTCACTCAATTTTTTATCTCGTGTTTTTTCACAAATACCAGAAACAGAGCTGTAAGATAGTAATTTGTTAAACTACACATTAAGCTGGTATTTGAATATGAAAAGGTATTTCCACCCCGTGCAATATTGCTTTTTTGAAATACTAAAAGCCCTTACATTAGGGTGGTAATTGAATGACTGCTTAAAAACAAACCCTGTCTGCTTCATTTTGACAGGTTCTTTATACATTTTTGTGGAGGGTAAACATGTCAGGATGTAGCAGACTAAGGAAGGAGCTGGTATTGAACAGGGTTCATAGTCAAAGTGACATAGTTTCTCATTCTCAAGAAGAGTAGTTGGCATGGTTGTTTTGGGACCTGCAATATAGTTTTTCTAGATTCAACATGGAAAACATTATTCTAAACTCTAGTGATCTATCTGCCCATAGCTTATGCCAAGCAGCATGGATTATACATTTTTGATACCTGTAGACGTTTTAGGAGCCTTCTTGATGTTATGTTGAAATCTTATTCCTGTAGTTATCCACATAATTTTCTACCAAATCACCCTGTAGAACTGATGCATAATTACTTCTTAGGATTTGTTTGTTACTGTAATAATGAAATATTTTCCTGTCTCTTGGTATACCCATGTGTATACTGTGTTTTTTATTTTGTAAGTCCCATGAAGGAGAAAGGACTTCTATTTTTGTTTTATTGGAGTTGAACACTTCTTGAGCCTCCTTCTTGGAGATTCTCAGGTTTCTGATCATTCTTGTTATAGTTAACTGATTATTTTTGTTTCCTTAGATCAATTTAGAGGGTCACAATATAGCACTTTCAGAAAATTTGTCAGAGCTTTTATTACATTAGGAAGAGTAGCCATTTAAGTGTGCAAACACATCACTCATTGACTGGCTCACTGAACATCTATGAGTCAGGTAGCTGCTGAGAACTAGAGATGTTAAGCTAGATGAGATAGTTCTCTGCAAGATTGGTCAATATTCCTTTTTCAGCTGCTATGTTCTAGAAAATGTATGGTACCATATGAAAAGATAATTGAAATGGAGAACATGTTATTTGCTAGAATGGGGCAAACATATGTCTTAACCTACATGAAAAATATGGGAGTGACATTGAGATTGGAGTTAGGGAGAGGGAATAGATCAGATTTGGACATTTTGTCCGAAGTAGGGCAATAAATTATGTCTTAAATACGACTTGATACCAAATCCAAAAGTAGAATGGTTGCAACAATATTTCTTCTAGTTATACTTCTTTTTCTGAATCTTACTTTGTTATGGAAATCATAGAGCATGCTGATATTCTCAGCATAGACGAGGAGTTGAGGAGGGTAAGGGAAAATATAGGCAAACAGGACAAGATTTTCATCCCGTGGACATTAGTGCATTTGAAAAACTGGCTCTTGGGCTTCATGTTTTGGACAGTCAGGACAGAGGTCTCACAGGGGTTATTTGCAGGTTTTGCTTTTTTTGAGGTTGCAGCCATCCTAGGACTATCATGACTGTCATGTGGTGTTGAGAGAAAGGAAGATAGAAAAAAGATGCTTTTTGAAAAGCTTTTCCCCAAGACCTATCATTGGGTCTTCTTTCTCCTGGTGGAGATAGGGGAGGAGAGGCAGAGAGGAACCCAGCTGTCAGCAATGGTGCAGTGGGTCCAAACTGCTTCTCCTTGGTGGGTGGAATTTCCGTTCTAGAGGAGGATCTGAGGAGGCTTATGAGCTTCCCTGGGAATTGCTTTCTTCTTCCAGCTTCTGAAAGGTTCTCTTCATTTGGCCCCAGGAGGAATGAGGAACACACTACAAAGCTTTCCATTCTACAGGCTCTGTGAGCTGAGTGGTGAAGTTGCACATTTTCTAATTGGAGAAAACATGGTCCCATACATTTTAGGTTGGCTAAGAAGAAATGCCTGAGATTCATGGATTGAAGTGTGCCTTCAATTGGTCTTCTGCTAGAGTTTCATGTAGAAACTGATAGATGAAACAATACATTTACCCAAATATGTGAACCAAAGGACTATGTGAATAGAGAGGGACTGATTGTGTCTACTCAGTAAATAGGCCAAAGAAAGGGCAACAAGCGAATCACAAGGACTGTTTAAAGCCCTGGCCAATGGGGGGTTGGGGGAATTGTGTCTTTTGCATAAGTTGCTCCCAGTTTGAAATCTTCTTAGTACACTCCCAAAGCTGCTCTGTGGCTGCCAGCAGTGTTAGCCTGAGATCTCTTAATCCTCATATAGATCAGCATCTCTCTAAAATAAATCACTTGACTGTTTTCTGCCTAACATTGCAGGAATGGCTTGGGAGACTAACCCTTCGGTTTGAAATGTCTGAAAACTGCTTCTCTGTTTTACAATCTTGAATTTTACTTAGCTCTGCTGCTCTTTTTAGCTTTCTCAGAAGTGGATTATATTTTGCTACCTTTGCCACTGAAGTACAAATATAATCGTTGTTATTTTCTTGTCTCACAGAGTATATTTTGACCGAAATAAGTAGACAATGTTCTGTTTTCTAAGTTCCAACCACAGTGTTTTTTTTGTTTGTTTGTTTTACACTCAGTAATCCACATATTGTTATTTCTAGGTAATTATAGAATTTTTCAGTCAGTAATTTACTAAGCACATGTCATGTTTTCAGCACTGTGTAAGGAACTGAGGCATACAAATGAAATCTGAGGCATGGTTCAAGTCTTCATGTAGGTTACAGTGTTTGTGGAGAAATAAAACCAAATCAGAGGAAACAAAGAACAATTAAATGTTCAACTGTGTAGTACTCATGATAGGAATCTCCTGGAAGTAAATACTGAATATGGATAAATTAATGAATGAAGTGTTCATTCAAGGAAGAAATCATTGTGGACTAGAATGTGTCATTGAATAGGTCGGATACGAACATAGCCATGAAACATAAATAGGACTGGTAAGTGGAGGAGAGAATATTCTAGGTGAAGAGAGCAAAGGTAACAAGGTTGATGATGGAGTTGAGCATGGCATGTGTTTTGGACAATAAGAGGAGACCAGGTGACAAAAATCGGTATGCAAGAGAAACAAAAAAATAAAGTTGGGTATCCCCCCTTCCTTGATAAGTGAACCTCAATTTTGTGCCTATCTGCAAGTGATGAATCATGATTGGTCTAACCCATTCATGATGATTCTATCCTCCGCCTTTCCAGTCTCCTTTGGAGCTAGGGCAGCTCTGTGATCGTGTTCTGGCTTCAAGCTGAAGTCTGCTGATGGCATTTCTGGAAATGTTTTTGTTCTTTGATAAAATGTTGGCACCTCCTTTTCCTCTCCTCCTTGCCTTGAATGAAGATGCAAGGTCTGTAAATATACAGCAACCTTGCTGTTATGAGGAAAAGGCAAAGAGTTATTGTTTCTGATACTGCTGAACTGCTAAACCCACACCAACAGCTGTCTACCTCTGGACTTCCTGTTATGTGAGAGAAACCAACCTCTGTTTATGTAAAACAGTATAAATTATGGTTTTAGTTGTTTGCAATGTTTTAACATTATTTTAGAAAGGTTAATCTGCAATAGCACACCAGCTGAACCGGAAGGTGATGAGAATTGAGGTGGTGGTTTTAGCAATATGGGTCTTAAGTGAAGAAGTTCTGGGCAAGACTTGTGGCCAGGGGAATAGGAAGGAAGGCAGACATCTCAGAGAAGAAGCAAAAGTATTCAGTGCAGATTCAGTGAAGGATAGAAGAAGCCAGATAACCTCAAAGTTTCTAATCAGGAAGATAAGTGGGCCTGCATTACAGCTTTGGGGATAGGCAGATAATGGTAAAGACGAGTTCTGTCTTAAGGTATGTTGAGTTTGAGATTATGATGATGGAACATCCAAGTGGAAATATTACGTGCATAGTCAGAAATACAACATTTGATTTGAGGCGAATCTATACAATGCCTATGACCTTGGGCATGGAGAAACAGAAAAGCAATAAATGATGCCACCAGTTATTTGAGAGGAAGAAAAGAGGTCATTTGCATAAACAGACAGAGAAAGGAGATAATACGGGGTTGGTACAGGGATGAATATGTCATCATCAGTATCCAATGATCTAGAGAGATCAAGAAAGGTGAGGAATGAGGAGAGAATTTGGTAAATCTGACAAAAAGTGAATCTGGTAAAAATAGGACACCAATGATTTCCAAGAGAGGATATATTGGCTGCCCAGATCTGAGCAGTTAAGTGGGAAGGGAAGGGAGTCCAAGATGAAAGTGGTAGTGACAGATCATTCATTGAAGGAGCTGGGAATTGAGAAAGGCTGATTCTTGCAAGGGTGGTAGACCTAGTAAAAGATGGTTTTAAAAACAGTGAAAACTGGGAGGAAAGAATTTCATGGAAAGGCCCAACATTTAAATGGAAAGAAAGGTATAAACACACAGAGAAAGTTAAAGAAATGTGTAATGTTGGAGAAAGACTTTAGTTTCAGGACAGTTCAGATATTCCTCTGAAATTGGAGGCAGGGATGACAAGGAGGCTCTGGAATCTAATGAGTGGAAGCAAATATACTTGTAAACAGCTGTCTCTACTGGGTAGGTGAAGTCCTGTGTTAGGAGCTGGTCTAGTGGTAGGGAGAAGTGAAAGGGGAGCTAGCCACTTCATGCAGTTACAAAATCATGCAGCCTTGCCATCAACGTGGCAAGGATTGTCAAGGGCAAGGCTGCGTAATTTTGTGTCTTTCTCAGGCAGGACCATAGCGGAGAACCAGAAGCTGAAGAGGAGACCCAGAATCAGGTGGAGGTTCATAGGGAGTTGTGAAGGTGAGAGAATCTAGAACAATGCTCCTGGAGAGGGAGGAGAAATCTAGTGTTCTCAGGAAGAGGTTAAAGTCCAAGTGCAGATTGTCCAGAGAACAGGTTTGGTTGGGGGAGGTGGCAGAGAAGGGGATGGTGGCTTGAGCAGAGTAAGTCCAAATCTCAGACAGAGCTTGAAATGGTGAGATCCAAAAATTGCTTCTGAGTACCTGGACACAGCAGCTTGTTACAAGTAGAGATTTAATTCTTGTTCTTTTTTTTTTTTTTTTTTAAATGAGAGGCTAATTTGTCACACATTTCTTTTACTTTCTCTGTGTATTTGTACCTTTCTTTCCACTTAAGTGTTGGTCCTTTCCACAAAGTTCTTTCCTCCCAGTTTTCACTCTTTTTAAAACTATCTTTTACTAAGTCTACCACCCTTGCAAAATTACACAACATATTTTCAGTATATTCTAGTGCATTATTTACTTATAAATAAAATTGAGGCCAAGTATAAATAAGGTACAAATGTACTGAGTTTTATCTCACTTTGGTGAGACTTCTTAAATACGAAATAAAAAGCCATCCATGTTCCAATTCTGGCAATATATTCCCCTTCCACACATTCAACTACCCTCTTGCTGAACTCAACCTTGGGTTTCTACAGTGTTACTGAAACCTGCCATCCATTCACAGTGGCTTCTCCTAGTGATTTCCATGGAGCACAATTTTTTAAATGTCCTTAAAAAAGCATGCTACTTTAATTATATGGCAGATGGTGTGTTGCATGGTTTCCTAACTGGTGTTACTTCCACACTGTACTTGAACTATATAAAGAACTTTGCTCTCAACTCAGGAGGAATCCTGCGAAGCTCAAGTTTGTATTAACTTAGAGAGGAACAATTTCTGTAGGTTGGGACAAATTTTAATGTATATGTTATAGTACTAATTTTATTATGTAAAAACTACACATAAACCAAAACCATAGGGGTTTCAAATAATCATTGCAAATTATGATTAATTTAGTAAGACTTTAAACTGTTGTTTTCTTCTGATTTTTAAAAGTGAGTCATTATCATGTAGAAATTTTGAAAAATGGAGAAAAATAGAAAGAAAATAAAAATTGCTCTTAATCTCAACTTCCTGGAGATAGTCACTCTTCACCTATTTTTGGGTGAGGGGAGGGGCACTTTATTTTTTAAACTGAATCATATTAAACAACCTTTGTTTCCTACCTCAATAGGTCAATTGACTTTTAATTCTGGTTTCATTTTCTGAAAACTCTGTAAGGTCAGCAAGCAAAGGTGTTAGAAGTAGGTAGCATATAACATAGGAATTAGCAGATAGCTTATTTCTGTGGGAAATAGAAAGGCTGACTAATCTGTGACATCCAGTAACTTTTTACTGAGAAAAATGTGGTTGCAATGAGTAAAGTCTCCCATGTCACTATTCTGTAGAAGATAAACAATGTTTTAGCTTTATTATGATTTATACCGTATTCTTTTCAGGATTAACTCTAAGCGTAGAACATTTTAGTTTTATACCTTGATTAGAATCATTTATTTATATCCCAAAACATAGAAATTAATTTGGGGTGATAAGTCCTTTTGTTGTCAAGTTATTTTTCTCTTAACATTTGTATATAGTTTTTTGTATTATGTTTCCTAATGGAACTCACATGTCCATTAGAGTCAACTGATTATTCAAGACAGATTTGCTTTAATCTCCCAGTGTTTATTCAGTTTCATTTAATATTGTACTTTTATGAGGGTTATGAATCATAGGAATGTAGATAATATGAAACATATTGCATTATTTTAGATGGAAAGTTAGACTTTGTAATTTAGATAGGTTGTCCTCATTTTATTACATAGGGCATTTTCACTATTATCTTAACTGTGGAAATATTTGATGAGTCAGTTCATCTTGTTTTATAGAATTTCCAAATTGACATGAAAAGAAATAATTGTTTTGCATTAATTTATATTTAATATAAGCACTTGAGAGGTAACCAGGAATGGGAGGAAAGGAGGAAGACATTCATGGATATGCATTCTAGAGTAATGAATTTCAACTGCCGGAAATCAATGGCTCTGCCAGATTCATATGTTAATTTTTAATGAGTAGACATTTACTTAGAAATTGATTTATTTGGACTCAGATGAAAAGCAAAAATGGCTGAAAATTGTCAATAATAGCATACAATTGCCTCTTTAGGTTTAGCTGTGATTATTTTTGAAATAAAATCCTCAGGGATGTTGGAAGTGAGCCCTAACAGGGTACACATGTACCATTTTATTTGACAGAGATCTTCATTGCATATATCCTACCACTTTTCATTTCAATGTAACGAGCAATCAAAAACTGCTTGTTGAGTTTGAATAAAAAGGGTGACTGGTGGGGGGTGGTAGTATTTGTCCCTTTTGATGTTTTCATAGTTTAAGTTTGAGGTTGGCAAACTATAGCCTGCAGGCCTAGTCCAGTTTGCCATCTGTTTTTGTAAATAAAGTTTTACTGGAACACAGACATAATCATTTGTTTATGTATTGTTTATAGCTGCTTTCATGCTACAGTGGCAAAATTAAGTAATTGCAAGAGGAGCTATCTAGACTGCGAAGCCTAAAATATTAGTATCTAGCTCTTTACTGAAAAAAAATTTCAACTAAGTTTAGTTAAACTTTTCCCTTATAGTACTGTATTTCTTAAACCTGATGGTATACTATTGTTTAACATGTCAATATGGAATCAAATTACCAAGATGCTAAAGGAGAAAGAAACCTGGCCGAATAGGAACAGCTCCAGTCTACAGCTCCCAGCGTGAGCGACGCAGAAGACGGGTGATTTCTGCTTTGAAAAATTTTTCAGATAAGACATAAATAAGTAAAACAGAGAAAGATATATCACTTTATAATCGAGGGCTAAATTGTATGATAGTATCAAAAAACCCTTTTCAGGCTCAGTGGCTCATACCTGTAATCCCAGCAGTTTGGGAGGCCCAGGCAGGTGGATCACTTGAGCTCAGGAGCTCGAGACCAGCCTGGGCAACGTGGTAAAATCCTGTCTCTACAAAAAGTACAAAAAATTAGCCCGGTATGGTGGTGTGTGCCTGTAGCCCCAGCTACTTGGGAGGCTGAGGTGAGAGAATCATCTGAGCTTGGAAAGTCAAGGCAGCAGTGAGCTGTGATTGAGCCCCTGCACTCCAGCCTGGGCAACAGAGTGAGACCTTTTCTTTAAAAAACAAAATCAAAACAAAAAACCAAAACCTTCATATATTCTGTATCATAAATATATGTGAATTGAAAGTCACTTTAATGTGGTCAGAGTCAGAGTTCTAAAGTTCTCAAAATTGCAATGTTAGCATACTAATGTAGTAGGATATGTTTTGATGTTTTCGTCTAGAAATGGGAACATCAACTTAGTGCCATATAGTTATATGGTTGTATCTAGGTTAGCCAGGGTTCTAAAGGAATCTAGAGCTTTTCTAGAAATTGTGGGGTCAGAAAGGATGATGTACTAGGCTTGCTTGAGTATGAACCAGGAGAGATGCATGTGTGTGTATGTGTGTGTGTGTGTGTGTGTGTGTGTGTTTTGTTTTGAGAGGGAGTCTCACACTGTCGCCAGGCTGGAGTTCAGTGGCACGATCTCGGCTCACTGCAACCTCTGCCACCTAGGTTCAAGTGAATCTCCCGCCTCAGCCTCCCAAGTAGCTGGGACTACAGGTGCACGCCACCAGGCCCAGCTAGCTTTTATATTTTTATTAGAGATGGGGTTTCATCACGTTGGCTGGGATGATCTCAATCTCTTGATCTTGTGACCCGCCCACCTTGGCCTTTCAAAGTGCTAGGAATATAGGCATGAGCCACCACGCCCAGCCAAAAGATGCAGTAATTTCAGGTAGTTCTATGATCAGTATATAGGGATGCCACCACAACTGTTTCTGAAGAACACAATTTTAATAGGACCTAGGTAGGGAGGCTTAGGATTAAAACATGTTGAAAATCTGTCTTCAGGGACTAAATGAAGCTGGAATAAATAACATGGCACACAGTTGAACATATATTGGGGAAAAGGGTGATCTTGGAAGGGGCACTAGAAGCAATTATAAATTGGTGTGAACTTATATGTGAACATAAATAACACAAGATGATACATTGGTAACTTGTATCATTTACATTTGGTTTTGTATCTTGAGTGTCTTGCATAATAATAAAGCAGATCCCAGCTTTAAAGAGTGGAGTGTTTCTGCTCTATATTGAAATAACTATCAGAGGGCAGGGAGGTTAAAATCAGAAGTAGGTACGCTCCTTGCATAACTCTTCCATGCGAGTGGTGGCAGATTAAGAACCTTCTGTAGTAGAACCATTTTGTTACACATTGCCAACCACAAAATTTCATAGAGTCAAAAAATAAAAATAAAAAAAGAGGTCAATGTGGTGGCCTGGACTAACTGGGAAAAGCTTTATGGAGAATATTGGATTTTCTCTCAGTTTCTGTTCTGAGTAAAGTATGAAGCTGCCTTTATAAAGAAGCAAGTTGGTGACTCTGGGATTTGAATGAGTTTCCCAGTCCTGTTGGGGTACTATAATAAAATACGTTAGGCTGGGTAAATTATAGTCAACACAGAAATTTATTGCTTTACAGTTCTAGATGATGGGAAGTTCAAGATCAAGGCACCAGCAGGTTTGGTGTCTGGTAAGGGCCTGTTTCTCATCAATGATACCTTTTATGTGTTCTCACATGGCCCAAAGGGGCAAACAAGCTCTCTTAGACCCTTTTATAAGGGCACTGTATTAGTCCATTTTATGTTGCTGTAAAAAATGCCTGAGACTGGGTAATTTATAAGGAAAAGAGGATTGACCTGGCTCACAGTTCTGCAGGCTGTACAAAGAAGCATGGCACCAGCATCTGCTTCTGGTGAGGCCTCTGGAAACTTCCAGTCATGCAGAAGGTGAAGGGAGAGCAGGTGCATCACGTGGTGAGATAAGGAACAACAGAGAGGGAGAAGGAGAGAGAGTGGGGAGGTCCCAGACTCTTTTCAACAATCAGATCTCATGTGAACTCATTACCATGGGGAGGACACCAGGCCATTCATGAGGGATCTGTCCCCATGACCCAGACACCTCCCACTAGGCCCCATCTCCAACATTGGAGATCATATTTCAACATGAGATATGGAAGGAACAAATAACCAGGCACTAACCATATTCACCTCCTAGCGGCCCCACCTCCCATTACCACTGCACTGGGGACTAAGTTTCAACATATGAATTTTGGGGAGCATAAGCTTTCAGACCATATTCAGCAATGAGCATGGTTTGTGTAGAAGAAGAACTTGGGCAAAGTGAATGGCTTATGCCTCAAGTTGAGCAGATTAGTTGCGTAGTAAGAAAGGTGAGGGGAGATAAGGGTGGGAGAGTGATGGAACATAAGGGAACTAAGGTACCACTTGGGTCAGCCTAGTTTCTGTGATTCCGTTACATTATGGGATTGAGTGTTTAATGCTCAGTGACATCTCATAGAATGAATCATAGGGAGACCAAGTGGTGTGCACAGGTCTACCTGGTTTGGGAATCACTGAGATTGTTTTGCTCTGCTCCAAGTTGCAACTGAAGACAAATCACATTCCTGGAGGGAAAGGAACATCAAGTGACTAAAATGCAACAGCATAAATCCTCTCTCATAATAGACAGCACCTGTAGCCTTTTGACCCTTTGTTCTAAATCTTTTATAGAAGAGTGTAGGATGTAGATAGGAAATAAATAAAATTGCCTCCTGATTTTATGTCACTATGGAGCTGGTTGGGAGTCTCTTTCCTTTTCAGAGAAGCCACAGAGAGAAAGAAGAAAAAGCAAAGGCAAGACCCCTTCTCTTACATATCCCAATGGACTTTGAGTGTTAGTGTTGCTTTTTAATGAAGGTGGATGGCAGAGAGAGATTTTCAATATAGCTTAACCATAAATTTTCTTAAGGGGGTTAGGTGGTGCTGTCCAATACTCCAGGGTGTGGTGGTGGAGCTGGCAGAGGCTACAAAAAGCAGCAGGTGCCTATAGGTCTAGAAATCCCCAGCTCATTAGAAGTGCTGTAAATCATAGCATCCTTCATGTCTCTTGAGTGAAACTTGGCACCTCCAGCTTACAACTGTGTGGTGGTCACACTGTCCCTGACTTCAATAATGTTAACAGATGACAACTTCCATTGAACGATGAAACTGGGTGAGCCAGTGCCAGTAATGATGGATTGGGTGGCTGAAAGTTTCTGCAGAGAGGACAGCAAGAGGATGCCAAGGAAGCTGGTCTGTGTGTAACTAAAAGACTAGTAAATATGAGAATTGATGGGCACATCTATCACCCATGGGGCCACTGTGTCCTGAAAGACCTTGTATGAAAGCTTTGAGAAAGGCTTTGGCAAGGATAAATGCCCCAGCGCTTAGACAAGTATGGGTCTCTGCAGGCCGGACTGGTTGAAGAGGGCAACGAGGTGAGGTTTCGTGAGTTGGAAGTTGGCCTCCTGTAGTGTGCAGTCTGACACAGAAAAGGTTCTAGCTCACAGTTGCCTGGTTGGAGCATGGAAACAGCTCCAGCTTAATATTCAGGACATCTGTCTGCCGAGGCCTGTTTTTTTTCTGTACGTTTTCATGGCTGTTTGTAGACAGTGGTAGGTGAGATTGGAAGAAATAAGAGACTTGAGGAAAACAGAGTTAAACAAGAAAGTAAAAGTAACTCTTCAATACCCAGTACATGGTTAATATGTAGATACTTGAGGATCCTTTATCCCTCTTATGTCTCAGGAGATGGGGTGCTGGGGTTGTGGGGAGGGCAGGGGAGGAGTAAGGGAAAAAGGGAAAAGACAAAGAAGATATCATCTATTTGAGTAAATAAAATGGAGATGTAGTAAAGATATCATTTTGGGAACCTTGAGATTGATAAAAAAAAATACACAACTTACTAGAACTTTTTCAGTTCAAAGCTGAATGCTAAAAGGTTGTTTTGTGTGCTGTATGACAGACAAATATTTTAAAATATGTCTCACAACATTCCTTTGGCTTAGGTGGTGATATTTAAGTTAAGACTTACATATATCAGTTGGCCAGTTTGACAGATAGGAAATTATTTGGAATTAAAAATTCCCCTTCTAGTTTTTCCCCTAAAAAGTCCCTGCTTAATTCATGATTGTTCTCTCCTTTGCCTCTTCTTTCCTAATTCTTTATCTTCTCCCATATCCAAAAGAACATCTGGCAACTATCTCTTTAGAGGCATCTATGATCCTGGATTGAATTTGTTATCCAGTCAGCACCTTCGTGAGCTGTGTTTGATTTTCTGAAATTGGGTTTCCGCAAATGGTCATATTTCAAAGTGCTATGCCATATAATTATTTGAAGGGAAAACATTTTAACGTGGTACAACGACAACGTAAAGAATGAAAATTGTGCTAAGTGAGTTCTGTCTCTTTCAAGTTCAAATTGGTAGGTTTTCCTGGCTTGAACACAAAATGAAGTCAAATTGAAGGGTCAGAGATACAAGAAAATTATAAGGAGAACAAACTCATTAGAAAGGGAACTGAAAAATGGATAACAAGAGGAACAAATACAGGGATTTTCCATATCTAGGGAAAAACAATCCATAGGTTCTATGGGGACTTTAAAAATATAGAGGATTGAGAAAAAAACTTTGTATTTTGCAACAATTTTAGGTTAATAGAACATTCGTAAAGATAGCAAAAATAGTTCCTATATACTCTATATCCAGCTTCCCCTAATGCTAACATATTACAGTTTTAGATTTTTAATGGTTATGATAAACATGAGTCTATGATTTATAGATGTCACTACTTTTTTATAGTATTAGAAGAAAATTAGACATATAATTTTCTACTTGAAAATTTATATTCTTGTTTACACTTTAAGAATATGTAATATCTTCCAACCACATTCATATCAAGAAGAACAAAAACAAGCAAACAAAACCCCTGATCATATCTTAAAAAAACAGCCCTTCTCTGAGTTATTTACATTTTTAGCAGGATGCAAAACTTTATGCCCAAATTTTCCAAATTTAGGTATGTTACCATGGCATTTTATCCTGGAAAATTGCTTTGACTGGAAGTTTCTTTGGCAAATCTCACTTTTATTTATTTATTTTATTTTATTTAGACGGCGTCTTGCTCTGTCGCCAGGCTGGAGTGCAGTGGCGCGATCTCGGCTCACTGCAACCTGTCTCCTGGGTTCAAGCGATTCTCCTGCCTCAGCCTCCCGAGTAGCTGGGACTACAGGCATGTGCCACCACGGCCAGCTAATTATCATTATTATTATTATTATTTTTTGAGACCGAGTTTCACTCTTGTTGTCCAGGCTGGAGTGCAATGGCGTGATCTTGGCTCACCACAACCTCCGCCTCCTGGGTTCAAGTGATTCTCCTGCCTCAGCCTCCTGAGTAGCTGAGATTACAGGCATGCGCCACCATGCCCGGCTAATTTTTTTGTATTTTTAGTAGAGACAGGGTTTCTCCATGTTGGCCAGGCTGGTCTCGAACTCCCTACCTCAGGTGATCCACCCGCCTTGGCCTCCCAAAGTGCTGGGATTACAGGCGTGAGCCACCGCGCCCAGCCCCTAATTTTTGTATTTTTAGTAGAGACAGGGTTTCACCATGTTGGCCAGGATGGTCTCAATCTCTTGACCTCATCGTGATCCTCCTGCCTCGGCCTCCCAAAGTGCTGGGATTATAGGCATGAGCCATGGCGCCCAGCCCAAATCTCACTATTTTTTAGATTAAAATGGAACTGTTGTGGGGTATAATGTAAAATTTATGCATTTTTAAAAAGCAAGAGATAGCTTAAAATGGGACTCTTTGGTGGTCTCTGGCAGTGTGCAGACTTTGGTGGTATGAGTTCACTCTGTTTTGTCTTTATAGCTATAGAGGTTGAAAAAAAAAAAAACCATTACCTTACACTAATTGACATAAATTTTGGAAGCATTATTTCAGCACCAACCAATACAGGTTTCCCATAGTCCTTATTGGATATCATAGAATTTTTGATAAATATTTGTGAAATGAAGCAATGAGTAAAAATAAGGAATGTCATTTTGAAATGTGGGGCCTTTTCTGTGTCTCCTCAAATCCCACCTGGGAAGTGCTCACTCATTCCAGGTAAGACAGGCTTTGCTGATTCTGGGCCTTGGACTGGCAGGGAAGAAGGGACTGACTAGGTTAAGTATCTCCTCAAGGTGCTGGAGGCCTCTAAATAAAATGAGGTACCTCCCCCTTCATTCCTAGCCTGGAAGAAGACTGGAGCCTCGAGATTACAGTTATAGTCTCTGCTTATTATATAAAAGTAATCATATGCTATATATAGCCCATGATGGTATAAATGTTGTAGCTGAAGGGCAACTGACAAGAGAAGGCAGTGGAGACTTGGGAAAAAGTGGGATTTTAGGTCTGAGAGACCTTCAAGTTCTAGCCTGGGCTGCAGGATAGAACCCTAGGTTTGGTACTTTGACCCTCGGTTTGGTACTTATCCTCTTGAGGCCATATTTCATTATATAAAATGGGAAGTCAGTAATCTATAGTGAGAGCTACATGTAAGAGTGAATTTATCTTATGAACTAATCATTGGCCTTTTTTGCTGTCAGATCTATTCCTTTTCTCCCACTTCATTATCTGCATGGCTGAAGGTTCAACCCCTGCAGGCTGATTTCCTAGCTCTTTCCCAGCTGGGTTTAGCCAATGAGAGGCACTGGCAGGAGATGGGCAGGCAAGCACAGCTGCTGTGTTTGCTTTGTGGCTCCAGCTTGTGTAAGACAGGCCCACTGTGGTTCCAGCTTTTTCCATGACTCTGGCCCTTTGGTGCTGGTAATACCATCCTCTCCTTCTGTCCCTCCAGCCAAGGAGTGGTAGTAGCTACCTGCAGTTGTTAGCCTCCGGGTTGCCTCTTTATTCTCTTTTGGCTTCTTAGCTCTTTTAGCAGTGATGTATCTAAGTCACTGTATTACATTCCCTCTTTTTAGAATGTTGGAGTGGTTCCTATTTCCCTCATTGGACCCTTATTGATCCAGTCCATTTCGGTAATCTAGCTGTGAGCTGCAGTACTTCAACTAGGCTGGTTGTGATAGAAATAGAAAGGAAGGAGAGACCTGCCAAAGGAGAAAGAGAGCAGTAACCTATTAGATGGGGAAAAGATCAGGAGAAATAAAGCAATTCAGATAATTGTGACTGCCATTGTTGAAGACAGGCCTTTGGAAGGGGAACTGGTTTGGGTGTAGAACCAATGGGTTTTGTGTAGAGCATGTCAAAGAAGATAAACTTCATGATTTCACTGCCTTTCCCACTTCAGTGTATTGCAGCTGCAGGAGTATTTATGGAGTTGCCTTTCTCTCTTGGGAAAGGGTAAAAATGTTCAGAGGAAAGAGATCAGGGGTAGCTACACTTATGTCAGATAAAAATAGACTTTACGTCAAAAACTACAAAAAGAGGCAAAGAAGGTCATTACATAAGGATACAGAGGTTAATTCCTCAAGAAGACATAACAATTGCAAATATGTATGCACCCAACATCAGAACACCTAAATACATAGGTATAATAATGTGATTCAAGTCCAATATTCACACATTTACACATAGGTGTAAAAGTATAATTCAAGTCCAATATTTATTGATTTTTTGTTTAGATGATCTGAACAGAAAATCAATAAGTGTTGGACTTAAATTACATTTTCAACCAAATGGACCTAACAGACATATGCAGAATACTCCATCCAACAGCAGCAGAATACACCTTCTTCTCAAGTACACATGAAACAGTCTCTAGGATTGATCACATCTTAGGCGACAAGACAAGTCTTAACAAAATTCAGAGAGGACAGCAGTGTGTGGCCCAGAAGGGAATGCCCCCTGGTGGCTTGCTAAGCCTGGAACACATCTAACACCATTGACTCCAGCCCCATCTCTGTAACTTTTTTGGGAGTAGAATAGGAACCCATTCTTTGCCAGTTGGGCAGCAGCTCTTTACCAAGGGACCAAGATGAGCAGGCTGTTCCTTTTGTCAGTGCAACATTTGCAAGAGGAGTGCTGTGGGAGGAGATAAAAATTGACTTCCAAATGGCCAGCAAAATTTCAGAGACATTTTTGGGACTGGCTTTTAGGTTCAGACTTAATAAGTAAAACAGCAGATACTTAAGATTTTGATTTCCCTGTGGGTTAAGATAGTTCATAGTGGGGATGGCCAACATTGCTACAGCAAGCTGGAATCCACTTCCTCAATGTACTGGGGCATTATGGAAAATAATGATCTCTGAGGGAGAGAAATGATTCCACATCTTTGGGAACAATATCTAGATATATTAAGAAATGACCTCAGATGAAAAACAAATATAAAAACATTTTGGCAAATCAGAAGGTGCACATTATATGGCATTCATGATGTTTTATATAGTATATGTGTGTTGGGAAAGAAAAGAAGAGTCTAATAAATGAAGACAAACAGGAAACCCTTCCTAAACTCTCTTCCCAAATACTTCTTAGTCACGTTGTACAGGTCGAAGGTTCTGGGAAGAAACAGCTAGTGCTCTGACCTGCATTCTGCAAATATAACGTTTCCTGTTTTGTAGGAACTTGGGGCTGAAAAATGCATAAACCAATTGATTTAAACTCTTAAACCCATAATATTCACAAACCTCAAGGACTGCTGGTCAAAGCCTCTCTCTCTCTCTCTCTCTCTCTCTCTCTCTCTCTGTGTGTGTGTGTGTCTGTGTATGAGAGAGAGAGAAAGAGAGAGAGAGAGAGAGAGAGAAAGATCTATTGCAGATGTTCTTGGAGTATTACATTACATCTAATTTCCAGATAGTCTCCAGATAACTGAATAATTGATTCATGTGAATCTTAAATACATCAATATTCTGTAGTTTCTCAAACCTTTTATTTTGTTTTTTTTTTTTCAACTCTGAGTGAATTAGGTTTAGTTGGAGAAAACCGTTTATGTTATGTACTTCTAAAATATGATGAGGTGAAGCATGAAGCATGGTTCTCCTTGGAATGATGTTTACATTAATAAGGCTTTTTATCTCACAACGACATAGATAATATAAAATTAAAATCAACTGCTGATCTCAGGGAGCAAACAGATTTTTATGATAAGGATTGTATAGCCACCTTTACATCTTTTTCTTTCCTTTTAAATAAATGATGAAAGCTCCAGTGCTGTCATAAAATCACATTTATTTGTAGTGATAGGGATGAAATAATCACTGTTTCATCACCGTGATCAGCGGTCACATACACACAATGGAACCTGACATGCTGGCAGCCTCAGCTCATTACAGCTTTCCAACCAACCTCCAAGCTTATGGCTGGAAGTCAAATGGGGTGGGCAGGTTCCAAGTAGGAAAGAAAAATAATTGGCTTTGGAGATAAAGGGATTATTTAAATTTCCATATGAAATTTCCACAATTTCTTGGCTTCAAATTGAGAGGGAGTTACACTAAGATGCCTGTGTTTCAATTTTAAAATTAAAAGCATTCAAAGAAGTGGAGAAAATTATTATAGACAACAACCATTTCAATAACATTTCTCTGTCTTCATGTTGTTTATCACACTATTAATTACCTGCTAATTAAAAACAAAACAACTGGAAAATTCTAGCAACAGAATTTTTCATCAGGAAGGCTTTTGGTTTAATAATTTTTTTCTTATCCTTACAATATCAAGTTGTTCCCCTCCCCCCCATAAGGATTGATTAGTTTAAAAGATTGGTGTTTGATCGGAATGCAAACATCAGTGGGACAAAGTGGGACTTTTCTGGTACTATGTAGTTTTTGGAGACCAAGGCCTCTGAGTCAGACAGACCTAGGATTACATTTAAGCTATCTCTCCTTTGAGCCAGATTTGAATCTCAATTTATCTTTCCACTTCGTGATCTTGGGCAGGTTACTTAATCTTTCAAAGCCTCAGTTTCCTCATCTGCAAAATGGTGATAATGAAACCACCACGAAGACCTGTTGTGAGGGGAAAATAGGATCGTGTGTGTAAAGAGCTTACATAACAGAGAGCCTAGCATATAGATTCATAGTAGCTGTTTTTTAACAAAATTATTTTTGCACTATTTTCTTTTGTGACTATTAGCATTTGGCAGTGTGCTTACCGCATTACTAAATTTTGTCTTGATAGAGCAGTCCCTGAGCGATGGTTGAGACCTCACAGTGTAGATAGACCTGTTGAAGTGTTGGGTGTTGCTGACTTTGATTTGCACCCCTGGACACCACATTCAGCACCTGGATAGCTTTAGCAGCAATGGCAAAAGATGAATTCCATTTCAATCAACGCTATCCACAACCTTGATTTGGGGTTTTTGAATAAAAATAGGGTTTTATGCTTGAGGATATAGCACATTTTGAGCTGCTGAGTGAGACTTGCACTTGGCATGTGTGGGTGCCCTGGTGAAAACTCAGGGAGCTTTGCATTTCATTATATTTTTAATAATGCTTGGCAAGTAGCAGAATTAAACTTGTGAATCATTTGAACAACCACTTTTCTTAATGGAGATGAGCCTCTTTATCTTTTAGGAGTCAATACTCTGTGGTTCTAAATTAGAGTCCTCGATGTGATTGTATTCCTCTCAAACAGTATTAAGAACTTATTTTATAATGGAGAGGTTCATAATGAAAGCAGTCTGGGGAACGAGGCATCCTAGGCTCTTGATGGTGCTGGGTTGAAGGACAGGAGGAGCTGGTGAGGATGTGGCCAGGACCTGTTCCCTGGTGTGGGGGTAGTAGGGAGGATACTAACCTTTTTTTACTGTGTACTAGATGCTTTGTACACATTGTTTCATTTAGTCTTCTCGGTACACCTTTAAGGCAGGTATTGTCATGCCCATTTCAAAGGTGCAGAGAGATGATTTATCCAAGATTACATAGTGAATAGAAAAGCAGTAATAAAAGGAGGAAATATCAGTTTTGGTTACCCAGTATATTTTGTGAAAATCCATCAAGATGTATATTTATAATTTGTGTACTTTTCTGTATATATGCTCACTTCAATAAAAAGTTACTTATAAAAACAAACAGATCTGCCTGACAAAGTCTATGCTCTTTTCTATCATACTACCACCAAAAAAGTATGATGCATGGAACTCCAAGTGCTTTACAAGGAATTTCCTCTGTCAGTCACAGCTAGGCGTGGCGAGAAATAGTGCTACTCTTATTAACTAGACCTGATTTTGAAAGACTTGAATATTTCCAAGGGAAGATACACTTAGAGAAGTATAGTTTCCTAAAACTGCAGATGTCTATGTGTTAGACTTAGAAGATTATTCCAAAATCGTGTTCTGAAAATGCATTTAGCTTGTTGCAGAGTTGTTCATAGTAATGTAAAATTGGAAAAAAATAGAAATATCCATCAAAGAGGGATTCAACAAATAAATACTATGTGACTTAAAACTTACCTATTTTGAATGATGCCTCTGATATAGTGTGGAGTGAAAACTGGTTTTCGAACTGCAGATATAGTATGATGGTATTTTTGTAGTTGTTTTTTCTTTATGTAACATATTCATATAAATAAATGGCTGGAAAGATATTTGCCAAAATATTAATAGTGATACCTCTGCATTTTTGTGATACTGGTTGAATTTTACTTTCCATTTTATGTCCTTCTGTATGGTTGGTTTTATATAGACATTGCTTTCCTACAATTCTATAAATAAAATTTTAATTTTTAATAAAACAGTACCTTTAATCAAAGGCTGCATCCCAAATTAAATATATCCCTTCTCAAGGTGTCTACTGTAAAGGAGGAAGAATTCATTTTAGTGTATGAGTTTCGATACATCAAAATAATATTAAATTATAGTCAAATCATAGAAAAGAATTTTCAGGAATAAAAAGTGCCATTTAATAAGATCAAATACATGCAATTACCAGACTGCTTGGCTTCTGTAAACATTTTTAAAAAATCATTTTGAGGGATATAGTTTATAAAAGTAACAATTATAATAAACAATTTTAATTATATTAATAAATATAATTAAGAACTACTTTAATTATATTCTATATAAGCAAGTTGCTCTATCTACCTGTACCAGATATCATAGCAATCTAAAAGATAGCTGTTTTACTTATCCAAATATGTGTCTTATATAGATAGGTCAGTTTCAAAAATTCTCCGTTCTTTTTAGATTTTAGTATAAAGACATATGATTGCTTTATTTTATTTTATTCTATTTCATTCCATTTTAGCGATTCCTTCAATCAGGCTGAAGACAGAATTAAAATTATGCACATTAAATACTCATGCAAAAACAGATTATAGAGCAGGATATGACTTTCATTTTTGTCTTTTTCTTAAAGATTTCCAAGGAACTAACCTAAGAGAATCCTGAGTACATCTTACTGTGGGTGTCATTGATATATACTGTTTCATTGCCTATAACCCCCAACAGGAATCATGAGCTCTAGCTGAGTTCATATAATTACTACCCCCTGAACACTTAGCAGTCCTGCCATTTGCTCCTTCTGGATAAGCAGGTTCCCTATTCTGGCTACTCTCCTGTATTCTTGTGTGACTTTATCCATCAGAGACCAACTCAAGCTTTTGGGGCATAGCCAACGCTCCCCTCCAAATGTGTATACCTATGAAAAGGGACAACATGACCTGACAAAATTCTCTTTCTGATTTGTGAGTTGATACATATGAAAAGTCTTAGAGCATATAAAAAGAAATCAAATATTTAAATTTGATGTATCTCATTATTAAAAAATATATGAAGAATCAGGATGTTATTATCTGGAAACATCTGTTTGGTTTCTGTATAGTACCAGTAAAGTTGATTTTTATATTGTATGTTTTACATACTTTGAGGTAGAAAATTATCTTTAGGTTAACTATGCCTGACAGACATCATCTCTTTTACTTAGGCAAGGCATTTCATTTGTGGAGGAAGAAGTACTTTGCTTGACAGAGAAGAAGAGACCGCGAGGAGCCTGGTGTAGTTGGAAGAAAGTAGTTTTGGCACTGAGGGACGAGAAAGCTGAGAGAGGATGGGAGAGTGGGTTCAGCCAAGCTAGCCCCCTGCCTCCTCTACCCAGGACACACACACTCAGAATTTTAAGTACAATCATGGAGTTTAATTATGTGTGGATTTCTCAGGAAATTGGGAAAGGTTCTGAATTCTCTGTTTTGCAAGCAGGGAAACCTTTGAGAATAGAGGTAGCCCAGGCAAACAGAGTAGGAAAGAGATGGCATTTTTTGTTGCAGGAATTCCGTCGATGCACGGGGACAGAGGGGCTTTGCGCTGTCTTGGGCTGTGGAATTGGAGACAGGCCATGTTTAAACTGATCTCTAAAGGTGTCAGGTTGGCAGGGCAGCGCAAGGTTATCTGGCTGCATGAGGTTATCTGACTGCACATACTGTTATGGGCCTGGGATGTCCCCTCCCTGTGTACAAATGCAGGAGCCACAGGTGCTGCTGACAGCTCACAAGCTTCTGATACCCTACTGAATTCGAGTCCTTTGAAAAAGACCACTAGTTGGCTCTTCTCACTTCTTTTTCATTAAAAATGAAGAAATCAGAAACGACCATTCACTTAAAATGTGGAGAAACAAAACCTTTGATAGTCTGTCCATTCATTTCCTGCCATCTTCACCGCTGAAAAGTGTACTAACTTTAAGTGACTACGGTAATGGGCAGTGGAACCCAATTCAAAATTCAGCAGAAAATTTATGATCTAATTTTGATAGAGATATGTGAATTATCAGTGAGTTGAAGTTGTCTCTGTGTTAAGTCATTACAGATGTTAAATTTAGCAAAGACATATAAACTCCTGGGTGTGGAGAGTGCTGAATGTTGTAGTGTTAAACACAAATGTACTGCTTGTTGAATTGGTCTCAGATGAATTTTCCTGCTGAGCTGACACAGTACCTCTGGCCGAGTTGGAACATTTCAGTCCTACAGTTCACCATCGTGCTGTCAATTTGTCCATGAAGATAGTTTATGGGAATGCATTGACACACATGTACATGCTGTTGGAATCTTGATGGATTTCTTTCTTTCCTTCCTTTCCACTGCCCCAAACTTTTCTATAGAACTTTTTGATTAGCATAGTTCAAATTTATGTTTTGAAAATAATTAGGTTCAATTAATCAGAGCTTTCTACCTTTATATCACTGTTTGTTTAAAGAAATAATGTTGATTTTTTTTGTTATAAAATAGTGGTAGATGTCATCCCTTGAGGTGACTTGAAAAATGCCACCTTCCTTTAAAGTACCATTAAGTAAAATGAACATAAGGAATGTTAATCGGATTGTCTCAGGATCAATGCACTGATATTGATGTGTTAAATATTGTGGTTATTAGCTGAAAGTATTTATTAACCCTAATAAGCCAGCAACTCTATGGAACTTTCTATTTAACTTTTCTCATAAGCTACTTTGGGGGTAAACAAATCCCAATTGGAAGTAAGGACTGCAAATCAACCCAGCCAAGTGTAATGATTAGCAATGGAAATATCCCATTGTGGAATTCTAGTTCCATATGCTCGTGAAAAAAAGATTACAGATAATTATAATTAGGAACTCAGTGTGTGGGAGTGAAAGTAATGATTACTGAAAGCCACTGATCATGGTGGGAGTAGGGGTGTGTTATAAAGATGTGAACATTTTATCTAAAACGTGCACTCTGTTAATTAGTAACTTTCAATACATTTATATCTTACCGATACAATTTCTATTGTTTCTTGAACACTAGGAAATGCTTGAGGTGTGAATATTGTTTTCCAGTGTGATTTGTACTACCTACACATTATAAAGGGATGTTAACCGTTCGAATCCTCTTTAACGGCCCCCAGCAGTGAAGGAGGGTGGGCAGGGAGAGGAACAGCTGTTGCCTAAGAGGGGAAGGAAGGGAGGGAAGGGGAACTAGAGAAGCTGGCTTCATTGGTATATGATCTGGGATAATGGGAAGCACTGATTTAGGAATTATCAAATCATTCCTCCATTGCAAATGTATCGTCATTATTATTATTATTATTTTGAGACAAGTCTCGCTCTGTCGCCCAGGCTGGAGTGCAATGGCACCATCTCGGTTTACTGCAACTTCCACCTCCCGGGTTCAAGCAATTCTTCTGCCTCAGCCTCCTGAGTAGCTGGGATTACAGGCATGTGCCACCACACCTGGCTAATTTTTTGTATGTTTAGTAGAGATGGGGTTTCACCGTGTCAGCCAGGATGGTCTCGAACTCCTGACCTCATGATCTGCCTGCCTCAGCCTCCCAAAGTGCTGGGATTACAGGTGTGAGCCACTGAGCCTGGCTGCAAATGTATTATAAGGGTCAATAGGTACGTTGATTCTTACTTTTTCCTCCATACACATTACACAATACTGAGAAGAAATGTATTCCATCCTGTCTAGCACGGCAGTGGTTGGACTTTAATAAATGACGGCTCCCTTCCTCTTCATCTGAGTACATTGAACTGCTACAATTCATTAGTCAGAAATTTGAATTGTTTAGGACATGGTAAGATTCTGGAGCCTAATTCCAGGAAATAAAGTGAAATTCAAAGGAAGCCCCAGACTGCTCCAAATCTGCCCTTCAAATTATTTGTCTCATTTACACGTTATTTTTTTGAAATGGCAAAGATTATCCTTTCTGATAAATTTTGTGCATTAAAAGACAAGTTTTATCTATTCTAGGGGAGCTCCAAATTTATACAAGACAATTGTGATAAATTTTTTCTTAAAGGAAGAAATCCTTTATTATGCAAATAAAGCTTCTTTATTAACTTCTGTATATTTGAATGGAGGTTGGACTTTTCTCAGTTACCTACAATTTATACGTAACTCAATTATATATACTTCTCTAGAACTGCTTATGTAAAATAATATTTCTTAACACATTTAAAGTGGTGACTCCCTATTATATTGCAATACCCTTCCTCTTTTTTTCTGAACTAACAATGGAATTAAAATTCAAGTGCTGAAAAAACACGGTTTCAGTATCCTTATATTCTTAACATGGAGCCATCATATAATTAAATGCAATGTCTAGTTTTTTTCATAAGTGTATGAAGTTGAATATTCTGATTTGGTGCAGTGTTTTCAAATTTTCCTGACCATAAGAATCACTTGGGGGTGAGCCTAGGGTATCATTTGTTAAAAAAAATAAATTCCTGGCCTCCCCCCTTTAACCTACTGAATCAGATGTGTAGAACCTGGGAATATACTAAGTCAATGAGCTATCTCAGGTGATTCTTATAATCAGGTAAGTTTGGGACCAATGATGTAATGCAGTAAAACTTAAGGGTGTATCAGAATCACCCTTGTCTTATTAAAACCCAAAATTTCTGAACCCCACCCCCAGATCCAGTGGGTGTAGAGTCTGAAAGTCTGCAATTTTTAACAAGGTCCTTGGTGATGCTGTTGCTGGCAGTCCAAAGATCACACTGTGGGGACCACTGATGTAGTGGAAAGAATGTAGTCTTGAGATGAGACACATCTGGGTTCCAGTCTCATTTAATAGCTGGAAATTTTTTAGTATAGTTACTTAATACTATACTAAGTACTTAATACTATACTTTACTGAGTTTTTTCCTCTTTATTTTCAATTTTTTAAAATATCCTTAAATAAATTTATACACTCATACATATATATTATGCTTGGGTTTAAATGCTACCTTGAATAAATATGGAGCACAGATGGAAACCGAGAAGAAGGAGGCAGAAATGAGAGCAAGGAGGAGGCTGATAAGTAGGTTCAAGGGAGAGTGAGTGGTCTGCACAGTAATAACTGTGTCCTAGAATAACCAGAACCCAGCAAAACAACATAATCAGAAGCAAACTCAAAGTGAATGTATTAAAAGTCAAGCTAACTGTTTACTTTGCAAGGAGAAGAGAAAGGTCACTTGGCTGTACAAGTATGATAGCATTGATTAATTTGAATGCTTTGTCTGAATCATTACTGTTGAGATTCTGAAAGTTCAGATACTGAAAAGAGGAAAATAATGTTGACATGGAGAAACCAATCATGTGAGAGCTGTTTTTCATGTCAGTGAGGATAAAATGATTGCTACCTGCTCTTTTTACACACATGACTAATGACATATTTGTAAACTTAGTTTTCTAAGAAAGAAACATAGCCATCATATTTAGGGTTCATACCATTATTTAAATTTGTATACTGTGTTCCATCAGCTTTTCATGGGAAGTATTTTTATCCTCTCTGATGATTTGAAATAGAAAAGCCAATTTGGGTGTAAAATCCAATGTTCAGGCAGAAGCCTTATGTGGAGATAGTGTTCCCACAGAATTGAACTCCTGGAGTACTGGTTAAGAGCAAGTACTCCAGGAGTCAGATATCTGGGTTCCAATCTTGCTTTCACCTCTTAGGGCCCGTTCTGTTGCCATAGGAATGTTCAATAAGCTAGTAATCATTATAGTACATAGCTATGGGATTTCTACAAACTTTTATTCAACAAGTATTTATTGACTGCTTGAGAGGTGCCAGGCATGGTGGCAGGTACTGGGGATATCCACTCTCAGGGAGCTCTGGGAGACAGGCAAGAAACCTGTGAATAAGAAAGTTCATATAATAATAGTAGGTGTTAAGGATGGAGCAATTAACAAAACTAAAACATAAGTCCCTAGTCCTCCAAGTTCCATTATAGTGCCTTATATCCTAGTTTGTTTACCTTCCATAAGCTCATCAAAAGTCAAATGTGACTTAGATTTACTGACTAGGTTACTATTTTATTCATCAGATTGAGCTCCTTAATTCGGGAATTTAACAGAGGTTAGTTTGCAACTTAAAAAAATCTTCATTTCTATCCTGTCTTAGGCATTAATAGATTTTGTCCATATTACCAGTGCAAATAACAGTGAACTTTATGTTTTTATTCTCTATTTGATATGCTTGTAATTTAAGGCTTAGCCACAATTAAAATGTTCACTTTATAATCTATTAGAAATTCTATATAATTTAATAATTTTCATTTTGTTGAGGTCAAATTTAACTACAAAATCTAGGAAGCTATTGATTCCCACTAACCGCACCATTGTTATAGTCTTAGTATGTTTGAAAATTTAAGTAAAATTTGTTTCCAGGGCCAAAAGGAGAGTACTATTTTAGTTTTGTGGAACTTTGCCAAAATTGTATTAATTATTAACTGTGATTCATTTATGACTGTACTTCTTCTATAGGATTTTAACTAATTTAAAGCAAAGACTGAATGAAAGTCTTTATGTTTTGCAGACAAGAGAGCACCCATTTATCCTCAGCAAATGAATTGTTGGAGCAAATAATTTCAGTGGACCGTTTGGTATAGGGAAGCTTATGGAGACAGAAGCTTGTGGAGACAGAAAATTCAAGGGATTAGGATTTTTGAAATACAGAATAAGACTGAGGGGCAGCTAAGATTTATGTAGTCTTCAAGAACATAGACTATGCAAATACACAAACCTACATTCTGTAGACTGCATTGTAGGGAATAATGGACACACTCAACATCCTCTAAGATTAGGATAGAGAGAAAAGCTCCACTCTATTTGAAGGAAGGGAAATTTTTAGCAAATCAGAATAATATTAATCTAAGTTTTTCATTTTCTTTGGTGGTAGTCCTTTCTGGATTGGTTTAGTTGCCACCTTGCCAGAATACTTTAGGAAACTTCTTTAAAAAAACTTCTTTAGTCCAAGGGGTACTCTCAATCCAGGATGAGTAAGGCTTTCAACTTTCCAGACCAAATAAATAAGTCAGAAAGCTTTTCAAGTCTAAATAACTTAATTCTTCTTACAGAATTCTCTCCACCAATTGCTTGATAAATGTCAATTCAATGAAATGACATGCACATTCAGAATCATGGTAAATTTTTGTTTTCCATATCCTTCAGAATCATTTTTTAAACTTTCCCAAATCTTTGGCTTATCAATGATGCATTATTCTGTCACCCTATTAATGTATGTTTCCTTTGTCATTCATAAAACGGTTGTATTGTTTGGCCTTATGGAAGGATGTTGATTAAGTGCCTGTGAATGTTTGCTTTATTGGCATTGAGAAAGAAGAGAAAATGATTTGTTTTGCCAACAATGAATTATTGCATCTGTTTGTGGCTGTTAAATAATTTAATAGAACTTAAAGGGCCTATTTTCCCTTGATTAAACTACAGGAAAATATCAGTCTCTGCCTCACCTTGGATACAAAGTTAGATGTAAAACATGTTTTTAATTTGCCTTTTGCCAGTTTAGGTGTTGATAAGACACTGAGGGATTTTTATATTATGCCATTTTTACATTTAAGTTGAATATCTCTTTAAGCTTGAGACAAGGAAAAAGTGTTATGAACAATTTTATTTCTAAATAGCTTGTTCACTTTTATTATATAATATTAGTAATCGTGTCAAATTCCTAATTATACCAAATATCAAGGGTTACAAATTATTATTACTGAAAATTTCAAGGAATATAATTTATTTAGTGGAAATCCTGAGATTACCAATACCACTATTTTCCCTCTCCTTTGTTAGCTTTTCTCCTAACCAAGCTCAAAATGTTCTGCACTTTCAAAGGTCACTGCTAAGTACTCTTCTCTTTTTATTCTGCCTTCTTTCCTTAAGTTATCTCATTCAGCCCCATGATTTTGAAAACCACTAATAACCTGACAGTTCCTAAATCCCAAATTTTTACCTTGAACTCAGGGTTTATCTTAGGATCTAGTTCCTTATTTACAATTGTATTCTTAATACTCTAGAGCCACTTACAAATCTGTTCCTTCTATAGACTTCTCTGTTTCTACAAGCAGCTCCTCCAGCCTCTCAGTTGCCCAAACCAGAGATCTGGGGATCCCTCTCTCCCTCTCCCCATTGCTCCCAACCCAGTTCATCAGTAGCTCCTCAAATAAATCCACTTTTCTCTTGTTCTCACCTTAGTTCAGTATACTGGGAACTCTCTTGCAATCACCAAGTGGTTACTCCATTAATTTGTATCTCCAAATCCATTCTCTAGCAGCTAGATATATTTTTTCTTTTGAAAATGTAAGAACTTTCACTTCTTTGCCTTAAAACCTCCATAGAATAAATTCCAGATTTATAAAAAATGGCTTTTACAGCCCCCTGCCACAGCTTCATTTCATTTCCTCCCTCCTCTCCTATGCATTTGCTGTAGGGGCCTGTGTTAGTGGAGTCTCCTCAGGATCTTCCCGTGCTGTTTCTTCTGCATGGAATATTTTTCCCACACTATTTGCCTGGCAATTTGCCTAGCTTGTGTTAGTTCCTCAGGGGATGCGTAGTACCCCACTCCAGTCTAAATTAGTTCCCCTCTACCTAAAATACTCCATATTTTCTTTCAGAGCAGTTCTTATCATTTTAAATTACATGTTTGTGTGATTATCCTTTAATATATCTTTCTCCTACAGGTGCCATTACAGTATATGCACTATATATCCAGCTCAGTGCTTGACACTAAATTGGGACTCCATAAATATATGTTGAAGAACTTCAAATATTCCAAAATATGAAGAATTTTCCATACCATGTCCTCTTTTTTGTGGCCCTCTTTTTTTTTTTTTTTTTAGAGACGGAGTTTTGCTCTTGTCACCCAGGCTGGAGAGAAATGGCTCAATCTCGGCTCACTGCAACCTCCCCTCCCGGATTCAAGTGATTCTCCTGCCTCAGCCTCCTGAGTAGCTGGGATTATAAGTGTGCACCACCACACTCAGCTAATTTTTGTATTTTTAGTAGAGACAGGGTCTCACCATGTTGGCCAGGCTGGTCTCGAACTCCTAACCTCAGGTGATCCACCCGCCTCGGCCTCCCAAAGTGTTGGGATTACAGGCATGAGCCACCGCACCTGGCCTTTGTGGCCCTCTTTTTGAGCGGCATTTTTGCCAAGTAATATAGCACTGTTGGGAAGAGATAATTAGTGTAAGTAACAGTTCTTTTTTTTCAACATTCAGTGAGGGAAAATATCAATAATGGTAAAACTTGTATTCCTTCCCGTAGTGAAGGGTGAGAAAATACACTTGGAACTAGAAAAGCATAGTAGTAAAATGTAGAGGTAGTATAAACTTAAAGGAAAAAAATTTCACCAGGACTAGAAATACCTGGGTTTGGCATCTGACTCTGCCACTGATTTATGTTTTTGGCATGTTGTTCAGTCTCCTGTGTCTTGCATTTTCTCATCTCAAATCTTCAGAGATGTCAACAGAAAACAAATGTGGAAACCCTTTGAAAAAATTAAAACTTCTTAGAAAGGTGAGATGCTCTTACCCTCCTTATTTTGATTTTCATTTTTGAACACAAAGTGGTTTTACTTGGAGGTTCTTAAAGTAATAATGAACACAGTCATTCTCATAGATAAGACTAGCTGTCACTTTCTCTCAATTCATGCAAGTGTTATTAAGAAACCACCTAGGGATGATAATATGAAATTAAGTGTAGTGAATTCATTATGGATTGCCTTTCTCATTTTTTACAAGGTTTCCTGATAGCAAAGCTAATAAAGTATAAATATGTTGAGGTGTCAAGTATTTTTTTTAAAGAGATTAATTAGAGCTCAGTCCCTAAGCTATTTGTAAATTACTATACTTTTTCATTGTAAAGTGTTTAGTGGAAATGCTGTTTTAATAAAATGATTATAGATTATAAATGGTTTCATTAAGTACTTTATTTCCCTGTCACTATACCAGTTCTACAGAAATAAATGACTTTAACGTTCTTTTTGCTGATAATTTAAATGAGATCTAAAAGATGAAACATTATTTTGAAACAAATTTAATTTAATTGACCCTGCATGGCTTGGAATCTTTGCTGCCCATGATCCTTTTATGATTAAATACTAAAGAAGAAAGTGTAATGTGAATATTTTTCTTTTATTTCTACATCATGGGATTCACACTTCCTGAGGTGAAATATCTTATTCTTTTCAGATAATATTAGTAGATGTATTAGAAATTTATCCTCTCAGGGGTTGTGCTGGTCAGTTTCATCAACAAATGGAATTCAAGATCCCTTAGTAAAACGAATGAACTTATGTAACAACCACACCCTACACACAATTCAAATGTGTGTTAAATATCTTTGTGTTCAGACAAATTGATAGCCTAGAGATCAGTATGTGCTAGCTTATAGTCCTGCAAACAAGTGTGATGTTTATTCCATTTAAAAATTGCCACTGAGGCGGGCTTACGCCTATAATCCCAGCACTTTGGGAGGCCGAGGTGGACGGATCATCTGAGGTCAGGAGTTCAAGACCAGCCTGAACAACATGGAGAAACCCCATCTCTAATAAAAATACAAAAAATTAGCCAGGCGTGGTGGCAGGCGCAGTGGCAGGCACCTGTAGTCCCAGCTACTCAGGAGGCTGAGGCAGGAGAATGGCGTGAACCCAGGAGGCGGAGGTTGCAGTGAGCTGAGGTTGCACCACTGTACTCCAGCCTGGGCGACAGAGTGAGACTCTGTCTCAAATAAAATAAAATAAAATAAAAATAAAAAAATAAAAAAAATTGCCTAGATAAGCAAACATAACTACTCAAATTTCATAAGATTTTGTAAACTTCTCTCAGTGCCAAGAAAGTAAGCCACCTGGCAGTTTTTTTTTTTTTTTAAAGTGAACCAACACACAAGGATATGCACCAGAGCTGGGCACGGTGGCTCATGCCTGTAATCCCAGCACTTTGGGAGACTGAGGCGGGAGGATCACTTGAGCCCAGGAGTTTGAAAACAGCTTGGACAACATGGCAAGAACCTGTCTCTACAGAGATAAAGAAACAGCCTGGAGTGGTGATGCATGCCTATACTCTCAGCCACTTGGGAGGCTGAGGCGAGAGGATTGCTTGAGCCCAGGATTTCACGGCTGCAGTAAGCCATGATCCCACCATTGCACTCCAGCCTGAGTGACAGAGCAAGACCCTGACCAAAATAAAAAATATGCACTAGAATTGAGTGTTAATATTTCACCTGAATTTGGCTCAGATTTACATGGGCTATGAGAGCATTTTTTATTTTAGTTACCATTTCTTATTACTTATAATTATATTCTCATTCTGCAGATATTCTCAGGAGGCAATAAGCCTGGTGGTAATTGAGCAGATTTAGTTTTTTGAAAAAATATATTGACAACTATATTTTTCCTGAGAGTGTAAAAATGATTCAGAAAATATCTGCTATTTTAAGTAACATTTTGAGTGTAATATTGCATTCATTAGTTGAATGTCCTGAGATTTCACATGTTAAATGTAGAGTTAAGTACAATTAGTAGAAGAGTATTTTAAGTGGCAGAGATGGGCAGAAATTATTTTGTGGAGTGAGATTAGTTGAGTTCAGATAAGGACCCTCTATTAAAGAAGAAATAAAGGAATGTGGATTAGAAGACAATGAAAGACTTTTTGGTGAACTAATGTATACTTTCTGAAGATTTGGGAGTGTGTTGCGGGGCGGAATGCAAAGGCAAATTTGTAGTTACATATCTAGACATGAAAATAGAGGGATAGGCCAAGTTCACCTGATGGAGAGCTTTTAAGGCTACATTCTATATTTGATGATTGTGGTTGAAATTTTATAATTATTAATAGTATGTATGCTCTGAAAGGTAAAAGACCTTGTAACCTATATGTAATTCTTACTGAGCCCAATACTTTGGGATATACTTAAATCCTAATTCAATATAGCAGATTTGAATCTTATTATCAGTGGAGTGCATTTAATTGAAATCAAATTGATTTAAACATCTAGTAAGGAATTCTCAAGTTTAACCTTCTTTTCCACCTCTGGGTACATTCATATGCTTACATCTACTCTCAAACCTTAGAGGTAGAAAAAATTTGATTTAAGAGAAGATACACATTTTCATTCAAATTGATTGTTTAAATATTTATAAGACTAATTTTCCAGATACATTATAAAACTGAATTGTGCTTTGGACATTCTTTTCACCACAGCTAACTAATATTATTAGTTCTAAAATGTAAGATACTAAAATAATTTCCAAATCAGAGGTCTGACATGATATTTAAGGGCTATTTTTACATATTGTATTAGAAGTGCATTGACCATTCTCAAGAATAATAAATATTTCAAATATTGTATTTAACTAAAATAACACCAGTGTAATTATTTTAATAAAAATAATTTCAAAAGAGCCCTTGAACTCCTGGGCTCTTTGAAATTTTAACCGTTCTACTTATGACTCAAAAAAGCTTAAAAAAGATGGATGTCATTAATCTCTACAAAGTGTATCTATTGTTCTGATAATTCATGAGGTAATTATAGGACTAATGCTTTCTAATTGTCTTTAATGTGCAAATATCTTTAATATGTTTTCTCATAGTATATGCTAATATATGTTAATTTTAAATAATTTGAGCAATACAGAGAAAGAAAATTCCATAATTTTGCTCCCTTTTTCTAGAGATAACCACTATCACCAATTGGAATATATTCTTCCAGACTTGTCATAGGTAAATGGTAAGCTCTCAAGCTCTCATATTATACTATAAGTACTCTTCTGTTATCTGCTTTTTAAGTATGCACACACACACACACACACACACACACACACACACACACAATGCATTTTAAGATTTATAGGTCTGCATCACCCATTATATGGGCTGTATAGGATCCTGTTACATGTAATGTACCATAATTTATTTTGCCAGTCCTTGGAATGGATGTTTAGTTTATTAGTTTATACTTACTTTTTAAAATATCAGCAGCATGGCAGTGAACCACCTCTTACTTATATCTTTGCTCATTTACTCAAGTATTTCCTTCAGATTTCTTTAAATTCCTAAAAATTAAATTGCTGGATCAAAGTAGATGCATCTTTAATGTTTTAAAATATATTATTACATTACCTTCCAGAAAAGTTGTACAAGTTTATATTCAATGTACTGTTGTACAAAAATTTCCATTTCCCTACCTTTAGTAATCTGATAGGTAAAAATAGTCATTTTATTTGTCTATACCTTTGTAAACATATATATATACATAATGTATAATTATTTGGGCATCTTTTTATATATTCTCTAAACAGTTATATAATTTTGTGAATTTGTCTTTTCCAAAATTTGTTTGTGAACAATTTTTATAAATTAAGAAACACATAGCAAATATTTCCAGTTTCAATTTTTTAAAAAATATCAATACAGTTTTAAGTTTCTATATGGTCAAATCTATCAATCTTTTCCTCTATGCTTTCTGGTCTTAATATATTTGTTAAGAAAAGGTCTTCTTCACCCAAAACTATACAAATATACTCTTATAGTTTTTCCTAGCATTTCTGTGTTTTATTTAATCTTTAATCTATTTAAAATTATTTTTTGTCTGACATGAAGCAGAAATCTAGCTTTTTTGTTCAAATGAATACTCAATTCGTTAACACTAATAATTGAATAATGTATTGTTTCCTTTGTTATTTAAAATGCCTCTTACAACTGCATCCATTGAAACTATCCCATTGGGCTTTTCATTACAATTTGATTGTATTTGTCTGCTAATTAGTGAAGAATTTGAATTTTGCCAGTAGTATGTTTTTGGTAATTTTTAACATTTTTATTTATTTAATTTTTCCTTTTAACTTTAAGTGAAATAAAATTATATAAGTTTTGCACATATCTTGTTAAGTTTATTCTTGACTTGTTTATAATCTTAATTACTGATTTGAATGGGATTCCTCTCACCCCCATTCACCCCTGCCATTATGTTTAGAAACAGGTTGGCATATAAGGCAGCTATTAATTTTTCTATATTTATATTATATTTTGCCACTATCACTTTTACTGGTTTTAATAAGTTTTTCATTTGATCTTTTGGGATTTTCTCGGTAAATAGTTATATTTTCTGCAAGTAATAATGATCTGTCACTTTCTTTACAATATTTTACGCTTAATTTCTTATCTTTATCTTATTGCTTTGGCTTAACTATCCAAAATTATATTAAAATATAAAGTAAATAAATAGTGGGCTTTTTTGTTTTGTTTGCTTTTTGATTTTCATGAGAATGCGTCTAAATCTTCAGCAGTTGGTAAAATGTTTTCTCTAGGATTCTGAAATGGTTTTGATTATGTTAAGGAAGTTTTCTTCTCTTCTCAGTTTACTGAGTTTTGTTGTGAATTGATACTGTATTTTGTCAGATGTCTTTGGGGTAGTTTCAGTTATGAACAATTGTTTTTCTCTTTTAACCAATTTACTTATTGAATTACATTGATGGACTGTCTCATGTTGACTCATTCCTACATTCCTGGAATAAATCTGACTTTTTGAAGAATATATTTCTTTAATACATTGCCATATCTTACTTATTTTCATAAAAAGATCTATAATTCACTTCTCTGGAATTTTATCAGATTGTGGTCTATGTTTTACAAAGTACTTTAGCATGCTTTATTTCCTTTTTTCCTTGACACAGCCCTATGAATCAGGCTAGGAATTATATTTTTTTGACAAATAAAAATTATAGACATAGAAATTTGCTTTGCAAAAAGTCATGCAAGTAGGTGGTAATGGTGAGTAAAATTTATTAATCTCTAATCCAATACTTTGGTTTGGAGAGAAGGAATTTAATTAGTTCAGTAATTTCTATCAGTACGATATTTATGGACTTTGAGTTTTATTATCTCAAATAAAAACTATGCTTATGTAGTTTTCTTTTACATTTTTCTAAGTTGAGAGAATGAATTTGTTTCCATTTTGACCATGGAGGCTTCACTGGGTATGAATGGGGGTGAGGGAGAGTTCACCCTAAAGGAGTCCCTGAGCTGAGAATATTCATTCTCTGATATCTGCCATCTGTTCCTTGAACATGAGCAGATGCTGATGTTCAGTTAATCAGAGGTAATGCAATAAGGATTAAAGTGTTAGATAGTTCTAACCCATTCCGGAAGTTATGGGTAAAACTTAAAACCTTTAATCAGATTCATCTTGACGTTGAAACCAAGTTGGCTATTTGAGCCAAAGGTTCTGTATCTCTATGATAGCTAGTCCCAAAGGACATATTCTATTATTGTCATTAAGAGAAAACATATTAAGGATGTGTTTGCACACAGCATTGGGTCAAGATAATTGACATTGTATTTTATATGTGGTTCAGAGATCTGTCTTATGGAAAACTCAGAGATTGCTTTAAGGGGTTTGTTGCAAAAGAAAGATTCAATTAGGCAGTTTAAAATAATTTAAATGTCAGTTTTACAATACAGACTTAATACAAATGCAAGAAGGAGTCCATTTGTTGATATATACACCAATTTATTAAATGGTAGAATAGACTTCTCCAAATCTAGAGAAAGATCAGTTTAGACTATTAATGTATTATTTCTTAAGTTTGAATAGAATTAGGTTTTTTAAAAATTGAAATTGAAATTTAGTCTCCTTGTCCCAAGTGACATACATTTATAAAATGTTTTTAAAAAGTAAATTCACTGTTTTTAAATCTTCTACAGAATATTTTTTGTAATGAAAAACCTACATGTATATATTACTGTACAGTACAATAGAACTGATTTCATTTCTAAGAAATACCACTAGTCGTTATATATTTTATGTCATTGAGTTGAATTTGTAAGTGATGCATATAACCTGGAGTTTTGTCCTTACCAAATATTGCATAGAAAACCATAAATTCCTGGAAATTGACTATTTTTCAAACTATCTCATTAATGAAAATTTATGCTCTGAAGAAAGGCTAATTATGTCTCTTATTTCCACTTAAGCTGGTATAACTGTAAATGATTTTCTTATTTTTATAAATCACATCTGTTCTAAAACTTAGCTCCAATAACACTCTATGATAATAAATGGCAAAACTCACATAATATTGAAGCACATTGGGTATTTCCTTTTCAGTTTTAAATATGCTTAATTCAAATTTAGATGATTAAAGAATATATTTGGACTCCAAAGTGACTAAAATCAATGAAAATAATATATTGGTGTGTCATAGTTGGGGGTAAATATTACCATTAAAAACTGAAAAGTCGAGAATGGTGTGAACCTGGGAGGCGGAGCTTGCAGTGAGCCGAGATCGAGCCACTGCACTCCAGCCTGAGCGACAGAGCGAGACTCCGTCTCAAAAACAAACAACAAACAAACAAAAAAACCCCTGAAAAGTCGCAAGGAAGGAAAAACGATTCTGTGAACTCACTACATAGGACACAAAGAGAGGTGGGAAATTTTGTCAGGAATGTTCGTGACATGAACTCTATTTAATAATGTCTTATTCCCGTTGATATTTTAATTTTTCAGATAAAGTATTTTAAGTAAATGTGCAACATTAATTAGAATAAAATATAAAAGTATGCGTCTATTTGAAGGCCTACCTAATTACATATAATTTTCTGATGAATGCCCTAATTAAGCATCAAGTTATATGTTTATACCTGTGAAATAATTGGAGCATTACATTTAATCTTTATAACAATACATTGAAAGAGAAGTATTAGCCATGTAGGTATTAAAGGTATACATTTAGCTAGACTTCATCATTGACTTTCCTTTTAAAGGGACATGACATCCTGTTTTCCATCAAGAGAACATCGAATTAATCCTCACACCAGAAACAACAGTCAGTGCTGGCATAAGCTCCGCCAGGATTCCTGGGCCCTGCTGTGCAGGGGTCTCCTGAGGAAGGACAGAATCGTATCTCGGTCTCCAAGCCCACTTGGTTCTTGGCACTTCTGCTAAGAGTTGCGCAGGCTACCTATTAATTTTAAATGTATTGTTTTTGAGGATGAGGCAGACATCTGTCTTAGAGGGACAGGACTGATAGCCGCAAGTCGTTCCTCAGAGGCTGCTGAATAAATCGTCAGATGACCTTTATTGTTGTCACCCTCATTTTGTTCAAATTGACGCAGCTAAAGCACAGTATTAACAAAACTACGCATTGCATGCAGCAGTGGGATTAGTGAAAAGGACCATGTTGTTGACTAGAGAAATGGAAGTTCACGTATCTCATAACTGCGTACGAAGCAGTGGACTGGGAAGGATACAAGAGGAGAATGACAAGATTAAAATAAGAGACAAGGCCTTTACATGAAAGCAGCTGACACTACAAAGGACGTAGTACTTCTGTTTAATAGGCCTCATCAGCCTTTTATGCTCCCTTGTGGGCTTGGCTCATGAACATCTTTAATGTTATTTAAAGCTGTTTTTATTGTTTATTTAGAAACATTCTTTATACATTTTGCTCTAATTATTAAATTTGATGATCTTTGTTCTTATTTACTGATTTAATTAGCTACAAACATTCATACATTAAAATTTATTCCGGACAACATTAGTGTTGGGATTAATGATTTTTTAAAGAACAAATCACTTGTACAATGCATAGCCCAGAGTAGGGGCTCAGTCAATCTTTGTGTAAATGGAAGTTGTATTTGAAATAATCCATTGGATGTGTATAATAAGAATCATTCTTGCAGAAAAACCCTAACTGGATGGAAACTATACAGAAGAAGAGCTTGAGATAATCACTTTTATTTAGATTGTCCCTTCTTAATGAGTTCTAATGAGCAAATGATTGCAGTGAGGTACAGCACAGTGGAAGCTTCTTCTGTTTACAAAAACAAATCAATGGTACTAACTACCCACTCTGAAATGGACTCTTTTTTTTTTCTCAGCACTCTATCACTAGCTTTGCCTGTAGAACATCAATTATTTTTGCTTCCAAGTGAAGAGAGTCATTTCAGAGAAGATGTGTAAAATTTAGAGGGTCACTGGCTGCCCATATTTTAATTAGTATCCCATCCCCACCACAGCGTATATATCAGTGTGGGTTTCCTAAAGGAGATGGCTTTAGTGCGTTTTATTAAATGAATCACCTTTTATAAATAAAATTTAATGGTAAATTCAGACATAGAACTTAATTTGGCTAGAGAAACTTGCATGCATACACTTAGCATTGCCTTTAATTAATTCTGTTGACTTAGAAGATGGTGTAGACAATAAATGCTTTTTTTATTGATCATAAAATAACTGTTCAGATCCTTACCAATAAGGGACCCACTAGGGAAGGCCAGTGGTTTACTTGGGTTATGCTTCAGCTACTTCTCAATAGTGGCCATTAGGACCTCCACTCCCACTGCATCACAGTGACCCTGGGTAAGTCACATGGTATTAACCATAAATAAGTGCATCACCTGTTTGTGTCTCTGCATTAAGTAACTGGAGTTGACCATGGGAATAAAACTTGGGAAAATTTAACGTGAAATTAATGGTATAATTCTATAGTTGCAGACTTCCCTTTTCTGAAACTTGAAGGCAACAGATACAGTGATGATCCCATCTCTCCCACCATCTTGAATTTTGTGTGAACTGTTAGGCCTTGTGTATGGGTAAGGGTTTTCTCCAGAACACTTAACTGCCAAACATGGATGTGATTTTGAGCATAGGCCCATTGGAAAGGCAAAATGTATGCATCAGAACTGAATTCCATTCTGTGATCACAATCCAGGTTAGTGGAGCCAACATTTTTGAGGATAGCCCTCTCCTGGATTTATTACTCTCTGCCTCTGCCTGTTATTCGGTCTCATTTGGGGCCACTTTATCTCACTTAGTATATGGTAGTAGCCATCCTGGCTGTCTTTCCCACTGAAGGACTTTTGTTCCTTCCCTGGAACCCTTTACTCTCAGTCTTGTCATGGCAGCAGTTTGGGTCTCATTTCGTTCTCTATCCTAGGCATCTTAAAAGGAACACCATCATGGCACATGTATACATATGTAACAAACCTGCACGTTGTGCACATGTACCCTAAAACTTAAAGTATAATAATAAAAAATAATAATAATTTAAAAAAAAAGGAACATAAGACATTCTCTTGCCCAAGTTAGCAGTAACTGCTTAACTGCTGAATTCAGTAAGCTTATCTTCAGATCTTAATTTCCAACACGCTTTCCTTTTAGTCTTGGCTTCTGTGGAAGCTCATTCTCCTGGTTTTCTTACCCCTCAGCTCTTCTTTTCTTTTAGGTCTTCTCTCCTGCCCAGCCTCTAAATACTGGTGTTCCTCTGGGTTTAGCTCATCTCTAACTGCTTTTATTTAATAGGTGACTGTACTATGCTCAAGGTTCTATTTATCCCTTTACGGGTATAACTTCCAACACTGAAACTGCAGCCCAGACTTCTCCCTGGAGGTTTGACTCATATATCCAACTTTCCATTGGGCAACTTCACCTAGATGGCCCATAGTCATGTAAAATCCACCATGGCCCAAAGTAAACTTAGTTTCCACTTCAACTTCACTTCCCCTGATATTTCATACCTCATTTAGTAATATTTCCACTCACTTCTCACTCAAACCAAAAACCTAGAAGTCATCCTTTACTCAGTCAAGAAGTTGTTTTACCTCATGTTTCTTGATATTTCCCACTCTTCTTCATCCTTTTTATTAGGAACCTACCTAATCCCTTCATCCTTTTTATTAGGAATCCTTTTTATTAGGATACCTTCCTAATCTACCTAATACCTTCATCCTTTTTATTAGGAATCTAGCTCAGGCCATCACTATCTCTTTATTGTAATGCTGAATGAAATAGTCATCTAATGTACCATCTTCAGTTTTGTCCGTATCAAATCCCTTTAGCACATATGCAGAGTGATATATCTAAGATAAAAATGAAACCTTATCAGTTTCCTCCAAACTCTGTAATGTGCTAGACTTTGTCACAGAGTAGGTACCTATTCTTGTTTGTCAAATGAATAAATGAAGAATAAGACCAGAGGCTTCTCAGTATCCAAGGTTGGAGTTATCTGGATTCTAGATTGTATATTGTCTACCATCCTTTGAGAATGTCATGTATCAACCAAATTTTTGTTTCTCAGTTTTGCTTGGAACTTCACAAAACCAGAATGAATAGCATATTTTTATAGTGTATAGGTTGTATATATGAACAGATAGGGTCTGTATGGTGAAAATCAAACCTATGTGCCTATATGCTTATCTTTTAGTATAATCTATTAAATTTTTATTAATAATTTCTTAAGAGAACTTTTCAAATATAAATCTTTCCCTCCCTTACACTATGTAGCTGGAGTTCAGTGTTATGAAACAAAGATTCCTTCTCATCACAGTTTGACAACTGGTGTTTTGATTTCTAGTCTTTAGAGTTGTGTAAATTTGTTCTAACAAAGAATCATTTTAGAACTGTTTGCTTAAAAAAAACTTGCCAAAACACCAAAAAGTATATGTGATGATATAATTAGATATTTAAATATGCTCATGAGGTCAAAGGCAGGGAAGCTTGGGCTTGGTATTTCCTTTACTCACTTTTAAATTTTTGTACAATGCTTCAGTGTGCATTTTTTCCCTGTGTGTTAAAATATACATAACATAAAAGTTACAATTTAACCATTTTTAAGTGTGTAAGTACACTTAAGTACATAACCATTTCTAAGTGTATAAGCATTAGGTAGATTCACATTTTTTGTGCAATTTCAGTATACTTTTTCCTGAATTTATATTGAAATAATTTGATATTTTCATGATTGAGATCCAAAACTTGTATTGAATAAGTAGAGTTTTCTGGGGGCTTATCAATGTGTTTTGAAGAAAAATGATTTTTTTTTTAATTTTGATTAAGGAGCTTGCATTATATCCAATCTTATTGGGCTTAGGGAGAGCAAATGTCAATGGGAATTTATGGAAACATGTTTATTAATTTGGCTTATCTGAACTTTGTTTCCAATTTTAGTTTAATAAAATTATTAAATATTTTAATACAATTATTAAAAATATTAAATATTTAGGAAGCTGAAAATATTTTGCTGTTGTGACGAGTCTCATTTAATCATGATTGGTATCCTATTCCTAACAGTAGTAGATAAGCAACAGTGTTGTAGAAAATAATTTAAAAATTAAAAAGACATTTGGCCATTTTCCCCTTGTATTTTGAAATGATTTCTGAGTTTAGAAATCAGACATTATAGCATAAGATTAGATAGAAATTATCTTTATGATATAAATGTAATAGAAACAGTGCTCATAGGTAAATCAATCTTGTGTTGTTTTAACAAAAAAGTATTTGTCTATTGCTTTACTAGTTCATGAGACTCTTCTTGATTCTGATGATTGAATCCTTTATAAGATATTGAATAATTTCAAAAGACAGTAGATCCAAAATGTGAAATATTATTTAGAGATGTTCAGAGACCATATAAACCCAATTTTGTTAATTTTTTTTAATTTAACTTATTTAAATGTGATTCCTTTCTTGAGAAATGATAATTTGGAGACTTATGCATAGAATATTAGGAAGTAGAAAGGATTGAATTCAATGTCTGACTAATTATTGGACTCAACTACAATATGAGGTTAAGCTTTAATTTAGGGGACAGAGGCATGACAATGCACTATTTATCTTAATAAATTTAAAGCGTTTGTTGTAAGCTGCTCAAAGAGAGACTTTGGTTGTGGGGCAGGAGTTGGGTGGAAGGGGTATTGGTACTTCAGCCTCTTGCCTTCATTCTCATGTGAGGAGAGTTAGCTTTGAAATAAGCTGAAAGACCTTGTAGTTTATAAAAATCTCCTGGAAAGATGTTATGGTCATTGGAATCAGTTCAGTCATCTAATGAGCTACACATTGGCTGGAGCACACCTGAACTGATAATAAACTTGGTTTCTTTTGGAAAGTGCCAAAAGTACCCATCTTCCCAATACATACACAACATAAAATTTACCATTTAACCATTTTTAAGTGTATAGTTGAATTGTGTTAAGAGAGAATTGACTCTCATTCAATCATCATCATCATAATTATGTTTTGTATTTACCAAGAAGGAAAACTGATACTCAACCTTCAACTTTTTCTAGTCTGTTTACCTTAATATTCCTACTTTCTCACCATCAATCTGCCAAGATCTTCTTGAGGGAATACAGATGTAGGGGTGTAGGACTCTGGTGGTGGTGAAGCTTAGAAGGAGATTTGGAGTCGTCCACCCTTCAGTCCGCTGAGGCACCATTTCCATCTCCCCTCCTCCCAACCTGTCAGAGCCAATAGCATGGCTACTGAAAGAACAGCGTGATTGCTCTCTGAATCCAGACATTGTCCTTTCCTATGACAGACCTGGAGAAATATCAGACAACTGAACCTTTTCCAGCGTATTTTGAATGTACGTAATCTTGGCTGTAGTCATCAGCAGACAAGATAATTATTCGTTCACACATGCTCTGGCCAAGTTTTAGCTCATTTGGAGACTTGTAATGACTTTGGATTCTGTCCTTTGTAAAATGACAACCTAAGAATCATGTCTTTTTACTGGTTCCAAGTTTTAGGTGGGATTTTGATATAAGTTTTATAATCATGTAGGAATTGTGGGTCAAAGCAAGAAATAAGCATTATGGGCAGGTGGATTCTTTTGCAGGCTAGATGTAAAACATGTATTTCTTGAAGGCTTGGCATTCTAGGAGGGAATGTCTTGATTTAAGGAGATATGGCAGAGAAGAGCCTTGTAAGAGAAAGCTATTCTGACATGAGTGGTTTTGTTCTTACAAATAAACAGTGACTCAAGTCAGTAGCAGGGCGATAGACTGTGGAGAACGCTAGCATAATATCATACTTGGGGTATAGGAACCATATACATTCATTTAGAGTAGCATTAATTTCCCATTTAATATTTGTTAGAAACTATTAGAGATTTTATCACTCTGCTGACAACAATTCTATTTGGAACATGAGCTGCTTATATAAAAATCATTTTTAATGTGAAAGCTCTCATTAGCTTAAAAGGCAAATGAAATGGTTAGCTTTAAAAGCTGAGTCACAGTCTCATTTACCATCAGAATTCACAGTTTTCTTCTTTATTTTAATTAGTAGATTAATCCTGTCTCAGCAATGCCATTAGGTGCCTGCCTTGATGGTGTGGAAAAATACACACAAACATCTGATATTTCTGAGCATTTGGGTTGTGACAAATTTAAATGTGTTCTAATAGATCATCTGTGTATAAATAGCTTAAGATTTATAGATGTTTTTTAACTTAAGGATGAGGAAACTGACCACTATAGGATAATTAAAAACAGCAACTCTTTGTAAATGCAGGAGCTAAGTTGTCAAATGCCAGGGCACCAACAGGCAATATTCTGTAATCTAAATTGGGTAATTTATATCATTGTCACTTGAAGATCTGATATAAATTGGAGTCACTGAATCATCCCACCAACATCTCATAACTAAAGCAAATTTTGTTTCCTTTTCATGGGTAGGGTTTTAGTCAATTGAATAATAAATTATCCTGTCTTTTCTGAATCATAGGATAGGCAAGCTTCTGTAGGCAGAACTGATGAAATGAGGCCCCAAAGAAGATATTTTACCCTGTTTTAAAATATTTCCAATGAAGGATATGGTCCAGACTACTTTGGTTATACTTTTCAATATTTGAAATAGTAATCTTATGTGGTTGTTTGAAAAATATTTTCAATTTATCACCGAAGATTTGTCTGAAATGTTCGGAAGTCAGGAATGAATTAACTTCTATATAACACCCAATATCCTGGTCAGTACCTACTCATAGTCCTACAGTTACTGGGTGTAAAAGGCAATGCTCCTCTTCCTTTGAAAAGCATAACCTTTCAAGCGCTTACAGTTTATAAAGAACAGTCACGCACATTTTCTCTTTTCAGTCTCACAATGACACTATGTTATATGAAAAGATTATTAATTCCTATCAGAAATTAAGATTGAGAGAGGTTAAGTGACTCACTCAAGGTGATATATTTAGGGAGTGGAATAATTACAACTCAAGAACATGGTGGCACGTTCCTGTAATCCCAGCTACTCGGGAGGCTGAGGCAGGAGAATCGCTTGAACTCGGGAGGCGGAGGTTGCATTGCACTGAAATCACGCCACTGCACTCCAGCCTGGGCAACAGAGCGAGATTCTGTCAAAAAAAAAAAAGTTATTTTTGCTCCAAGGACAAGGTACTTTGCACTCTACATTTTGCTGACTCTTTGGCATGCCCTATAAAATTGGGCATGGTAAACATGCATTACGACTCTTTTGGAAAATTTGTTCCTGGGGCAATCACGTGAATTGGGATGTGGTTGGGAGCATCATTAATTGAGTCTGTGGTCAGAACAGAGACTAGTATAAAGAAATACCCAGTGTAAGTGGCATCAGTCAGATATTCAGTGTAAATGAATTGGGAATGATAGACACAGTGAACGGTCCAAGACTGAAATGAAATCTATCATCTCATGAGTATTCAGGGGACTGGAACTATATTTTAGGAAGGACGATAGGTGAGAAGGCCTAGATACAATCAAGAAGGAAACAGCCTCAAAAAATAATAAACCTGCTTAAGATACCCTCTTCTGAATGGATGGAGTTTGATGATCTGTTGGCCCTGTTGGTCAGGGAAGGGTGAAATGGGCTGAGGAAACTGGAATTCTGTAACACTAAGATCCAAGGACACTTCCAGAAATGGCATTTACAAGGTGCAAGTGTTCCCTGTAAATCTTCTGGCAAAGGGCTTTGAAATTTAACTTATATTGGAAGAACCTTAAAAAGTTAGTAGAGCCATTCATATTTCTGTTTGGTTTAAGCTGTGCCTGCTAATAACATTGCACTGAAATGCAGGCGTGAATTCCTATAATGTTAAAATCAAATTGTTTACCTCAGTTTGAAAATTTGCTCAAATGAGAGTGATTGGCTATTGTTAGCTCTCAATTTGACTTTCAAGACACCTTGAAATAGCTTCAGGAAAAAAACGTGATTTCTAGTTAAGCTGTTCAGTTAAGCACTTTGTGATACAAAGTATGTTAAGGTAAAACCTTTTATTTAAATCAACTTTAAGAAAACCTCTTTAGAAAGTTGCAGAGTATAAATGAGGAAACCTTTAAAAAAATACAGCTTTATTTCTTTTACGTATCTATTGGGAATTGAGCTAGGTAGTCGAGGCACCAGCATGAGGTTCTTAAGAAATCTGCTTTAATGAACAAATCAGAGTGATTTGTACTTAATACTTGATTTTGTTTCAAAGGCCACATAGGCATTTGAAAAATAAGTTTTTGCCTGAATCCTGTAATTTCAGCTTTCTTAGCAATTTCTCTTTTCTGAAACAGTGAAAATGTAAACTTTAGGGTAGCCTCTGTTCAAATAATCACAATATGTGAATTGAAGTTTGAGGAGTTCATAGAGTGTTACTGAATTTGTCTGTTTTCTAAAGGAAATTGATTCATTTTTTTCAAATTATTTTACAGGATCCTTCAAACCAAAAATGTGGTGGAAGAAAGAAAACCGTGTCTTTCAGCAGCATGCCATCGGAAAAGAAAATTAGCAGTGCAAATGACTGCATCAGCTTCATGCAAGCTGGCTGTGAGTTGAAGAAAGTCCGGCCAAATTCTCGCATTTACAACCGTTTTTTCACTCTGGACACAGACCTTCAAGCTCTTCGCTGGGAACCTTCAAAGAAAGACCTCGAGAAAGCCAAGCTTGATATTTCTGCCATAAAAGAGATCAGACTGGGGAAAAACACGGAAACATTTAGAAACAATGGCCTTGCTGACCAGATCTGTGAGGACTGTGCCTTTTCCATACTCCACGGGGAAAACTATGAGTCTCTGGACCTAGTTGCCAATTCAGCAGATGTGGCAAACATCTGGGTGTCTGGGTTACGGTACCTGGTTTCTCGAAGTAAGCAGCCTCTTGATTTTATGGAGGGCAACCAGAACACACCACGGTTCATGTGGTTGAAAACAGTGTTTGAAGCAGCAGATGTTGATGGGAATGGGATTATGTTGGAAGACACCTCTGTAGAGTTAATAAAACAACTCAACCCTACTCTGAAGGAAGCCAAGATCAGGTTAAAGTTTAAAGAAATCCAGAAGAGCAAGGAAAAACTAACCACCCGCGTGACCGAAGAGGAATTTTGTGAAGCTTTTTGTGAACTTTGCACCAGGCCAGAAGTGTATTTCTTACTTGTACAGATATCTAAAAACAAAGAATATTTGGATGCCAATGATCTCATGCTCTTTTTAGAAGCTGAGCAAGGAGTCACCCATATCACCGAGGATATATGCTTAGACATCATAAGGAGATACGAACTTTCTGAAGAGGGACGTCAAAAAGGGTTTCTTGCAATTGATGGCTTTACCCAGTATTTATTGTCATCAGAATGTGACATTTTTGATCCTGAGCAAAAGAAGGTTGCCCAAGATATGACCCAGCCATTATCTCACTACTATATCAATGCCTCTCATAACACCTATCTAATAGAAGACCAGTTCAGGGGGCCAGCTGACATCAATGGGTACATTAGAGCTTTGAAAATGGGCTGTCGAAGCGTTGAACTCGATGTAAGTGATGGTTCAGATAATGAACCAATCCTTTGTAATCGAAATAACATGACAACCCATGTTTCCTTTCGAAGTGTCATAGAGGTAATAAATAAATTTGCCTTTGTTGCTTCTGAATACCCACTCATTCTTTGCTTGGGAAATCACTGCTCCTTGCCGCAGCAGAAGGTAATGGCTCAACAGATGAAAAAGGTCTTTGGCAATAAACTCTATACTGAAGCACCTTTGCCCTCAGAATCCTACCTCCCATCACCAGAAAAATTAAAAAGAATGATCATTGTGAAAGGAAAGAAGTTGCCTTCTGATCCAGATGTGTTAGAAGGAGAAGTAACAGATGAAGATGAAGAAGCTGAAATGTCTCGAAGGATGTCGGTAGATTACAATGGTGAGCAGAAGCAAATCCGACTCTGTAGGGAGCTCTCTGATTTGGTGTCTATTTGTAAATCTGTTCAATACAGGGATTTTGAACTATCTATGAAAAGCCAAAACTATTGGGAAATGTGTTCATTTAGTGAAACAGAGGCCAGCCGCATTGCAAATGAGTACCCAGAGGATTTTGTTAATTATAATAAGAAGTTCTTATCAAGAATCTATCCAAGTGCCATGAGGATCGATTCCAGTAACTTGAATCCACAGGACTTTTGGAATTGTGGCTGTCAGATTGTAGCAATGAATTTTCAGACTCCGGGTCCAATGATGGACCTTCACACGGGCTGGTTTCTTCAAAACGGGGGATGTGGTTATGTTCTAAGGCCGTCTATAATGCGAGATGAAGTTTCTTACTTCAGCGCAAATACAAAGGGCATTCTACCTGGGGTGTCTCCTCTAGCTCTTCATATCAAGATCATCAGTGGTCAGAATTTCCCAAAGCCCAAGGGAGCTTGTGCCAAAGGGGATGTCATAGATCCCTATGTTTGTATAGAGATACACGGAATTCCAGCGGATTGTTCGGAACAAAGAACTAAAACTGTACAGCAAAACAGTGATAATCCTATTTTTGATGAAACTTTTGAGTTCCAAGTAAACCTACCTGAGCTGGCCATGATCCGTTTTGTTGTTCTGGATGATGACTACATTGGGGATGAGTTTATAGGGCAATATACGATACCATTTGAATGTTTGCAGCCTGGATATCGGCATGTTCCCCTGCGTTCTTTTGTGGGTGACATCATGGAGCACGTAACCCTTTTTGTCCACATAGCAATAACTAATCGAAGTGGAGGAGGAAAGGCACAGAAGCGCAGTCTTTCAGTGAGAATGGGGAAGAAAGTTCGGGAATATACCATGCTCAGGAATATCGGTCTTAAAACCATTGATGACATCTTTAAAATAGCGGTTCATCCATTACGAGAAGCCATAGATATGAGAGAAAATATGCAGGTAGGAGAAACACTCACACTCTCCTTCCCTATCCCTGCTTATTCCTACCCGTATAATGTTTTATTAATAATCTGATTTGCAAAAATTTATCAGAAAGATTGTTTAAGTCTGGGTGTGGTGACTCATTCCTGTAATCCCAGCACTTTGGGAGGCTGAGGCAGGTGGATCACTTGAGGCCAGGAGTTCGAGGCCAGCTTGGGAAACATGGTGAAACCCTGTATTTCTAAAAAACATGAAAGTTAGCCAGATGTGGTGGCGAGCACGTGTAGTCCCAGCTACCCAGGAGGCTGACATGGGAGGATTACTTGAGCCTGGGAGGTCAATGATGCAGTGTGCTGTGATTGTACCAGTGCACTCCAGTCTGGGCAACAACAGAACAAGACCCTGTCTCAAAATAAAAAGAAAGAAAGATGTGTAAACCTGTGTACCATTGAACTAAGTTCAGTATTGTCTGTGATAAAACAGATATATTTTATGTTTCTAACTGTGAATGCTATGTTAAGTTTGGACTGAACTAAGATGTAGCAAAATGCTGTATATTAAATATCCTTAGTACAAAACTGAATCAATATATGGAAATGTGCATCTGAAACAATGGGAACCAAGTAGAATATACAATATATGTGTGTAATACATAAAAAATTTATACAAACATACACATACTAATTACCAGTGTATATATAACATATTTGCATATATGATCATGAAAGAATTTGAAGTGATATAAAACAAGCATAATGTCTATTAGGTTACTTTTTAGTTTTAAATTAGGTATAATGACAACAATAATAAATTACTCCCCACAAGAACAAGTAAAACTAAACAAAAAAAATTGGCACTCAAACTGGTTGAAAAATATTTAACCTTGTCTTAGAAATGTGGTTTAATTGAAAGAACATGGGTTCTTGATCAAATCTATCCCTGTGCGATCTTGAACAAATTATTTCAGGTCTCTGATCATCAATATTCTCCATATAAGGTAAGAAAAATAGTTACACTTATCGCAAAATTATTATTAGAGTAAAATTAGGGTATATGGAAATTGACTAGCCTGAACATTTAGAAATTCAATATTAAGTTTTCTTTCCTTCATTAATGCTTATAATCTGAGACAGTGGTAAACTTAAAAAAAATTACTTAATATACTTATTAGGCTAGTGTTATTGAGATGCAAACAATAACAGATATTCACCGAGTACCTGCAATGTGCAAAGTGGATATTATTCAATTCACTTTATTTCTTTAGCTGATGTGTTTATAATAATCCTCACCAAAAATCCCTGTTTTCAAGATAGATAATAAATTTGAAAATGTTAATGCATTTCCTAAGTATTGCAAGTTAACAGATAGCAATGTTAGCCTTTAAATCCAGGACTGCCAGTATTTAATAGAACAACAGGGTGACTATAGTTAATAATAACTGTACATTTTAGAGTAACTTAAAGAGTCTAATTGGATTGTTTGCAACTCAATGGATAAATGCTTGAGGTGATGCATACCCCATTCTTCATGATGTGCTTATTTCATATTGCATGCCTGTATCAAGACTTTTCATGTACCTTATAAATATATATACCTACTATGTACCTGCAAAAGTTAAAAATTAAAGAAAATAAATCCAGGATTGCCTAATACCAAAATCCATTTCCATTATCATTCATGTGCAGAACCACAAACCCACGGCACAGTTAAATACTTGTGGTAGGTTGTCTTAGCCACCATTTAAAAAATAGAGTCCCAATATCAGCATATTCTATGTAACTTTTTCTGACATAATTCTAGTACTATTATAAATCCCTATGTTAGATTAGTTATAAACCATTTCTGCACTTAACTTTATAGATTAGACTTTACATATTTTATATAATCTTGAAATATGTACTTTGCATATTTTATATTATGTATTTAAAATACATAGAAGTGTTATAGATAAAGTGTATCCAGGTAGCGTTGATAGTTCATATTATCTTAACATAAAGTCTTTGGGGTTAAGGATTATTTGGAGTCTAATCAGAAGAAAAATGAAGGTGATCATTGTCATGAAATTCATGAGACACCTAATAAGTTAGGTACTGTTCACTGTGGGTGAAATGTAAAATAGTCATAATTTCTATTTCAAATGAATTTTTTGAAAAGACTGTAACATGGACAAATGTAGCTCTACATGAAATGTGCTTTCAGTGTGTGTGTCTGTCAGGTGCCTTTCTGATGAAGTGACAAAGGAATGCCATTGATTAGTCAGATGGAGGGTGGTGAGCAGTAGCATCCTGCTACCTTGAGGAAAAAAGCCCAAGTGAAATGCACTCCAGTGTACAACCCCTGCCATTCTGTTTTCCTGATCACCATGATACAAATCAAACATGACATTCATGATCAGCCAGTACTTAGTTGTGTGACTATCCCAGTGGTCTGCTTTGAAAAGCACTGCATAGCCTTGTGTCCCACTCTGCTTTGCTTTCATGGGTTGTTTGTGGTGATTGCTAAAAATTGAGCAAGATGAAGTATAGTTATGAATTAGCCCTCTATTATCTTTTAAAAATGAATGTACTTTTCTGTAAACCTGGGAGTGCTGGCGGTGATGTGTCAGGTGGTCAGAAGTGTGATTCCATGTTTTCTTCCTCACAGAATGCAATCGTGTCTATTAAGGAACTATGTGGACTCCCTCCAATTGCCAGTCTGAAGCAGTGCCTGTTAACTCTGTCATCTCGGCTCATCACCAGTGACAATACTCCTTCAGTCTCACTTGTGATGAAAGACAGCTTTCCTTACCTGGAGCCTCTGGGTGCAATTCCAGATGTGCAGAAAAAGATGCTGACTGCTTATGATCTGGTAGGAAATTGCGACTCCATATTTTTTTACGTGTGTGTGTGTGTGAAATCACAAATAGCAGGGACTCCTCTGTGGAACTCCAATGAATAACACAGGGTGACTACCTTTGAAACATGGATTGGAGGTAGCATGCAGAGCCGGCCCATTCAGCTTCTGCTAAGTCTCAGTGGAAAACTCTGAGAAAATGACTTGAACCTGGAGCTGCACAGGTTATAAGTGGAAAACTCTGCTTTAGCAAGGAATGAATTATTAAAAAACCCTCAAAAATATGTACACTCATCATCTAAATGACTTTAGAGTGCAATATAACCATTTAATTATATACCTATGGGAAGTAAACATGTCTCAGTGCTGCCTTATGATGGTTGAGACAAAATTTATATAGAATCTATATTTTTCAGCTAATTCCTAGAATGTACCCCTTATCCTCATGGTCCAAAATGGGTGCTGAGCTCCAGCCATAATATCTGCATTCCAACCATCAGGAGTGATGAAAAGATGTAAGACATAGCTTCTTCCTTTAAGGACGTTTCTCTGGAATAGAATAGATCATGTTTGCTTTTATTTCATCAGCCTGGAGTTGACATATAGCCACACTTAGTTGCAAAGGAGAATGGAAAATATCATTTCAAGGGGCTATATGCTAAATGTTGTCTCTTCTGTTACTAGGAAATAAGGGGAGAATGGATATTAAGGGACAACCAATAGTCTGCTACAGAGGTGAATAGGCAATTCACTTACCCCCCACCCAATAACAATGAAAAATTAAAAACATTTAACTTTAAAATAAGTTTTTAATTAGAAATTAAGAAAATATAGTAAGATATTCCCCTCACCATTAAATTGACATGTTTTTTCTCTTTAAAAATAGTACCTCTGATCAAGAATTTAAGCAAATGGATACTCTCATTCATCTACTTCTAGTGGAAAAATAAATTGATATAGTATTTCTTGGAGAAACAATTGGCAATACAATTTAAAATGCTTACGAGTTTGATCTATAGAGTTCCTTTTCTTGGATTTATTCTAAGCCAGTAGAGAGAAGCATAAACATTTATGTTAATAATTCAACATAGAAAGATTAGCTAAGTGAAATATAATAATCTATATTATAGATTCCTTTGAAGATATTAAAATCATGTGTTAGAAGAATATGTAATGGTATGGAGAAGTCCTTACAATGTTTTGTAGAAAATTTGATTACAATAAAATGGGAGATAGGATTTAAATTACATTTCTATGAATATGCCCCTAAGTTGCTAGCAGGTTATTAATAGTGAATGTTTTTATATAAGAGTGAATTTTATTTTCTTATTTATGCTTTTCTGTATTTTTTCTATATTCACCAAACTCTTTATAATGAACCCAACTAATTTTATAATTGCATAAAATAAACCTTAAGGAAGAAAAGATGAAGATTTTGTCATTAAAAAACAAGTAGAAGAAAGATATTGGAGATAAACATTCTACGAATGAAAAAGAAAAATTTCCACAGGGCATGTTCTGCTTATGAATGACCATACCTGTTATAAAATGTACTTCATGGTTGCTAGGGGGAAAGTTTACCTATTACCTGTATCTCATTTTTCATGAAATCAACTTTTTCATCATAAAAATGGGGACTGAAAGCTATTCAGTGAATAGGTATAATTGCCATCTAAGAGGTGAAATTAGGGTACTAGTTGCCATAGAGACAGACAGTAGAAATCACTTATTCCTCCACTTCTCTTTTAAGCTAAGAAAAAGAAATCATTCATGGCCAGGGAGGTCCCTGAAGCTGGCCTGTAATAAGCAGAAGGATACCTGGTCTGGGGCTGGGCAATTGCCATTTCACACCCCCGAGTGTCTGACAGTGTCTTATTTTTTGTTTTATCTGCTGAAGCCAAGACTGAAATATTAGCCTTTTCTCATCTGTATTATTACAATGCAAATTGTAATTGCAGGCAGAGCATGGTTTTCAAAGATTAAAATAAAAGGCTACGGTGGAAGCAGAAATACTTATAATGAAGTCTTTCATGTACAGTTCTCTATGGAAAACCATTTTGGGAGGGAATTGAGTGTAAATATCCTTATACCACATGGTAAACTTGGTAGAATTCAAAAATGATTAAAAACACCATTGACATCTCTGTTGAGTATTTATTTGGGGGATGGGGTGGGTAGGGACAGATACATGTAATGATGATATTGGCCTTGAAATTAAAACACCATTTTTACTTTCTAGGATTTGCATTGTATTGGTTGGCATCTTTAATGCTCTTAGTGTATTACTGTGTGTTAATTTTAAATAGGTCTTCTAAGATCTCTTCAGATCTGGAGTGAACATTTAAAAACATAGATCAAGGGGCTGGATTACACTTGCAATCCCAGGACTTTAGGAGGCCGAGGCGGGTGGATCACCTGAAGTCAGGAGTTTGAGACCAGCCTGGCCAACATAGTGAAACCCCGTCTCTACTAAAAATACAAAAATTAGCCGGGCATGGTGGCACCCGCCTGTAATCCCAGCTACTTGGGAGGCTGAGGCAGGAGAATCGCTTGAACCTGGGAGGCGGAGGTTGCAGTGAGCCGAGACTGCGCCATCGCACTCCAGCCTGGGTGACAGAGCAAGATGCAATCTCAAATAAAAAATAAAATAAAATAAAATAAAATAAAATAAAATAAAATAAAATAAAATAAAATAAAATAAAATAAAATAAAATAAAAACATAGATCAAATCAAGTCACTTTCCTGCTTAAAATCCTCCAATGGGTTCCATTAAAATAAAACGGAAACTCCTGACTGTGGCTTTACAAGGTCATTTATGATTTGCCCCTGCTTGTCTACCTCACCTGCCTCTCCATCCTTGCCCAATCTCACTACATCTCCCAACCTCATCCGCCTCTCACAACCTCACCCGTCTCTCCAGCCTCACTGCCTCTCCCAACCTCACCTGCCTCTCCAGCCTCCCCTGCCTCTTTAGTTTTACCTGCCGCTCCCAACTGCACCTGCATCTCCAGCCTCACCTGCTTCTCCCAACCTCACCTGCCTCTTTAGTTTTACTGCCTCTCCCAACCTCACCTGCCAGTCCAGCCTCACTTGCCTCTCTCACCTGCTTCCCCAGCCCCATTTGCCTCTCCCAACCTCACCAGCTTGTCCCAGTCTCACCTGCATCTCCAGTCTCATCTGCCTTTTCTAGCCTACCTGCCTCTCCAGCTTCACCTGCCTTCCCCAACCTCACCTGCCTCTCCAGTCTCATCTGCTTCTCCAGCCTCATTCTCACACCCTCTATTTTGCTCACTCTCTTCCAGCCACACTGGCTTTCTTTGCACATATTTATGGGGTATGGTGTGATATTTCCGTACATTTATACAATATGTAATGATCAAATTAGAGTAATTAGCATATCCATCACCTCAAACATTTATTTCTTAGTGGTGAGAACATTTAAAATCCTCTCTTCTGGCTATTTTGCAAGGTACTTACCACTGTACCACCGACACCACCTCTTCTAGCTATTTGGAAATATGCAATATATTATTGTTAACTATAGTCACTACTGTGCAATGGAACACCATAATTTATTCCTCCTTATCTCTTAATTCTTAGCTCAAATGTCATTTTCTCAGAAAAGCCTTCCCTAACTACTCTCCCCATACATTCCTTTGTCACATAGCCATGTTTTATTTCCATCTTCCTGCTTAGAAGTATTGAAAAATACTTTGCTTGAACTTTTTAATTGCTGTCCTCTTTTACTCCTCAATTTGAATGTAAACTCCGTGAGGTTAGATCCTATCTGTATATTTATTACTGTCACCTCTGGCACCCAAAACAATGTTGGCACATAGCACGTTATCAGGTAATGTTCACTGAGTAAAAACAATAAATAAAAGCATCTATTGTTGGTGAAAATCGTGTAGTTTCCATCCTATAACTGAACATGTTTGATGATAAATTATTAAATCCCCTTGATTTTACCTCTCTGACACCACCCTTGCTGAATTGTTCCCTATCTTATATTTGGCTAAAAAACTTACAGAGTAAGGCAAAACTATGGAGACAGTAAAAAGATTATTATTTGCCAGGGCCTTTGAGTGGGTCAGGGAGGGATGAACTGGTGGAGCACAAAGGATTTTTAAGGCAGTGGAACTATTCTGTATGAAACTGTAATGGCAGATACATGTCATTATACACTAGTCAACAACCTATAGAATGTACAACACAAAGAGTCAACCCTAATGTCAACTATGGACTTTAGCTAATAAGAATGTATCAATAGTGGCTTGTCAATTGTAGTAAATATACCACACTAATGCAAAATGTAAACAGTAGGGAAAACTGGGAGGTGGGGGTAGAGTTAGAGGGTGAGGACTCTGTACTTTCCATTTACTTTTTATGCAAACTTGAAACTTCTCGTAAAAATACAGTCTAACCACCCCCCCAACCTACCACAGACTATTAATAAAAACTGATTTGGATGAATAAGGGAAAAAAGCAAATCCAAGATTTATTGCCTAGTGGTGTGGTTGGTGTGGGGAGAAGGTATTCCAAAATGAACAGCTTGGGTTCAATTTAGACTTAAGTTGCTTAAATTTTTGGATTTCTTGAAAATGGTAATGAACTGTGTAGATGCCATCCAAGAGGAAAAATTGTTACCACTAAAAAATGCAGAATATGTTTAGAATAAAAACAACCTGAAATCTTTCCTGAACAGATACAAATGTTTTCTTTTTTCAGTATGGAAAGAAAGAAATCAGGCAACTTGGTAGCCTACATTTGTTGAAAGCAAACTTGAGTGCATCAAATTATACTATTATCAAGGGAAAATAAAATAAAATATTCTAGAAAACACTGACCCTGAGTTCATCTGCACAGATTTTTTCCCCTAAATTTAGCTTTCCATATTTATTACCCACTATAAATAAATAAATAAATAAATCCCACTATTTATTAGTCATTAAATATTTGAAAATATTTCCTCCTGAGGGTTTTAAAATTCAGTCTTAAAAGTCATTTTTTTTCTCTCTCTCTTTTTGTTTTGGAAACGGAGTCTCACTCTGTCGCCCAGACTGGAGTACAGTGGCGCGATCTCAGCTCACTGCAAGCTCCGCCTCCTGGGTTCATGCCATTCTCCTGCCTCCGCCTCCCCAGTAGCTGGGACAACAAACACCCACCACCATGCCCAGCTAATTTTTTGTATTTTTAGTAGAGACAGGGTTTCACCATGTTAGCCAGGATGGTCTTGATCTCCTGACCTCGTGATCTGCCCGCCTTGGCCTCCCAAAGTGCTGGGATTACAGGTGTGAGCCACCGTGCCCAGCCTTAAAAGTCCTTTTAAATTAGTCTTGCAATTATAATTCCATTATAGCAACTGTGTTGGTATCAAGAAATCAAAAATCAAATGTATTTGTAGCAAAATGGGCCTATTGACGTGGCAGAATTTCAGAAGAAAGGGAAGGCACACTCTCCCCTGTCTTAGCACATCTTACTTAAAGTATACGTTTTCTGTCTGCTTCCTGGGACTTGAAATTTCAAAATTACAACCAGTTCCCTAGGGTTAAGACTTTTTATCTTTTTTAAAATGCAGCAACATCCCTGTGAGTAATAACACACTGGGTTATCAGTAATTCATTCTTACTTTCGAGTAAATTTAGCAGATCCTGTTCTACAAGCAGGTTTTAACCTGGGAGAAGCGAGAGATGGTAATGACAGAGGGTTCACCAAGTCTGGGTAAGGTGAAGGTGGGGTTGCTCAAAGAATTGCAATTTGCTTACGGGCAGCCCTGTTTACTGTTACCATTAATACTCTCAATAGGATGTTGCCATGTAAATGCCTATCTAGTATTTTGTGCAACTGAAGCAGAGATGACTTTGCTGATATAAAACGTGTCACGGCTGGAGGTGGGAAGTGTACAGCTTCTAAAACAGCACTAGAGGGAACTGGGAGCACTATCAATCAATAACTCTGGCAAGTAGAAAAGGCTCTAAAAGTCGAAGGTAGAATGGATGCCTCTTTCGCAGGCTAAATACACAAAGAGAAGAGCTGTTGGCATTGGATTGTTCACCACAGTGCCATTTCAGTGGCCCTCTGCTCATCAGGAAAGTTTTCCAGAAACTGTCCCTGGAGCTTAATTTGAAATCAGAAGACCATTTCTAAGTGACTCTTCCATTTATTTTACTGCGATTCTTCTTCTTTTTTGGCTCAGGTCTCTGAAAGAGCAAGCATCACTTCCCCACTCTGGATTTTTACTTTCTCTGGAAAAATATCCCACTGAAGTAGGTAGTATAGTCACAGAGTCATCGTCTTTTAAGGCTGATAATGTCATATAATTATATTTTGCAAATAAAAGTAATATGACTTTTTTTCATTTAGGATTCATCTTAAATTGGGTGTTGTTAAGAGTAAAAATTGGTTACAGAAAGAGTTACTTAGTGTTATAGCCAGAAAATGGAGATGTTTAATTTGATAAACATTTTCTGAACTCCTTTTAATGTGCAAGCCACTGCGTTAAATGTTGTGGAAGGTTCAGCAGATCTTGTGCTTCAGCAGCTTACCAGCAGGAGATGTAACCTGGTGAGGTACTACCCAGCCCTAGGAGTCTACTATTGGGGATGTGAATATGTTACTCATCATTTAACAT